>NC_000003.12:48797878-49100909 GCF_000001405.40 Homo sapiens
GAGGCCAGGGTGCATTATCTCAGTTCTTCCCTAATGATTAAGGCAGACACCTATCTTAGTTCCTAGACATTTCTTTTTTCTTTTCTTTTTTGAGACACAGTTTTGCTCTTGTTGCCCAGTCTGGAGTGCAATGGCGTCATCTTGGCTCACCGCAACCTCTGCCTCCCAGGTTCAAACAATTCTCCTGCCTCAGCCTCCTGAGCAGGTGGGATTACAGGTGCCCGCCACCACACCCAGCTAATTTTTGTATTTTTAGTAGGGATGGAGTTTCGCCATATTGGCCAGGCTGGTCTCAAACTCCTGACCTCAGGTGATCCACTGGCCTCGGCCTCCCAAAGTGCTGGGATTACAAGTGTGAGCCACCATGCCCAGCCTCCTAGACATTTCTATTGTCACTTTTTGCATCATCTTGGGTATTCTAGTAGGAAACTGGGGAAGCTGCATCAAAGGCATCTAACCAGACACTATGTCAAACTTCAAGTTTCTTGGTTCTCTGTGCTCTTGATTAATGCCATTATCAGACTAATTTTCTAAACTAGAAATTTGGAATTAATCAGACTTTCTTCTCTCACCTCTTGTCCAATGAATACATCAAATTCTGCTTCAGAAATATTCTCATATTTGACCTTAATTCAGTGTATTCCAATTGCTACTCCTTGGTCTAAGAGTTCAAAACAACTACTTAGAATAATACATTAAAAAAAAACTTCATTTCAGGAAATAAATGGGTACATGGGTATTATACTAACTTTCTCTACTTTTGTGCATGAAATCTTCCTTTTTAATTTTTTTTTTTTTTTTTGAGAGTCTCACACTCCGTCACCCATGCTGGTATGCAGTGGCACAATCTCAGCTCACTGCAACCTAAGCCTCCCGGGTTCAGGTGATTCTCGTGCCTCAGCCTCCTGAGTAGCTGGAATTACAGGCGCACACCACCAGGCCCAGCTAATTTTTGTATTTTTAGTAGAGATGGGGTTTCATCATGTCGGCCAGGCTGGTCTCGAACTCCTGGCCTCAAGTGATCTGCCCACCTCGGTCTCCCAAAATGCTGGGATTACAGGCGTAAGCCCTCGTGTCCAGCCTCCCTTTTCTTTTGAACCCTGGACTTACCTCTCTTTGCCCTCTTCCTCTGTTCCCCTCAATCTCTTTACTTCTCCTTAGTCCTGGTCCTAAATTACTTCCTTTATTTTCTAGGAAAAAATCCATTTTACAGTACCTACTTGATTGTTGCTGCCCCAAGGGTTCTGCACATCTGGCTGCTTGCCACAGTACACAAGTTACCTGGAGAAGGTCCAGAATCTGTGTGATCCCCTACGCAACCTCAAACATTATATTGTGTGTCATGAAATACTCAAGACCTACAGGAAATGAAGATTAAAATAGCAACACAGTGGCCTGGCATGGTGGCTCACACCTGTAATCCCAATACTTTGGGAGGCCTAGATGGGAGGATCACTTTAGAAGGACATCAGTCCTATTAGATTAGGGTTCTACCCTATGACCTCATTTCACCTTCATTACCTCTTTAAAGGCTCTGTCTCAAAAATATAATCACATTGGGGTTAGGACTTCAATATATGAATTTGGGGGAAACCAAGTAGTCCACAACACTGGATTTCTAAATTATTTTAAGCAATACTTAGTAATATTTCAGCTGAAGGTAGCTATAGATGAAAAAAATATTGCATACTATGAAAGAATATAAGGACAAAAATCAGTATTTTATTATATAGTAAGCACATAAGCCTTAAAGGGCAGGGATGTCTGCTGAAGAGCACCTGCAATGCAGAAGTAGGTGACTGACATGGCACCAGGTTCTCAGTGGACTGTTCTGCTGCCTGTCACAGTCATCACTAGAGTCAAAATATTCTGTTCCTAAATGTGGCATGATGCCAATACACCCATTTCTGATTAATGTGCTTTGATGTTTCGACATGTATTTAATAAATAAAAGTTGGGCTTTTTTTGACAAAGAAGGTTTTTATTTGTTTTGTTTTTTGAGACAGAGTCTCACTCTGTTGCCCAGGCTGCAGTGCAATGGCACAGTCTTGGCTCACTGCAACCTCCACCTCCCAGGTTCAAGCAATTCTCCTGCCTCAGCCTCCCGAGTAGCTGGGATTACAGGCACCTGCCACCACACTCAGTGAATTTTTGTATTTTTAGTAGAGATAGGGTTTCACTATGTTGGTGAGGCTGGTCTTGAACTCCTGACCTTGTGATCCACCCGCCTTGGCCTCCCAAAGTGCTGGGATTACAGGCGTGAGCCACCACGTCGGCCGACAAAGGAGGTTTTTAAATTAAATAAAATCATACTAACATTTCCAACTCAAAGATAATTAATACTAATTTGGGAGGGCTGGGCACAGTGGCCCACATCTGTAATCCCAGCACTTTGGGAGGCCGAGGCGGGCAGATGACAAGGTCAGGAGTTCAAGACCAGCCTGGCCAATACGGCGAAACCCTGTCTCTACTAAAAATACAAAAATTAGCCAGGCGTGGTGGTGCATGCCTGTAGTCCCAGCTACTAGAGAGGCTGAGGCAGAAAAATCGCTTGAACCCAGGAGGTGGAGGTTGCAGTGAGCCAAGATCGTGCCACTGACTCCAGCCTGAGTAACAGAGCGAGACTCCGTCTCAAAAAAAAAAAAAACTATATACACACACACACACACACACACTAATTTGGGACTACATAAGAAAGCCGCATTTAAGGAATTCATGAACTCTTCATTTACTCTATCACTTGATGTAGAGGGACTGTTTTGCTAGAATGTAGAAATTGGAAGGCATGGCTTTTCTTTTCTTTTTTTTTTGAGACGGAGTCTTGCTCTGTCGCGCAGGCTGGAGTACAGCGGCGCAATCTCCTCGGCTCACTGCAAGCTCCACCTCCCGGGTTCACGCCATTCTCCTGCCTCAGCCTCCCGAGTAGCTGGACTACAGGCGCCCGCCACCACACCCAGCTATTTTTTTTGTATTTTTAGTAGAGACAGGGTTTCACCGTGTTAGCCAGGATGGTCTCCATCTCCCGACCTCGTGATCCACCCGCCTCAGCCTCTCAAAGTGCTGGGATTACAGGCATGAGCCACCGTGCCCAGCCAGGCACGGCTTTTCTTTTTGTTGGCTGAGGCGGACAGTCTCACTCATCGTCCAGAATGGAATGCAGTGGCGCAATCTTGGCTTACTGCAAACTGCCTCCTGGGTTCAAGTGATTCTCATGTCTCAGCCTCTCAAGTAGCTGGGATTACAGGCGTGGGCCACCACACTGGCTTAATTTTTGTATTTTTATTATTTTTTGAGACGGAATTTCGCTCTTGTTGCCTAGGCTGGAGTACAATGGCAGGATTTTGGCTCACTGCAACCTCTGCCTCCCAGGTTCAAGTGATTCTCCTGCCTCAGCCTCCCAGGTAGCTGGGATTACAGGCACCTGCCACCATACCCAGCTAAATTTTGTATTTTTAGTCAAGACGAAGCTTCACCATGTTGGCCAGGCTGGTCTTGAACTCCTGACCTCAGGTGATCCGCACACCTCAGCCTCCCGAAGTGCCGGGATTACAGGTGTGAGCCACCATGCCCAGCCAAATTTTTGTATTTTTAGTAGAGACAGGGTTTCACAATGTTGGCCAGGCTGATCTCGAACTCCTGACCTCAGGTGACCAGCCCATCTCAGCCTCCCAAAGTGCTCGGATTACAGGCATGAGCTACCATGCCCAGCTTTATTTTATTTTATTTTGTTTTATTTTGAGACTGAGTCTTGCTCTATAGCACTGGCTGGAATGCAGTGGTGCGATCTCAGCTCACTGCCACCTTCGTCTCCTGGGTTCAAGCGATTCTCCTGCCTCAGCCACGCCCAGCTAATTTTTGTATTTTTTTGTTTGTTTGAGACGGAGTTTAATACTTGTTGCCCAGGCTGGAGTGCAATGGCACAATCTCAGTTCACTATAACCTCCGTCTCCAGAGTTCAAGCGATTCTCCTGCCTCAGCCTCCCAAGAAGCTGGGATACAGGCATGTGCCAGCTAACTTTGTGTATTTATTTATTTATTTAATTTTTTTGAGACAGAGTTTCACTCTTGTCGCCCAGGCTGGAGTGCAACAGTACGATCTCGGTTCACTGCAAACTCTGCCTCCCGGGTTGAAGCGATTCTCCTGCCTCAGCCTCCTGAGTAGCTGGGATTATAGGCGCCTGCCACCACGCCCATCTATTTTTGTATTTTTAGTAGAGATGGGGTTTCACGATGTTGGCCAGGCTAGTCTCAAACTCCTGACCTCAGGTGATCCACTGTCTCGGCCTCCCAAAGTGTTGGGATTACAAGTGTGAGCCACCGCACCTGGCCAAATTTTTATTTTTAGTAGAGACAGGATTTCACCATGTTGGCCAGGCTGATCTCAAACTCCCAACCTCAAGTGATCCACTCGCCTTGGCCTCCCAAAGTGGTGGGATTACAGGCCACCTCGCCCAGCCTGAAAAAGGTGTCCTTTAAATGAAGGTCTGAAGAATGTGAGTGAGCAAACAACAAAGATAATTTTGGTGAGATACAGAAGCAAGAGTCTGATTAGATTCTTACCACTGAGTTTAAAAGGAAAAAAAAAAAAGTCTGATTAGAATAGGCTTAAGAGGCCAGGCATTCAAGGCCAGCCTGGCAAACATGGCAAAACCTTGTCTCTACTAAAAACACAAAAATTAGCCAGGCATGGTGGCGCACACCTGTAATCCCAGCTACTCAGAGGCTGAGGTACAGGAATCACTTGAACCTGGGAGGTGGAAGTCGCAGTGAGCCGAGATCACACCACTGCACTCCAGCCTGGGTGACACAGCCAGACTCAGTCTCAGAATAGAAGTAGAACAACTAGAAACAACAAATACAAACAGCTACTTCACGCGGTTTTGTTTTAAAGGTATGGAGAGAAAAAGGTTGGAGAGACAACAACAGTCAAAAAAAAGTTCATTTTTTAAGAAATAGAGCCAACGATATGTTTCTTTGCTGAAAGAATTGAGTTAAAAGATCAAAGATTATGCAGGAGAGGAGCTAACAGCTAAAAGGATGAAGGGATGGGATCTCGCACAGGTGGATACCGTAAACTCACAGGCAAGTGAAGAATATATATGGTGATGGGATTCTGGAAATTCTCTTCTGTTTTCCTATTTCCTTGGTTAAATAGAGAACAAGATCATCTGCTAAGGATGAGGAAGGAGGTATAGGAGGTTTTGAGAAGGGGAAGGTATGAAAGACTTATCTAGGAGAACAGAAGAGTGAAAAAAGCATGGAGCATGTGGCTCACACCTGTAATCCCAACACTGGGAGGCCAAGACAAGAGGATAGTTTGAAACCAGGAGTTTGAGACCAGCCTGGGCAACAAAGGGAGACCTTGTCTTTACAAAAAATAAATTAGCTGGGCATGGTGGTGCACACTTGTCGTCCCAGCTACTTGGGAGGTTGAGGCAGGAGGATCCCCTAAGCCCAAGATTTCAAGGCTGCAGTAACCTATGATTGTACCAATGCACTCTAGCCCAGCCTGGGCAATAGAAGGAGACACTGTCTTTCTTATTTATTTGTTTATTTGTTTATTTATTTAGAGTCTTGCTCTTGTCACCCAGGCTGGAGTGCAATGGCGAAAGCTCAGCTCACTGTAACCTCCGCTTCCCAGGTTCAAGCAATTCTCCTGCCTCAGCCTCCTGAGTAGCTGGGATTACAGGCACCTGCCACCACACCCAGCCAATTTTTAGTATTTTTAGTAAAGACAGGGTTTCACCATCTTGGCCAGTCTGCTCTCAAACTCCTGGCCTCAGGTGATCCACTCGCCTCAGTCTCCCAAAGTGCTGGGATTACAGGCGTGAGCCACCATGCCTGGCCTAAAATTTATTTTAAAAGGCCAGGCGCAGTGGCTTACGCTGGGAGGCCGAGGCAGGCAGATTACTTGAGGCCAGGAGTTCAAGACCCGCCTGGCCAACATGGTGAAACCTCGTTTCTACTAAAATACAAAAATTAGGCTAAAGCATGAGAATCATTTGAACTCAAGAGGTGGAGGTTGCAGTGAGCCAAGATTGTGCCACTGTACTCTAGCCTGGGCGACAAGGCAAGACTCTGTCTCAAAAAAATTTATTAAAAAAAAAGCATGAGAATATAGCATGATTGCTGGTATCAAGAGCCTACTAGAAGTTAATAATCATGAACTGAAAGTAAGATCAGTCAATAAGGCTATCTATTTTCCTCCAATCAGGTTCAGCTATTATTGGTACAGGCACGAAGTGGAGAATTGAACTTAACAAAGTCGGTTTAGCAAAGCAAATAAAAAGGGAAAAGTAAGGCCAGGTGTGGTGGCTCACACCTGTAAAACCAGCACTTTGGAAGGCCAAGCTAAGTGGATTGCTTGAGCTCAGGAATTCAAGACCAGCCTAGGCAACATGGCGAAACCCTGTCTCCACTAAAAATACAAAAATTAGCCAGGCATGGTAGCGTGCACCTGTGGTCCCAGCTACTCAGGAGGCTGAGGCAGGAGGATCACTGGAGCCTAGGAAGTTGAGGCTGCAATGAGCCGTGATCATGCCACTGCACTCTAACATGGGTACAGAGTGAGATCCTGTTTCAAAAAAAAAAATTAAAAATTTAAAAACAGGGAAAGCAAATTGAGGGTATGTGCCAGGGAGTGATTATAATCACTGACTCAGGAATTTAAGGTTAGTAAGGAAGAAGTGGGGAATAGCAAAAAGACGGCAGAATCAACAAGTTATCCAGGTCTGGGTAGGACAGCAAAGGAGGTGAGAAGACAGCAGGCAGTGGTTGCAGAATGGGACCACTCACTGAAATGACAAAGAGTTGCAATGCTTGTCATACCAGAGTATTACCATTGGGAATGAGTGGCTGAAGTAGGGTGGACAACTGGAGGACAAGATCCTTGGAGGAGAGGAGGTCAAAGAATGGAAGGCCAGACATTGGAAGAATCATCTATATGTGGAAATAAGAAGGAACAACCTGGGGATTGTTAGATGACTAAAACAAGGAGAAGCAGTGGCTGGTAAAATATAATAATGTTAAGTTTAATTTTAATTTTTTTTTTGAGATAGAATCTCACTCTGTCACCCAGGCTGGAGTACAGTGGAACGATCACAGCTCACTGCAGCATTGACCTCCCAGGCTCAAGCAATCTTCTTAACTCAGCCTCCTGAATAGCTAGGACTACATGTGTGCACCATCATGCCCAGCTATTTTTTTTTAATTTTTTGAGAGATGGGGTCTCACTGTGTTGCCCCAGCTGGTCTCAAACTCCTAGGCTCAAGCAATTCTCGCACCTCAGTCTCCCAAAGTGCTGGGATTACAGGTGTGAGCCACGATGGCCAGCCATAATGCGAAGTTTTAAGAAGCTTTCAGGGAGAAGGGAGAGAGAATGCTCTGGAAGCAGCCAAGAGAATCAATAGAGACATTCACCCATTTCCTGTCAGTGTTACAAGGAAGGTAGAAGAGGACAGAGCCATTGTTTGAGAAGCCTACAGGGCAAGCCAAGCTTCAGCTACAGCTGGAAAGTGAAAGCTGCACTGAGAGAACAGGGTGAGAATTTGGCGGATTTAGCTGAAGACTAACCAAGAGTTCCAGAGGGTGCAAGAAAGAATCTTAGAGATAGCAAGGGTGGTACTTAGGATCCATGCTACCTATGGGCATATGCTCACCTCACCTATTGCAAGTTACTTAACCTCTGCTTTGTTCCCAGTTTCCTTGTCTGTAAATTGGGGATAATCATGGTATGGGCCTCACTCAAAGTGTTATTTTGAAGATTATATTCAACAATACAAGGAAGGCATTTAGAAAGTCCTTATAACTGTGCACCTGGCACACGGTCTGCACTTAAAAAATGTTACGTATTATTAAAGGATACTTTCTCTCCTGTATCATCCTATTGAATTATTTGAAAAATCTTTTATTTTCATTTAACATTTCAATGATATGAAAAGGTTTTAAATCCTAAGATTATAAAATCTAAGGAGGAGGGATAATACCATGTACTTGTCTGAGTCTTCTACAAGGTTCAAGATTTGAACAACAATGGCAGAGGGCCAAACAAACTAACACCAACTGTGACCTCAGGAGGAGGTATCACTATAGTCTCCATCTCCCAGACCTATCCTACAGATGTCAAGGGATTTAACTAATCTTTCAGAGGAAAAAAAGGTGCAGGGCAGACATGAACAAAAATGGAAGATAATAGCTCATGGGTATCAAACTAACCTTAATCCCTACTCTCAGGATATTGACTCTCTTAACATAACATATTCTTCAACCTCCTTTCAACAGATTTTTATGTGGAATGATAAACGCTTTCTGAAAACATAAATGAGCCGATTTTCTCAAAGACAAGGATTGAGGGATAGAAAAGCAATTCCTAGCCCTATAATAGGCCAGATGACAATTTCAAATCAAGAAACCTTCCTAAAACAAGGAAATATGAAAGAACATACCATTTGCCTAGCAATTTTAAAACACATTAACATTCCACTGTACTCCCAAATAAATTCCAGAGTTATCAAAAAGTCAAACACTTTAAGAAAAACTTTCATAAAATATATTTACCAGCTCTATGGAAAAAAGGGGAGCCTTCTCAGGAACAATCATTGTTTTTTTTTTAAAAAAGATGATGTGCATATTCAATAAATATTTACTGAGTGCCTATGTGTCCAGCAGTGTTTGAGGTTATCAGTCATATATTAACATCTCTAACTCAATTAAAAAAATAGCATAACCACCTAGGGAAATTTTGCATTGAAAATTTCAAAAGGTCAAAAACTTGGATAGAAAGTTTACCCAAACTTATTTTTAAAATAATATGGACTATACCAGATAAAAGGGCAAAATATTACCAAACTAGTACCATATAAGAAAATACAAATAGATTTCTCATATTTGGAAAGCATTCTTTTTTTTTTTTGAGACAGAGTCTCACTCTGTTGCCCAGGCTGGAGTGCAGTAGCGTGATCTTGGCTCACTGAAATCTCCACCTCCTGGGTTCAAGTGATTCTCTGCCTCAGCCTCCCAAGTAGCTGGGACTACAGGGGCGCGCTACTGTGCCTGGCTAATTTTTTTGTACTTTTAGTAGAGACGGGGTTTCACCATGTTAGCCAGACTGGTCTCAAACTCCTCACCTCGTGATCCACCCGCCAAGACCTCCCAAAGTACTGGGATTATGGGTGTGAGCCACCGCGCCTGGACAGCATTCATTTTTTTAACAACCAAAAGAAATGCCATATAAAATGATGTGAAGTACTATTTTACATTTAAATTCCATATTATTAAGATAATGGTGGAAAAGAGGCAGGTACAGGGTGCCTTTCTCCCAGTAGCCTAATCTGTGGACTCTCTCTACAAAACAAGACAGAAAAAGCCAAGGCAATGCTCAGTCTCTGACCAGAGAATGCCACTTCCAGCACCAAAACTGAGGAAATAATTCAAGTGGCTCAAAAAGGTATATGTAAGAGTTAATGGCAGCATAAGCCAGAATACCAGAAAAAGGAATATGAAAAATCATTTTTTGAAGCTGTAATTATAAACATGAAAAAACAGTAATGACATAAACGCAAAGAGACAAACTGTACCAATTATAGTATAAAATACGTACATACATACTCAGAACTTAAAATAAAAACAGAATAAAGAAACCATAGGTAATTTTACTTTTAGATAATGTTCTGTGATGGGAGCTTATCTTTTTATTCAAAATATCTGTTTTTTCAATATATTCCTATCTTAAAATAACATTTTAGAAGTATGTTATGAAATAGAACACATACCTGATACTCGTCTATTAAATCTGCTAGGAACTGGAACTGCAAAATAAAGAAGCAACATTTAGTCATTATTATGTCACCAGGCCGCATTTTTATCCTCCCTTTTTGCAAAAGTCTTTTACAATAGACCTAAGCCCCTCAAAACCAAGCAGTGGGTCAGTTCATAGTCTTCCACACTCAATCACAAATAGTTGTTCAATGTGATAATATTAAGACAATATAGGAAATACAGTATTTCTTTGAAAACAAACTATACCTTCAATATATTCAACCTGGCAATTTTATTTCTGCCCACATCTATATTCCATCTAATTTGTATCATTCCAATTGAATAAGAAGTCTACCAAATTTATTGATAATGTTATGATATAAAGTAGTGAAATTTTCTTTTTTTCTTTCTTTCTTTTTTTTTTTTTTTTTGAGACGGAGTCTCGCTCTGTAGCCCAGGCTGGAATGCAGTGGCGCGATCTCGGCTCACTGCAAGCTCCGCCTCCCACGTTCACGCCATTCTCCTGCCTCAGCCTCCGGCGTAGCTGGGACTACAGGCGCCCGCCACCATGCCCGGCTATATTTTTGTATTTTTTAAGAGATGGGTTTTTTGTTTTTGTTTTGTTTTGTTTTGTTTTGAGACGGAGTCTCGCTCTGTCGCCCAGGCTGGAGTGCAGTGGTGACATCTCGGCTCACTGCAAGCTCCGCCTCCCGGCTTCATGCCATTCTCCTGCCTCAGCCTCCCCAGTAGCTGGGACTACAGGCACCCGCCACCACACCCAGCTAATGTGTTGTATTTTTAGTAGAGACGGGGTTTCACCGTGTTAGCCAGGATGGTCTCGATCTCCTGACCTCATGATCCACCCACCTTGGCCTCCCAAAGTGCTGGGATTACAGGCGTGAGCCACCGCGCCTGGCCTGTATTTTTTTAGAGATGGAGTTTCATCATGTTGGCCAGGCTGGTCTTGAACTCCTGACAGGTGATCCGCCTGCCTCAGCCTCCCAAAGTGCTGGGATTACAGGCGTGAGCCACCGTGCCTGGCCTGTTAATTTTTGTATTTTTAGTAGAGACAGGGTTTTGCCACATTGGCCAGACTGGTCATGAACTCCTGACCTCAAGTGATCCACCCACCTTGGCCTCCCAAAGTGCTGGGATTACAGGCGTGAGCCACCGCGCCTGGCCTGTATTTTTTTAGAGATGGAGTTTCATCATGTTGGCCAGGCTGGTCTTGAACTCCTGACAGGTGATCCGCCTGCCTCAGCCTCCCAAAGTGCTGGGATTACAGGCGTGAGCCACCGTGCCTGGCCTGTTAATTTTTGTATTTTTAGTAGAGACAGGGTTTTGCCACATTGGCCAGACTGGTCATGAACTCCTGACCTCAAGTGATCCACCCACCTTGGCCTCCCAAAGTGCTGGGATTACAGGTGTGAACCACCGCGCCTGGCCAAGCAGAACCATTTTGAAATGTTCCCTGTGAGTGGATCAGCAGCGGACATAGCACTTCTGTTACAATATAAAGTACCTGGAGAAAATGAGTCATTGCAAATTAGATTGTATAAAGATCACTTTGGCTATAGTTGATAGACAAAGGTAGTGGCTTAGGTTAGATGTGTGGCTTATGAACAGAAGGAAAACAAATAGATTCCAGAGATGAGAAAAAATCTATACAGTTTAGGCCAAGTACGGTGGCTTACTATTGTAATCCCAGCACTCTGGGAGGCCGAGGCGGCTGGATCATTTGAGGTCAGAAGTTCGAGACTAGCCTGGCAAACATGGTGAAACCCTGTCTCTACTAAAAATACAAAAAAAAAATTAGCTGGGCGTGGTGGCGCACTCCTGTAATCCTAGCTATTCAGGAGTCTGAGGTAGGAGAATCACTTGAACTTGGGAGGCAGAGGTTGTGGTGAGCCAAGATTGCGCCACTGCACTCCAGCCTCGGTGACAGAGCAAGACTCCATCTCAAAAAAAAAAAAAAAAAAAAAAAAAAAACTATATAGTTTAGTGACAGACTTAATGTGTCAGTGCTTGCTCTACAAATGCCAATCAAATGAAATTATATCTTTACTGCTATAAAAGACACAGTATTCAATATGGATCTCATTCAATCTATAAATAAGGGTGCTGTCATAAATTCTAAAATCATAAAATGTCAGAGTTACAGAGTATCTGTGAAGTCATCTGGTCTGGCCATGACAAGTAGGCTTCATCTCACATAGCAACTCTAGTTGAAGTCACAGATCCACCTGAGTCATTCTAGACTCCTTCCTTTCACTACTCACATCTACTTCATTAACAATTCCATCTGTTCTCCCTCCCACTTCATCTCTTAAATCAGTCTACCTACCTTGATCTCCACTATCATCCTAGTCTGAGGCACATCATTTCTTGCTTGGATGACTTGCAGTAGCCTCCAAACCTTTTTTCCCATTGCCAATCAATTCTCTTCACACTTATCAGAGTGATCTTAACATTGAGAAGGATAATTTGACAGCCTTTGTCAAAATTTTAAATGTAAACTGCCTTTAACCCAGCAACAATTCCAGTTCTAGGAATATGTTCTAAACAAAACTCACATGTGGAGAGAAATAAATGTGTGTGTGTGTGTACACACACACACACGTATAGATGAATATATACATATATTTGTGTATACAATCATCCCTCAGTATCTATGGGGAATTGGTTCCGTAGACCCCCATGGATACCAAAATCTGAAGATACTCAAAAATATAAAATAGCACAGTATCTGCATATAACCTATGCATATCTTCCTGTGTACTTTAAATCATCTCTAGATTACTTATAATACCTACTAATATGCCTATACACTACTTCATTCCTGTGGATTTAATGTAGTACTTGACACAGCAAATTCAAGTTTTGCTTTTTGGAACTTTGTGGAATTTTTTTCCTGAAAGTATTTGCATGATGGCAACACTGCACTTCAGCCTGGGCGACAGAGTAAAACTGTCTCTTAAAAAAATGTTTTTTTAATTTTTTAAATTAAAAAAATAAAAATCCACAGATGTGGTACCCACGGATACAAAGGGCTGACAGTAAATACATATATATGTATATGTGCATATGTACATACATGTGTATATGCAAACGCCATAATCATTATATTATCATATATAATATTCAAAAGGGAGAAACAAATTGCCTAGAAAAAGAAATTAAGGGAATATTGGTACAGTTATAGTACAAACCTCTATGTAGCCATTTAAATGAATGCAATGGTCCTATAAGAATTGACAAGGGGCCGGGTGCAGTGGCTCATGCTTATAATCTCAGCATTTTGGGAGGCCAAGGCAGGAGGATCATTTGAGCTCAGGAGTTTGAGACCAGCCCGCACAACATAGAAAGACCCCGTGTCTTTACAAAAAATTTAAAAATTAGTCAGGCGAGGTGGCATGCACTTGAGTCCCAGCTACTCAGGGGGCTGGGGTAGGGGATCCATTGAGCCCAGGAGGTCGAGGCTGTGATGAACCATGATTGTACCACTGCACTTCAGCCTGCGCAACAGAGGGAGACTATCTCTTAATTTTAACTTTAAAAATTAAAAAAAATGGGGCAGGTGTAGTGGCTCATGTCTGTAATCCCAGTGCTTTGGGAGGCCAAGATGGAATGATCACCAGCCTGGGCAATATAATAAGACCTCGTCTCTACAAAAACAAACAAACAAAATTAATTAGCCAGGCACAGCGGCTAATGCCTGTTGTCACAGCTACTTCAGATGCTGAGGTGGGAGGATGGCTTGAGCCTGGGAGGTCAAGGTTGCAGTGAACTGCAATCATGGCACTGCACTCTAGCCTGGGTGACAGAGCAAAAGACCCTGTCTTCAGCCATAAAAAGGAATCATTACTGACATATGCAACTTGGATGAACCCCAAAAACATTTAAATAAAAGCAGCCAGACACAAAAAAATCACATATTGTATGATTTCTTTTATATGCAATATCCAGAATAGTTAACCCATAGAGCCAACTGATGGTTGCCAGGAGATGAAAGGAGGGGAGAATGAAAAGTGATTATTTATTGGGTACAGGTTGTTCTTCTGAGGGAATGAAAAGATTCTTCAACTAGAGAGCTGCCGTGGGTGCATAACATTGTGAATGCGCTAAATGCCACAAAATTATACACTTTAAAAGATTAATTATATGTTATCCGAATTTCACCTCAATTAAAAAAAAAGGCATTATGCAAAGTAAAAAGTAAGCCAGGCTCAAAAAAGACCACATATTGAATGATTCCATTTATGTAAAATTCCCAGAGAAGTTAAAACCAGAAAAACACAAAGTAGATGAGCGGTAGGCTGGGGCTGCAGGGGGAATGGGGAGTGACTGCAAATAGACACAAAAGAGGGAACTTTTGGGGGTGAAAAATGTTCTCAAAGTGTGGTGATAGCTGTACAAGTCTGTAAGTTTACTAAAAATAAATTGTACACTTAAAATGGGTGAATTTCATGATATATAAATTATATCTCAATAAAGCTCTGAAAAAAAAAACTATTGAAAGTCCTTCAACATGAGTCATGTAAATTTTAAGTACAACGAAAATAGGAAGGAAAAGAAACAAAGAGATGCAGAAATAAGCAGGAAAAAACTAGGACATTTTTCATTCATTTAGTAAATATTTACTATATGCTAGACATTGAGATTAGGGAGGGAGCAAAACAAACCATCTGTCCTCATGGAACTTATAATCTAATTGTGACTAACAATAAAAAAGCACATCCTATAACACAATGCAGCAATGACGCAGTAGGTTCTGAGGTGTAGTAACAGGAAGAAAATAATTTACCACATCCTTTATTCATTTGGTGTTACAGGCAACTTTGAGCAGAAAAAGCTTTTTTTTTTTTTTTTCGAGACTCTCACTCTGTCGCCCAGGCTGGAGTGCAGTGGCACAATCTTGGCTCACTGCAAGCTCCGCCTCCCAGGTTCACGCCATTCTCCTGCGTCAGCCTCCTGAGTAGCTGGGACTACAGGCGCCTGCCACCACGCCTGGCTAATTTTTTGTGTTTTTAGTAGAGACGGGGTTTCACCGTGTTAGCCAGGATGGTCTCAATCTCCTGACCTTGTGATCCGCCCGCTTTGGCCTCCCAAAGTGCTGGGATTACAAGGCGTGAGCCACTGCGCCTGGCCAGAAAAAACTTTTACTACTTTATTTGATACCTTATGTTCTAATTAAACTTGAAAAAATTTAGTTCTGAAATACACGTGGATTTTTTAAACTCTGAGAACTTTGTAAACACAACTGTGTTCTACAGACAGCAAAAGCTTCTCTAAACTTGTGTTAGTCACATGGTCAAATTAGACATAATGCTCCGTACATATTGAAGCACAAAGAACTAAAGATAAGAGGCAAATAATTCTGACTGGAAAAGAATAGGAGGTACCTCTTCTAGTTTCTGGATACAGAAGACAAAAGTCCATTTGCATAGAAATTTGGGCAAGAGAGCCTTAATTCTTCCTTGGGTATAATGAAGTTGTCCGCCGGGCATAGGGGCTCACACCTGTAATCCCAGCAAGAGGACTGCTGAGACCAAGGGTTCGAGACCAACCTGGGCAAGGTGGCAAGACCCTATCTCTACCAAAAAAAAAAAAAAAAAAAAAATTAGCTGGCAGGATGGTATGCACGTGTAGTCCTAGATATTTGGGAGGCTGAGGCAGGAGGATTGCTGGAATCCAGGAGTTCGAGGTTTCAGTGAGCTATCATCAAGCCACTGCATTACAGCCTGGGCTACAGAGTAAGATCCTGTCTCTTTAAAAAAAAGGCTGGACATGGTGGCTCACGCCTGTAATCCCAGCATTTTGGGAGGCCGAGGCGGCGGATCACGAGGTCAGGAGATTGAGATCATCCTGGCTAACACAGTGAAACCCTGTCTCTACTAAAAATACAAAAAATTAGCCAGGCGTGGTGGCACGCACCTGTAGTCTTAGCTACTTGGGATGCTGAGGCAGAAGAATCACTTGAACCCGGGAGGCGGAGGTTGCAGTGAGCCGAGATTGTGCCACTGCACTCCAGCCTGGGCAACAGAGCGAGACTCCATCTCAAAAAAACAAAACAAAACAAAACAAAACAAAACAAAAACGCTAAAAGCTGTCTACTGTCTCCAGAAAATTTTATATAATTTAGGTAGCTGCTATGAGCCATGTTAAAGATCCTAAGTAAAGCCAGATAAGATAAAGGAGGAAAGTGGGGCCAGGATGTGTTGGCTCACACCTGTAATTCCAGTACTTTAGGAGGCCAAGGCGGGTGGATCACCTGAGGTCAGGAGTTCAAGACCAACCTGGCCAACATGGCGAAACCCCACCTCTACTAAAAATACAAAAATTAGGGCCAGGCGCAGTGTAATCCCAGCACTTTAAGAGGCCGAGGTGGGTGGGTCACGAGGTCAAGAGATGGAGACCATACTGGCCAACATGGTGAAACCCTGTCCCTACTAAAAATACAAATATTAGCTAGGCGTGGTGTCTCGCGCCTGTGGTCCCAGCTACTCAGGAGGCTGAGGCAGGAAAATCACTTGAACCCAGGAGGCACAGGTTGCAGTGAGCTGAGATAGTGCCACTGCACTCCAGTCTGGCGACAGAGCGAGAATCCGTCTCAAAAAGATTAAAAAAAAAAAAATTAGCCTGGCGTGGTGGCTTGCACATGTAATCCCACCTACTCAGGAGGCTGAGGCAAGAGAATTGCTTGAACCACGGAGGTGGAGGTTTCAGTGAGCCAAGATTTTGCCACTGCACTCCAGCCTGGGCAACAAGAGTGAGACTCCATCTCAAAACAAAAAATAAATAATCAAGGAGGAAAGTTATTAACGTTAACAGAGAAGGGTCACTGAGTGGGATATTCAACTGACTTTAACAATCCTTTCTATCCACACAGAAAGTTAACAGGTTTTCAACATTTTAAGAAAAATATTTTTTGAATCTTGATCTAAGTTTGGCCATTTTGCTGATTTTAAACATTCTGTAATGCCTTGTTCCATTTGTATTTCCAGAAAGTTCCATGAGTCTGACATGCACCAGAGTAGAAAATCATTGCTACAAATTGAAAACATATCATAGAATCAGAGGAGTTCAGAGTTTATTCAGCCTTGAAATTGGGGAAGCCCTCCAGCAACTTACAGCACAGCTCTAATAGGAAACAAGCAGATCATTTTTATTTTCTAATCTCAAGCTTTGTGCTTTATAAATATTTAGTTATTAATTTCAACAGATTTTTCAGGATATAAAGAAAATGGCTGCAGTTTCAATTTACCAGTTCTTTTTGTTTGTTTTGTTTTATTTTTGAGACAGAGTCTCGCTCTGTTGCCCAGGCTGGAATGCAATGGTGCAATCTCGGCTCAATGCAGCCTCCACCTCCCAGGTTCAAGTGATTCTCCCACCTCAGCCTCCCAAGTAGCTGGGAAACTACAGGCGCCCACCACCACACCTGGCTAATTTTTGTATTTTCAGTAGAGACAGGGTTTCGCCATGTCAGCCAGGTTGGTCTTGAACTCCCGACCTCAGGTGATCTGCCTGCCTCGGCCTCCCAAAGTGCTGGAATTACACGCGTTAGCCACTGCACCCAGCCTTCAATTTACCAGTTCTAAAGCCCCTTGATATTCAAACAGTGCTGGCATGGTTTTGTTATGTACAAACATACATACACACACATACACATACATATAAAATATATGATATACATACATATTTTATATATTATATATATATATGACTTAGCTCATACCTGACAAAAAGTAAGTCAGCTTTATTATGCTTTAAAAAGGAAGCTGGACGGGCACGGTGGCTCACACCTGTAATCCCAGCACTTTGGGAGGCTGAGGCGGGCGGATCACGGGGTCAGGAGATTGAGACCATCCTAGCTAACAGGGTGAAACCCCGTCTCTACTAAAAATACAAGAAATTAGCCAGGCGTGGTGGCGGGCGCCTGTCCCAGCTACTCGGGAGGCTGACGCAGGAGAATCGCTTGAACCTGGGAGGCGGAGGTCACAGTAAGCCGAGATCGCGCCACTGCACTCCAGCCTGGGTGACAGAGCAAGACTCTGTCTCAGCGGAAAAAAAAAAAAAGAAGAAGAAAGAAGAAGAATGAAAACAGGGCCAGGCGTGGTGGCTCACGCCTGTAATCCCAGCACTTTGGGAGGCCAAAGCAGGCGGATCACAAGGCCAGGAGTTTGAGACCAGCCTGACCAACATGGTGAAACCCCATCTCTACTAAAAATAAAAAAATTAGCTGGGCGTGGTGGCACGCGCCTGTAATCCCAGCTACTCAGGAGGCTGAGGCAGGAGAATCGCTTGAACCCAGAAGGTGGTGGTTGCAGTGAGCCAAGATCACACCATTGCACTGCAGCCTGGGTGACAGTGCGAGACTCCATCTCAAAAAAAAAAAAAAAAAAAAAGAAGCTAGAAGCTGGCTTTATTACTAATACTTCTCCAACCTTGCCTCCTATACCTCTCTCCCCTGTTCCCATCTGACCATCTAAAACCCTCCTTCTGCCCAGAAAAGGAATATTTTCACAGCCTGTGTGTGTACATCCACTGATACCCTCCTTCTCATTCTTCCAGGCAGTTCCTATATCCCTCCCCTAGAATCCTGTACATTTATAAGTGAAAACACCCTAGGCACATTGAAACTGGTTCATTGTCTGTCTAGAGTATAGACCATGAACTCTTAGAAGACTGGCATTTTGTCAGACTCATTTCTAAATCTCTAGCATCTAGCACAGTGCTCAGCACATGGCGGATTAAAATTTACTAACTGGGGCCGAGGCAGGCGGATCACAAGGTCAAGAGATAGAGACCATCCTGGCCAACATGGTGAAACCCCATCTCTACTAAAATACAAAAATTAGCCGGGTGTGGTGGCGCGTGACTGTAGTCCCAGCTACTCAGAAGGCTGAGGCAGGAGAATTGCTTGAACCTGGGAGGTGGGGGTTGCAGTGAGCCGAGATCGCACCACTGCACTCCAGCCTTGCGACAGAGAGAGACTCCATCTCAAAAAAAAGAAAAAATTTACTAACTGGGTATACAAATTATCCTATCCAAACTTCAGCCTGCAGATAGTCTCTCAACAGCAGTACAGTATGGAATCAAAGCAATGTTCACCTCACCTAAGCCCCTCTTTTTCCAGGGCAACCACAGAGCAAGTTTACCCACCCAATGCAAGTTTAAAAGGAGAGCTCCACTGTAAACCCAAAGTATTATGAGGTTCCTTCTTAAGTTTATAAGCTTAAACATTTAGCATTAAACCAATTAAGGAGACTGGGTACAATGGCTCATGCCTGTAACCCCAGCACCTTAGGAGGCCGAGGCAGGAGGATCACCTGAGCCCAGGAGTTCAAGACCAGCCTGGGCAACATAGCAAGATCTTATCTCTTTAAAAAATAATAATAATAATAAGGTAATAGGCTGGGCGCAGTGGCTCACGCCTGTAATCCCAGCACTTTGGAAGGCTGAGGCAGGTGGATCACGAGATCAAGAGATTGAGACCATCCTGGCCAAGATGGTGAAACCCCGTCTCTACTAAAAATACAAAAATTAGTTGGGCATGGTGGCACATGCCTGTAGTCCCACCGATTCGGGAGGCTGAGGCAGGAGAATTGCTTGAACCCAGGAGGTGGAGGTTGCAGTGAGCCGAGATTGCGCCACCATACTCCATCCTGGTGACACAGCAAGACTACGTCTCAATAAATAAATAAATAAATAAATAAATAAATAAATAAATAAATAGGCCAGACGTGGTGGCTCACGCCTGTAATCCCAGCACTTTGGGAGGCCAAGGTGGGTGGATCACCTAAGGTCTGGAGTTCGAGACCAGCCTGGCCAACATGGTGAAACCCCATTTCTACTAAAAATACAAAAAATTAGCCAGGCATTTTGGCGGGCGCCTGTAATCCCAGCTGAGGCTGAGGCAGGAGAATTGCTTGAACCCGGCGGGTGGAGGTTGCAGTGAGCCAAGGTCGCACCATTGCGCTCCAGCCTGGGCAACAGGAACGAAACTCCATCTTAAAATAAATAAATAAATAAAATAAATAAATAAAAATAAAAAATAAGATAATAATAATAAAATAAACCAAGTAAGGACTGAGGGAGAAAAGAGAGAGAAAAAACACTTCATATTTTAAAAACAAAAACAATGGAGACATCTTAACCAAGCAAAAAAAGATTTGGTATGCTCTTTACAGCACAAGAGCTGTGAGCCCCAAATAAGAAATGACATATCAATTAAAAAAAAACAAACTCCATTTTAAGATTTTTGTTTCTTTTGAAAGCATTAGCATGTAGAGTTGCTATGCCACTGAGAAAGTGGAAGATTCTTATTCCTCCAAACACATAAATCTTGCAATCTACAAGAGGGGAGAAATCCAGCAGAGGAGAGAAATTGTTTTCCATTCCCAAATGTGCTAATTAATTATACATAAATATTAACACTCTCTACAGCCAAAAGGTACCATCTAACAAACTCTACTATCTCAGCTGCCCTCTGCTCTGATGCAAAGTTGTAAAGAGGCAGATCAGATTTCTCTATCATTTACATGCCAGCCAGGCAGGTAGGCACTTCCAACCATACCCAAGGCATCCTGTTAAAAGCAAAAATCAGCCTATTAAGAAACCAAAAGCCGAAGAGCTGCCCTGCCGAATTATTTGTACAAGAATTATCTGCTATATTTTCAAATAATCAAAACTATACCACTAATCTTTAGTCTGTCATTTTACAATATAAGCCATTCATTTTTAATATCTGACAACACTCTGGAGAACAAAGCAAGGGTAACAGTAATAAGATTTCACCACAAAAGACAGGTTTGCATTCTAGCTTCAGAACTTAAACCTGGCCAGGTGCAGTGGCTCACACCCATAATCTTTGGGAGGCCAAGGCAGGGAGGACTGCTTGAGCCCAGGAGTTCGAGACAAGTTTGGGCAACAGAGTGAGACCCTGTCTCTACAAAAAAAAAATGTTTTAATTAGCCAGGCACAGTGGTGTGCACCTACAGTGCCAGCTGCTTGGGAGGCTGAGGTGGGAGGATGGCTTGAGCCAGGGAGCTTGAGCTGTGATTACACCACTGCACTCCAACCTGGGTGACACAGCAAGACCCTGTCTCAAAAAAAAGAAAAGAGAACTTAAACTTCTCTGAGCCTCAGTATTCTCACAAATTCAATAAGGGTAGTACTACTTACCACAAATGACCCGAGGGCAGACTTAATGACCCTATGTATAGAAGTACTGAGACAGTAAAATGTTAGGGATATCATAGTTTTGTGGAGGGTTTGTTTGCTGGTTTTTCAAAATTATCTATCTTTAAAATACTGCAGTTTCACATTTTTTTTCACAGCTGCTATTCTGCCACGTATACCCTGTTCAAACACTTTTTTTTTTTTGAGACAGAGTTTCGCTCTTGTTGCCCAGGCTGGAGTGCAGTGGTGCAATCTCTGCTCACTGCAACCTCCCACTGCAACCTCCGCCTCCTGGGCTCAAGCGATTCTCCTGCCTTAGCCTCCCAAATAGCTGGGATTACAGGCGCCAACCACCACACCTGGCTAATTTTTGTATTTTTAGTAGAGACAGGATTTCACCATGTTGGCCAGGCTGGTTTCGAACTCCTGACTTCAGGTGATCCGCCAGCCTTGACCTCCCAAAGTGCTGGGATTACAGGCATGAGCCACAACGCCCACCCTCAAACATTTTTTGTTAGTTACAATTTTTGAGTCCCACTACGTGCAAGTATTATGCCAACCATTTTAAATGCATCATCACATATACCCTTCACAACAACCCTATTACCATCCCATTTTGTAGCTGAGGAGACTGAGACTCAGAGAATTGTACCCAAGGTCACACAGCTAGGAAGTGGTCAAGCCAGAATCTGAGTCATCTAAATTTGACAACTGAGGAAAAGTAAAAGTGTGAATCAATAAAATACTTGTTTTACATTTTTTGAAATAAATTCCACCATTCCATTATTTAATTATGGATCCTTAGCAATATAATGTTTATTAGAATCCCCCCAGCTTTTTCCTGTGGAAGGATCATGTTGCCTGTTTGCTTACTGCTGCCCCTACCAGACAGATGATAAGCTCCTATAGTCAAGTGCACTTTTATCCTCCCCTGTCCCAGTGCTGACCAGAGTGGACATCTGCTGAAATAACACAGGAAGGCAGTGGGGAGGCTGAAGGCCACAACAGTGTTCAGCCATACCACTGTGTCAACCCACCTCCTGTGACACTACTCCAAACCCCTACCTTCTCCTAGTTAGGTAACCAGAGTTATCCTTTAGGAGTGGCCTCTCACAGATGTGAAGTCCTTGTGGGACTTCACTCCCAACTCTGCCTACTACTTCCAATTTGGTCATAGGATAGGGTGCATGATCCAAGCCAGGCAAATCAGTGTTCTTAAGCATGGTAACTTGCTTGGAACAAGCATAGAACATTCATGGTAACTTATTCCAAAAACGGAATATGACCCAACCCAAGCCATTCCTTCTCTGGAATATTCTAAACTGGGGATACAGAATAGCTCGCTCTTTAGTTTGGATCAGGAACTGCTTTAGGCACTGTGGAGCCAATGGAGTAGATCTACCGCAAGGGAATAAGAGGGTCATACATGCATTTTGGAAAGATTATTCTAATAATAGTATCACCAATGGAATAAGACACGGAGTGGGAAGACCAGTAATGGGCCTACTGTAATATTCCTGACAAAAAAATGAAGAAAGCTTGAATGGTAACGGGAATGGAGAAAAGGGAACACATTAGGAAACATTTGGGGATTGCCTTTTGTCTCACTGGAAATACTGTCCTAAAACAGAGAACCTGACTCCTTAATTCTCTTGCACATAGATGACTACTGTGAACACTCGATTCATATGATAAGTACTTACCAAGTACCTAGAAACCAGTAAGAATGAAGTAGTTATAAGCATAGATTCTGAGCCAGGCTGCTTGGGTTCAAATCCAGTCACCTCACTTACTAGCAGTGTGACCTTGAATAAGTTACTTAACCTCTGTGCCTCACTTTCCTCATCTATAAAACCAGGATAATAATAGCACCTACCTCATAGGGTTGCTGCTGTGCAGAAAAGGAAACCCTTGAACTGGTTGATAAAAGACAAGTAGCAGTTCAGCAGAGAAACAAGAAGGGGAGGACAGCATTCCAGGCAGAAGGGAAGGCATATGCAAAGGAAAAGAAATGTGAAAAAGTGAGCTTGACTCATGACCATTGTGCTCTCCAGACCCACATTCCCAATGTTGGCTAAATGCCAGCTGGAACTCCAACTCCCTGAGTTGGACCTGAAATTCAATAGGTCCAGAATAGAACCAATAAACTTCACAGTTCCTGTTACTCCAGGCTCCCTATGTCAGGGGCAATGCCATGACCATCTCCAATCACACAGTTTTAATTACTCCCCCATTTACTCCTAAACACAGACTGTAACAGTAGGACAAGGGTGGAATGATTAGTCCAGCGTAAGCCATGCCTCACAGAAAGAGAAAGAACGTCTCCCTAAGTATAGGATCTGACTGTGGCAAGATCAGAGCAAGGAGTGGTGGGGATTGTGGGTCAAGTCAGAGATGACACAGAGCACTACTTACCCAGGGGCAGAAACTTCAACTCTAGGAACACCAGCTATCCAGACCTAAAAGGATCATTCTCTGCTGTAAAGACCAGCTTTGCTTCATGCTCCCAGAACTAGGGAAATACCTCCTCCTACCCATCCCCACTCCCTTCCAGCTATTGCTATTTTTCCTGTTACAATTCTGTATTTTCCAATCAAAACTCTTACTGATAATCCAATTTCCCAAGAATTTTTAAATATGCAAGTTCCCTGGTTTTTAGAGATATGAGTTCTTGAGAGATATGAGTTCTAGGATCAATAGAAATGATTAAACAACCAATTACAGTTATCACACCAGACACTAGATATTTAGCATACATTATCTTTAAGTTTTACCACACCCTTGAAAGACAGTCAAGAACTCCCTTTTGAATGGAAACAGGACCAGGCACAGTGGCTCACGCCTGTAATCCCAGCACTTTGGGAGGCCGAGGCGGGCGGATCGCGAGGTCAGGAGTTTGAGACCAGCCTGGCCAACATGGTGAAACCCTGTCTCTACTAAAAATACAAAAACTAGCCGGGCATGGTGGTGTGCACCTGTAGTCCCAGCTACTAGGGGACTGAGGCAGCAGAATCGCTTGAACCTGGGAGGTGAAGGTTGCAGTGAGCCGAGATTGCACTACTGCACTCCAGCCTGGGCGACAGAGCAACACTCCATGTCAGAAAAAAAAAAAAAAAAGAATGAAAACAGGGCCAGGCGCAGTGTCTCACGCCTGTAATCCCAGCACTTTGGGAGGCCAAGGCGGGCAGATCACTTGATGTCAGTTCGAGACCAGCCTGGCCAACATGGCGAAACCCCATCTCTAATATAGCTGGACATGGTGGCGCATGCCCGTAATCCCAGCTACTCAGGAGGCTGGGGCAGGAGAATCCCTTGAACCAGGGAGGCAGAGGTTGCAGTGAGCCAAGATTGCACCATTGCACTCCAGCCTGGGTGACGGGGCAAGATTCTGTCTCAAAAAAAAAAAAAAAAAAAAATGGAGTTTCCCAGCATCCAGCCTGGCACTGCCTCAGACCAGTTCTTCACACAGCTTGCATGGGGTATAAATATGGTGATGTTCCTTCCCTTTATAAAGCTGTTTAATGTGTCCCTGGCCTGTAGAAGCATCTCCCAAACTTCCATGGCCACAGAACCATTTCAAATTGATAGAACACCAGCTAGCACTCACAATATCTACTAAATTGAATCTATATGCTTAGATTAGAGCAAAGAGAAGGAAAAAATGGCCTCGGTAACTGATGCCAAAAGAAAAAAATTATACTCTAATAAAAGAAAAAGCAAATTAGCAAAATTAAGCCATTTTCATTTTCCTAAGAACACAATTTCACATATTCTGTAATTAAAACACAAGACACATGTCACAGACTAGTAATCAAATGAAAATAACAAATCAGGCTAGTTAGTGCATCTGAATCATGCAATAATATGCAGATCCCAAGTCAAATGTGTTCATGATGCCCCAGGATGTTGTTTTTTTTTTTTTTTTTCTTTGAGACAAGATCTCGTTCTGTTGCCCAGGCTGGAGTGTGGTGGTGCAATCATGGCCTTGACTTGATGTGGGGCCATTATCAATATTGTTTAAAAGCTCCCAAGGCTGAAAACCACTGCTATAGGGGAAGGGAAGAATTGAGTGGAGGCTACAAGGGTAGAAGCCAGTCTTCTCTGAATATACCTTGTTTTATAGATTTGGCTTTGGAATCACAAATATTTTAAACAATTATGAAATTAAATTAGAAAAAGCAATCCCTAAAGCATAAAGCAAACGTACTGCATACTGAATTGGAAAGAGAATCACACAAAGGACTATTTTAAGTGACTTTTTTTTTTTTAACATAGAGACGAGGTCTCACCATGTTGTCCAGGCTGGTCTTGAACTCCTGGGCTCAAAGCAATCGCCCGCCTCAGCCTCCTGAAGTGCTGGGATTACAGGTGTAAGCCACTGTGCCTGGCCCTTCAAGTGACTTTAACTGGAAATCCTAATAGGGTATATTCTAAAGATAAGAACTCAAGAAAATCTGCAGTTTTTTCAGAACTCATACTTGGGACTGGTGTCTAAAGGGGGTGTCGGGGGGGTGCTGTCTTACGGGTTGAGCCCTCAACCTGTGAGATCTGTTGCTGTCTCCAGGAAGACAGTCAGAAATAAATGTGAGAATACCCAGCTGGTGTCTGCTGCTTGGTGTGTGGAGGAAAAAAAAACACATATTTGGTCACAGAAGTCTTCCATGTTGATGTCTGTTGTGGTATGGTGAGAGGAGAAGAAAAATACAGTTGGAGAGTTTTTTCTAATCACAAGTCTAAAACCAAAAATGTCATAAGACTTGAACATCTTCCAGCCTGGGCAACATAGGGAGACTCCATCTCTACAAAAAAATTTTTTTTTAATTAGCTGGGTATGGTGGCGCACGTCTGTGGTCCCAGCTACTGGGGAGGCCAAGGTGGGAGGATTGCTTGAACCTGGGAGGTCGAGGCTGCTGCAAGCCATGATCACACCACTGCACTCCAGCCTGGGCAACAGAGAAATACCCCGTCTCCAAAAAAAAAAAAAAAAGAAAAAAAATCTTCTACCAGAAATCAAGGACACTACGGAAGTCTACTAGGACCGTAGCAAAAGGAAATCAGGAGGAAATTTGAAGAGGTTACCACTACAAAAAGACAGGATAATATGAACATCAAATAAGAACAAGGGCCAGGGCCGGGTATGGTGGCTCACGCCTGTAATCCCAGCACTGTAATCCCAGCACTTTGGGAGGCTAAGGCAGGTGGATCACTTGAAGTCAGGAGTTCAAGACCAGCCTGGCCAACATGGCGAAACCCTGTCTCTATTAAAAATACAAAAATTAGCCAGGCGTGGTGGCAGGCACCTGTAATCACAGCTACTCGGGAGGTTGAGGCAGGAGAATCGCTTGAACCTGGGAGAAGGCGGTTGCAGTGAGCTGAGATCACGCCATCACACTCCAGCCTGGACGACAAGAGCAAAACTCCGTCTAAAAAAATATATACAAAAATTAGCTGGGCATGGTGGCACATGCCTATAATCCTAGCTACTTGGGGAATCACTTAAGCCCAGGAGGCAGAGGTTGCAGTGAGCTGAGTTCATGCCACTGTGCTCCAGCCTGGGTAACAGAGCGAGACTCTGTCTCCAAAAAAAAAAGGGGAGAAGGGTAAAGGTTGAAAAAACTACCTATCCAGGTACCATGTTCATTACTTGGGTGATAAGATCATTCATATCCCAAACCTCAGGTGACATGAAATTTACACATGTAACAAACCTGTACATTCCAAAATCATAAGAAAGAAAGAAAGAAAGAAAGAAAGAAAGAAAGAAAGAAAGAAAGAAAGAAAGAAAGAAAGAACCCTGCACATGTACCTCCTGAACCTAAAATAAAAGTTGAATAAGAATGGCTATGAGGACAAGCATGATGGCTCACGCCCATGTAATCCTAACACTTTGGGAGGGCGAGGCGGGAGGATCACTTGAGGTCAGGAGTTTGAGACCAGCCTGGCCAACATGTGAAACCCTGTCTCTACTAAAAACACAAAAATTAGTCAGGCATCATGGCACACACCTGTAATCCCAGGTACTCAGGAGGCTGAGGTAGGAGAATCACTTGAACCCGGGAGGCGGAGGTTGCAGTGAGCCGAGATCGTACCACTGCACTACAGCCTGGGCGACAGAGTGAAATTCCGTCTCAAAAAAGAAAAAGAAAAAAAAGGCAATGAACTCAAACATATCAAATATGGTTAAGTTCTTGAATTTATACTGATTTTCTTTTCTTTTTTTTTTTTTTTTTTTTTTGGAGACAGAGTTTCACTCTTGTTGCCCAGGCTGGAGTGCAATGGCGCAATCTCGGCTCACCGTAACCTCTGCCTCCCAGGTTCAAGCGATGCCTCCTGCCTCAGCCTCCCAAGTAGCTGGGATTACAGGCATACACTGCCACACCCAACTAATTTGGGTTTCTCCATGTTGGTCAGGCTGGTCTCAAACTCCCAACCTTAGGAGTCTGCCCGCCTTGGCCTCCTTGGGATTAGAGGCATGAGGCCACCACACCCGGCCTGATTTTCTTTTTCTAAGAAACAGTCTTGCTAGGTTGCTCAGGCTGGAGTGCAGTGGCTATTCACAGACACGATCCACATGTCTACTGCATCACACTAAGGACTCTTAAGGAGTAGGGATGGAGACTTTCCTGCTACCTTTTGTTGAGTACAGACCCTGGCACACATAGACATTAAACGTAAATGATTAGCTGGGCATGGTGGCATGCGCCTGTAATCCCAGCTACCTGGGAGGCTGAGGCACAAGAATTGCTTGAACCTGGGAGGCAAAGGTTGCAGTGAGCCAAGACTGCGCCACTGTGCTCCAGCCTGGACAAGAGAGAAATTCTGTCTCAAAATAAAAAAATTAAATTAAATTAAAAAATAGACTGAAAGAATGATTTCCTATTACCCAAGCTGGAAAGGACCAAAGGCCACATCCCCCTTCTGGTGTATGTCTTCTCATCAGTTCACATCTGGCCCCTAATTTCAGTAGAATTATATATAATAGGAATATAAAACTATTCTGTCACTAACTGGTATACTTCCATACAATTCTGATGCTAACACTAGGTGGTTAACATCAGACTCTAGAAGTTAAAAGGCAAGATGCCCAACAAGACTGCCCTTACTTCAGATGGTAGTTATACTTTGGGGATCCCAGGCCACCTGTACTTCTAACCAACTCATTACAAATTCAGGGATTCCAGCAGGGCATGGTGACTCCCAGCACTGAGAGGCTAAGGCAGCACGATCACTGGAGCCCAGGAGTTTGAGATCGGCCCGGGCAACATAGAGAGACCCCCATCTCTATGAATAATTTTTTAAAATTAGCCAGGTGTGGTGCCACGCACCTCTGGTTCTAGCTACTAGGGAGGCTGAGGTAGGAGGATTGCCTGAGCCCGGGAGGTCAAGGCTGCAGTGAGCTATGATCGCACCACTGCATTCCAGCCTGGGTGACAGAAGAAGACCCTTGTCTCAAAAAAATTCAGGGGTTCCCATGACCCCTCTGGTTCAATATTCACTAGAACTCACAGAACTCAGAAAAGCACTGTATTTACAATTATAGTTTTATTATAAAGGATACAAATTTGGGCCAGTGAAATGAAGAGACATACGGCAAGGTCTGTAAGGGTCCTGAACACAAACTTCTGTCCCCTTTCCCCATGGAATCACCCTCCCAGCCCATCAATGGATTTACCTACCAGGATGATCCACCAATTTTGTGTTGAGAGTTTTTACTGGCGTTTCCTAACATAGACACGATTGAATCATTGGCCACATAACTAAACTCAACCTCCAGCCCCCTTTCTCTCCCCAGAGATTAGACTTCCTCAAGCATCAGCCCTCCTATCACATGGTTGGTCTTTCTGGTGACCAGCCCCCATCCTGAATCATCTCATTAACATAAACTCAGTTATGATCCAAAAGGCTCATGAATAACAAAGAAAGATACTTCTATCACTTGGAAAATTCCAAAGGTTTTAGACACATTATGCCAGGAACCCCAGGAAAAAGGCTAGTCACATTCTTTATTATACACCAAAAAACAAACTTAAAACTCTCTACTCCAGGTGAATAGGGTTGTAAATTTAAAAAAAAAAAAACAAAGTAAACTTAAAAAAACCTCTCAACTTACAAAAATAAAGATAAACATAGAAAAAGATATCCAAGGCCACTGATGCCCACTCATTTTAGGGGCACTAAACTCCACTCTGAAGTAAGAGCAGTCTTGCTGAAAATTATTAGGATTTCAGATACCACTTATCTACTAACCATTTTTAAAATTTGGTGTGCATTAAAGTTAACCATATCCAGAATTCTCTGATGATGGCTACAAAAAAAGCCCTGGAGTACCGCCAACAACATAGGGCTTCTTTTTTTTGGGCTGAGAAACCAACCAACTAGTTGAGCATTGGATGCTTGGTCTAGAAATGCCAAGACAAATCACCTGCCCTGTTAAAAATCATGGAGTCACCAAAAACAAAGCTCCAATAATCTTCCCCAAAAGAACCCTCAAGAACATGACAATTCTTACCACTGAGTTTAAGATGAAAAAAAAAAAAAAGAACAGAATAAGAAAGAACATAAGTATGTCTGCTGATAGCATGAAGTAAACTCTTTGAATTATAATTTTACTTTTAAAATATTGGATGCCTCGAAAAAACAAAAGCACATGTATCACTTCATTCTGAGAAATTTGTTAGGCAATTTCATCATTCTGCAAACATTACAGAGTGTACTTACACAAACCTAGATGGTACAGCCTACAACACACCTAGAATATATGGTAAAGCCTATTACTCCTAGGCTATTTGTATATCTAAACATAGAAAACGTATGGTAAAAATATGGTATAAAAGTAATTTTACACTTGTGTATGGCACTTGCAGGACTGGAGTTATTTCGGGTGTAGTCAGTGAGTGAGTGGTAAGTGAATGTGAAGGTCTAGGACACTACTGTACACTAAGGTAGACTTTATAAACACTGTATCCTTAGGCTACACAATCTATAAAAAATACGTTTTTTCTTCAATTATAACCTTAGCTTACTGTAACTTTTACTTTATAAACCTTAATTTTTTTTTGTTTTTGGGATGGAGTCTTGCCCTGTCACCTAGGCTGGAGTCCAATCATGGTACGATCTCAGCTCACCTCAATCTCCACCTCTCGGGTTCAAGTGATTCTCCTGCCTCAAGCCTCCCAAGTAGCTGGGATTACAGACGCCCGCCACCACACCTGGTTAATTTTTGTATCTTTACTAGAGATGGGGTTTCACCACGTTGGTCAGGCTGGTCTCGAACTCCTGAGCTCAGGCGATCCACCCACCTCTGCCTCCTAAAGTGCTGGGATTACAGGCGTGAGCCAACGCACATGGCCCAACTTTAAACTTTTTTCTAACTTTTTTTCTCTTTTTTAAAGAAATTAGGTGTTCCTATGTTGCACAGGCTAGAGTGTAGCAGCTACAAACAGGCGTGATCATGGCCCACAACAGCCTCAAACTCCTGGGCTCAAGCAATTCTCTTGCTTCAGCCTCAGGGTAGCTGGGACTACAGACACTCAGCTCTTCTTTTGACTTTTTGACTCTTTTGTAATAACATTTACCTTAATACATAAACGCACTGTACAGGTACACAAAAATATTTTGCTGGATGGGAATGGTGGCCCACACTTGTAATCCAAGTACTTTGGGAGGCTGAGGCAGGAGAATTGCTTGAGCCCGAAAAGTTCAAGACCAACCAAGGCAACATGGTGAGACTCCGCCTCTACAAAAAAATAGAAAAAAACTAGCTAAGTGTGGTGGCCAGCGCCTCTGGTCCCAGCTACTCCAGGCTGAGGTGGGAGGATCTTGCTTAAACCCAAAAAGCTGAGGTTGCAGTGAGCTGTGATCGCACCCGGGCAACAGAGCGAGCCCCTGTCTCCAAAAAAAAAAAAAAAAAAAAAGAAAGAAAGAAAAATTGATTTATATTCTTATCCTTTAAGCCTTTTTTTTATTTTTTTACCAGGTGCAGTGGTTCATGCCCATAATCCCAGCACTTTGTTTTTTTCTTGTTTTTTGTTTGTTTGAGACAGAGCCTTGCTCTGTCACCCAGGCTGGAGTGCAGTAGCGCGATCTCAGCTCACTGCAACCTCTGCTTCCCAGGTTCAAGCAATTCTCCTGCCTCAGCCTCCCGAGTAGCTAGGACTACAAGCACATATCACCACACCCGGCTAATTTTTTATATTTTTTGGTAGAGACGGGGTTTCACCATGTTGGCCAAGCTGGTCTCGAACTTCTGACCACAAGTGATCCACCCACCTTGGCCTTCCAAAGCGCTGGGATTATAGGCGTGAGCCACCGCACCCAGCTCAAGTGAGGCAGGTAGATCACTTGAGCCCAAGAGTTTGAGACCAGCTTGGGTAACAGAGCAAAATCTCCTCTCTATTAAAACAGAAATAAATGAAAATGAAGGCTGGGCGCAGAGGCTCACGCCTGTAATCCCAGCGCTTTGGGAGGCCCAGGTGGGCAGATCACCTGAGGTCAGGAGTTCGAGGCCAGCCTGGCCAACATGGGGAAACCCTGTCTATACTAAAAATACAAAAATTAGCTGCGCATGGTGGCACGAACCTGTAGTCCCAGCTACTTAGGAGGCTGAGGCAGGAGAACAGCTTGAACCTGGGAGGCAGAGGTTGCAGTGAGCCAAGATCATGCCACTGCATTCCAACCTGGGCAACAGAGCAAGACTCCATCTCAAAAATAAATAAATAAATAAGAAAAAAATATATATGTGTATATATACACACATAAATATATATGTGTGTATATATACACACACATAAATGTGTGTGTGTATACGTGTGTATACACACACATAAATGTGTGTGTGTATACGTGTGTATACACACACATAAATGTGTGTGTGTATACGTGTGTATATATTCTTATACGTATATATTTTATATATACGTTTATATATACGCATATATTTTATATACATACGTATATATACGCATGTATATAAAATATATGCGTATATATACATATATATGTATGTATATACATACATATATATGCGTGTGTGTATATATATATATATATATATATATTTTTTTTTTTTTTTTAAGCTTTTTTGTTAAAAACTAAGACACAAGCCGGGCACAGTGGCTCACGCCTATAATCCCAGCATTTTGGGAGGTTGAGGCAGGTGGCTCACCTGAGGTCAGGAGTTTGAAACCAGCCTGGCTAACATGGAGAAACCCCATCTCTACCAAAAATACAAAAAAAAAATTAGCCGGGCATGGTGGCACACACCTGTAATCCCAACTGCTCGAGAGGCTGGGGCAAGGGAATCACTCGAACCTGGGAAGCGGAGGTTGCAGTGAGCCAAGATCGTGCTATTGCACTCCAGCCTGGGCGACAAGAGCGAAGCTCCGTCTCAAAAAAAAAAAAAAACTAAGACACAAATGCATACATTAGACTAGTCCTATACAGGGTCAGGACCGCCTAGACCTAAGCAGGGTCTGGATCATCAATATCACTGTCTTCCACCTCTACATCTTGTACCACTGGAAGGTCTTTAGGGGCAAAAACACACATGGAACTGTGAGCTGTCATCTCCTTTGATTACAATGAATTCTTCTGGAATACCATTTGAAGGACCTGCCTGAGGCTGTTTTACAATTAACTTTTTTTAGTAAGTAGAAGGTATACACTCTTAAATAATGATTAAAAGTACAGTATAACTAAATACATAAACCAATAACATAATTATTATTATCAAGTATCATGTACTACAACAGTCCCCAACCTTTTTGGCACCAGGAACTGGTTTCATGGAAGACAATTTTTCCATGAAAATTGGAGAAGGGTTGGGGGATGGTTTCAGGATGATTCAAGTGCATCACATTTATTGTGCACTTTATTTCTATTATTATTACATTGTAATATATAATGAAATAATTATACAACTCACCATAATGTAGAATCAGTGGGAGCCCTGAGCTCAACTGGACAGTCCTTCAACTAGACAGTCCCATCTGGGAGTGATGAAACACAGTGACAGATGAGGCATTTGGTTCTCATAAGGAGAGCACCACCAAATCCCTGGCATGCACACTGTTCACAACGGTTCACGTTCCTATGAGAATCTAACGCACCACTGATCTGACAGGAGATGGAGCTCAGGCGGTAATACAAGCAAGGGAAGTAGCTATAAACACAGATGAAGCTTCACTTGCTTGCCCACTGCTCACCTCCTGCTGTGCGGCCCAGTTCCTAGCAGGCCACAGACCAATACTGGTCCATGGCCCAGGGGGTGGGGACCCGGGATGTACTATACATAATTATATGTACTATACTTTTATACAACTGACAGCAGGGTAGGTTTGTTTACACCAGCATCACCACAAACATGTAATGTGTTGTAACACAACATCATAATGTCACTAAGCGATAGGAATTTTTTAGCTCTATTATACTCAGGGGATTACCATTTTATAATGTAATCCCTCATTAATCAAAACATCATTATGCAGTGCAAGACTGTATAACATTGCAAACTGAACAATAACTCTCTAGCCACTGGTTTATCCAAAATATCTTTTTTTTTTTTTTTTTTTTAGAGACAGAGTCTTGCTCTTATCCAGGCTAGAGTGCAATGGCATGATCACGGCTCACTGTAGCATTGACCTGCTGGGCTCAAGTTATCTTCCCACCTCAGCCTCTCTAGTAGCTACAACTATAGGCGTGCATCACCACACCTGGCTATTATATTTTTTGTAGAGATGGGGTCTTGCTATGTCGCCCAGGCTGGTCCTAGGCCTCTGGCCTCAAGCGGATTGCCTCGAAAAAATATTTTTTCTTTTTTTTGAGACAGAGTCTCACTGTGTTGTCCAGGCTGGAGTGCAGTAGCTCAATCTTGGCTCACTGCAACCTTCACCTCCCGGGTTCAAGAAATTCTCATGTCTCAGCCTCCCAAGTACCTGGGATTACAGGTGTGCACCACCACACCTGGCTAATTTTTGTATGTTTAGTAGAGACGGGGTTTCACCATACTGGCCAGGCTGGTCTCAAACTCCTGATCTCATGTGATCCCACCTGTCCCAGTCTTCCAAAGTGCTGGGATTACGGGTGTGAGCCACCACAACTGGCCTCCAAAAAATCTTCATCCGAATTTCTACATCGTTAGTAACTGTCTTTGCACACGTATCTTGTGGTCATCACATCTTAAAACTGCTGACAAATTAGGCCGGGTGGGGCGGCTCACGCCTGTAATTCCAGCACTTTGGGAGGCCGAGGCAGGTAGATCACCTAAGGTCAGGAGTTCGAGACCAGCCTAGCCAACATGGTGAAACTCCATCTCTATTAAAAATACAAAAACTAGCAGGGCGTGGTGGCGGGCGCCTGTAATCCCAGCTACTCAGGAGGCTGAGGCACGAGAATCGCTTGAACCCGGGAGGTGGAGGTTGCAGCGAGCCGAGATCATGCCATTGCACTCCAGCCTGGGCAGCAAGAGTGAAAAACTTCATCTCAAAAAAAAAAAAAACAAAAAAAAACAAAACTGCTGACAAATTTCCAGGCAGCTATCTGGGCTTGGACCAAGAAAAACTCAAGCCATTTATTTTCAGATCTAAAATTCATTTAAATGGCACCTCAAATGCAAAATAAATAAGCTAAAAGTTTTAGTTACCAGCCTCTGAACACGCACATTTTTTCTTTTAATTCCAAAGAAACATATACTAAATTTTACTCCAAAGAGGAAAAATTACACAAGAAAAACTTAGTGAATATACAATATACAAGAACAGTCCTAGCAAGACACATGCTTTAAGAGACACAAAACAGCTGTCCCAACACCTGTAATGATTCCTGAAAGTACATCATCTAAAATTATTACAAAACGATTTTTTTTTTAATTTTTTAAGCTGCTCCTTGAGGATAAGGGCTAACTCACAGGCAGTGCACCAAGAGCCACTATAAAAAGATCCTTAATGAGCAAAATATATCCCCTATTATTTTCCTACAAGTTGCTTTTTACTTGAGTAGGAACCCTTGATTGATTTTTGCTGAGCAAACAGTCTTGAAATAATTCCATTCTTTGACAGAGCTAAAAACTAAGGCTGCTGTGTGCCAAAGACAATGAAAACAAGTTCCTCATACAGTCTCCAGATTGTGCAAATACATCCAATCTGACCTTGCCCACATATTATGAGTCTGTAGCTTGTCCAAGAGCCCCAAGTGCATTTGATCCTTCCAATGACAACATTTCAAAAGCTGCTTGTAGGTTATTGAAAATGAATTAGCAAAGCTCACTTTTTGTATTAACACTGGCGCAATCACAGCTCACCATAGCCTCAAACTCCTGGGCTCAAAGAATCCTCCTTCCTCAGCCCCCCAAGTAGCTGGGAATACAGGTGCACATCACCATAACCCAGCTAATTGTTTTAATTTTTTGAAAAGATGGGGGGTCTCGCCATATTGCCCAGGCTGGTCTTGAACTCTTGGGCTCAAGCAATCCTCCCACCTTGGCCTCCCAAAGTACCAAAATTATAGGCGTGAGCCACTGCACTCAGGCTAATTTCTTAAAATAATCATATTTCCTTAAGAAGCGTCACCATATAAACAGCCCACGGTTCCTCTTGTGTTTAGAAAATTGTTTCTTGCCAGGCGCAGAGGCTCACCCCTGTAATCCCAGCACTTTGGGTGGCCGAGGCGGGTGGATCACCTGAGGTCAGGAGTTCAAGACCAGCCTGGCCAACATGGTGAAACCCCATCTCTACTAAAAACACAAAAATTAGCCGGATGTGGTGTCAGGCACCTGTGTAATCCTAGCTACTCGGGAGGCTGAGGCAAGAGAATTGCTTGAACCCAGGAGGCGGAGGTTGTGGTGAGCCAAGATCGCGCCATTGCACTTCAGCCTGGGCGACAAGAGTGAGACTTGGTCTCAAAAAAAAAAAAAAAGAAAGAAAGAAAGAAAATTGTTTCTTCCGGCCAGGCGCAGTGGCTCACGCCTGTATTCCCAGCACTTTGGGAGGCCAAGGAAGGTGGATCACCTGAGGTCAGGAGACCAAGACCACCCTGGCCAACATGGTGAAACCCCTTCTCTACTAAAAAATACAAAAACTAGCCGGGCATGGTGGTGTGCACCTATAATCCCAGCTACTTGGGAGGCTGAGACAGCAGAATCGCTTGAACCCGGGAGACAGGTTGTAGTGAGCTGAGATCGCGTCACTCCACTCCAGGCTGGGCAACAAAGCAAGACTCCGTCTTAAAAAAAAAAAAAAAAGAAAAAAAAGAAAAAGAAAATGGTTTCTTCCACCCAGCCATACTCTCATAGCCACTTTACAAAAGGGCAACACAATCAAAAGTTTACTGCCGTCCAGCAGTAAAAGCTCAGAAGGAGAGGAAAAATAGGCCACATACATTTTTAGCTAAATAAGTGGAGGTCAGGGTCCATACGGAGCAGAAATCCCATATTCTCATACCTCTTCATACCTCTTCAGTGTGAACCAAGCAAAGGAGGAGAGTAGCTCTCCTGTGAGGTAGAGGCATAAATCAGACTGTACTTCAGGTATGTGACACCTGAAGCACAGCAACACGGAAAAAAAACAATAACAAACAAAAAAGAGCTAAAATTGTACTTCATAAAAATTTTAAAAACTTTTATGCTTTAAGAATGTGAAAAGAAGGCTGGGCGCAGTGGTTCATGACTGTAATCCCAACACTTTGGAAGGCTGAGGCAGATGGATCACTTGAGCCCAGGAGTTCAAGACCAGCCTGGGAAACATGACAAAATCCCACCTTTACAAAAATTAGCCAGGCGTGGTGGTGCATGCCTGTAGTCCCAATTACTTGGGAGGCTGAGGCAAGAGGGTTACTTGAGCCTGGGAGGTCAAGGCTGCAGTAAGCCATGATCATCGCTGCACTCTAGCCTGGGCAACAGAGTGAGAACCTGTCTCAAGAAAAAAAAAAAAAAAAAGGTGAAAAGACAATTCACAAAATGGGAGGAAATATTTGCAAATCACTTATCATATAAGGAACGAGTTTCCAGACAAAAAGTTTCAACAACAAAAAGACAAATAAACTAATAAAAAATAGACAAAAGACTTGAATAGACTTTTCTACCAAAAAAACATACAAATGGGGGCAGGCCACAGTAACTCACAAATTCCCAGCACTTTGAGAGACTGAGGCAGGAGGATCACTTTTTTTTTTTTTTTTTTTTGAGACAAAGTCTCATTCTGTCACCCAGGCTGGAGTGCAGTGGCACGATCTCAGGTCACTGCAATTTCCGCCTCCCGGGTTCAAGTGGTCTTCCCACCTCAGCCTCCAGAGTTGCTGGGACTACAGATGTACACCACCACGCCTGCAAATTTTTGTATTTTTAGTAGAGACGGGGTTTCCCCATGTTGGCCAGACTGGTCTCGAACTCCTGATCTCAAGTGATCTGCCTGCCTCGGCCGCCCGAAGTGCTGGGATTACAGGCGTGAGCCACTATGCTTGGCCTGGCAGATAACTTTTGAAACCAGGAGTTCGAGACCAACCTGGCCAACATGGCGAAACCCTATCTCTACTGAAAAAAAATGGCAGGGTGTGGCCGGTTGCTGTGGCTCACGCTTCTAATCCCAGCACTTTGGGAGGCCAAGGCGGGCAGATCATGAGGTCAGCAGATCGAGGCCATCCTGGCTAACACGGTGAAACCCCATCTATACTAAAAATACAAAAAATTAGGCGGGCGTGGTGGCAGACGCCTGTAGTCCCAGCTACTCGGGAGGCTGGGGCAAGAGAATGGTGTGACCCAGGAGGCAGAACTTGCAGTGAGCGGAGACTGCACCACTGCACTCCAGCCTGGGGGACAGAGCAAGACTCCGTCTCAAAAAAAAAAAAAAAAAAAGCCAGGTGTGGTAGCTTATATGCCTACAGGCTGAGGCAGGAGAATTACTGAACCCAGGAGGCGGAGGCTGCAGTGAGCCAATCGTGTCACTGCACTGCAGCCTGAGTGACAGAGCAAGACTCAGTCTCAAAAAAAAAAAATTCTAGGGACCCAAAATAGCCAAAACAATTCTAAAAAAAGAATGAACTTGGAGAACTCATACTTCCTGATTCCAAACCTACTAGAGTTATCTATAGTAATCAAGACAATGTGATATTAGCATGTGGTCAGACATATAAATCAATGGAACAGAACTGAGTCTAGAAACTGACTCACATTTACAGTCAATCCATTTTCTTTTTTTTCCCCATGTTACTGAGTCCATGCATAACAATCAATTTTCAACAAGAGTACCAAGACAATTAAGTGAGAAAAGAATAGTCTCTTCAACAAATGGTGCTGAACAACTGGATATTTACATGTAAAAGAATAAAGTACTCGGCCAGGCACGGTGGCTCATGCCTGTAATCCCAGCACTCTGGGAGGCCAAATCAGGTGCATCACGAGGTCAGGAGTTCAAGACCAGCCTGACCAACATAGTGAAACCCCGTCTCTACCAAAAATACAAAAAATTAGCCAGGCGTGGTGACGGGTACCTGTAATCCCAGCTACTCGGGAAACTGAGGCAGGAGAATCGCCTGAACCCAGGAGGCGGAGGTTGCAGTGAGCCAAGATTGTGCCATTGTGCACTCCAGCCTGGGCGACAGTGCGAGACTCCGTCTAAAAAAAAAAAAAAAAAAAAAAAAAGAAGAAGAAAGCTTTTTTAATATATATATATTAAAAAAAAAAAACTCAAAATGTACCAAAGACTTAAATGCAAAAGATAAAACTATAAACTTCTAGAAGAAAATACAGGGGTAAATTTTCATGACCTTGGATTTGGCAACGGTTTCTTAAATATGACACCTATAGCACAAACAAGAAAAGAAAAAAGACACATCCGATTTCATCAGAATTAAAAACATTTGTGCTTCAAAGGACACCAAAAAAGTGAAAAGGCTGGACACAGTGGCTCATGCCTATAATCCCAGCACTTTGGGAGGCCAAGGCAGGAGGATCCCTTGAGGCCAGGAGTTTATGACCAACGCTGGCAACATAGTGAGACCCAATCTCTACTAAAAAAAAAAAAAAAATTTTGTTTAGTTAGCCAGAGGCCAGGCACATTGGCTCACATCTGTAATCCCAGCACTTTGGGAGATGAGGCGAGCAAATCACCTGAGCTCAGGAGTTCGAGACCAGCCTGGGCAACATGGTGAAACCCCATCTCCACAAAAAATACAAAAATTAGCCAGGCATGGTGTATGCCTGTAGTCCTAGCTACTTGGGAGGCTAAGGTGAAAGGATCGCTTGAGCCTGCAAGGGTTAGGCTGCAGTGAGCTATGATTGCACCACTATACTCCAGCCAGGGTGACAGAGACCCTGTCTCAAAAATAATAATAATAAAAATAAAAATTAGCCAGGTATGAAAAAAAAAATTAGCCACTTATGGTGGCGCATGAGCCCAGGAGCCCAGCTATGGTGGCATGAGCCCAGGATTTCAAGGCTGTAATGACCTATGATTCTGCTAATACACTCCAACCAGGGCAACAGAGTGACACCCTATCTTAAAAAATAAGAAGAAATGCAACTGACAAATACATGGAAAGATGTCCACTCAACATCATTAGTCATTAGAGAAATGCAAATCAAAACCACAATGAAGTACTACTTCACACCCACTAGTTTGGCTATAATAATTTTAGAAGACAGATACGTTCAGACAAGGATGTAGAGGAATTAGAATCCTCAAAACACTGCTGGTTGGAATGTAAAATGGTTCAGCCACTTTGGAAAACAGACTGGCAATTCCTCAAAAGGTTAAACAGAGCTACTATATGGCCCAGCAATTCTACTCCTATGAGAAATGAAAACAGCTCCACACAGAACTTGTACACACAAATATTCGTAGCAGCATTATTCATAATAGTCAAAGAGTGGGAACAATCTATATGTCCATCAACATATGAATGGATAAATGGTATATCCAGAAATGAATGGTATTTCCAGACAACAGAATAGTATTTAGCAATAAAAAGAAATGAAGTTTATTTAGAACAAGTGGAAAAAGGAAAAAAAAAAAAAAAGTACTGATACATGCTTACAACATGGATGAACCTTGAGTACATTATGCTAAGTGCCAGCGGCAAAAGACCACATATTGGCTGGGCACGGTGGCTAACGCCTGGAATCCCAGCACTTTGGGAGGCTGAGGCAGGCGGATCACAAGGTCAGGAGATCGAGACCATCCTGGCTAACACAGGGAAACCCCATCTCCACTAAAAATACAAAAAATTAGCCGGGTGTGGTGGCGGGCGCCTGTAGTCCCAGCTACTCGGGAGGCTGAGGCAGGAGAATGGCGTGAACCCAGGAGGCGGAGCTTGCAGTGAGCTGAGATCACGCCACTGCACTCCAGCCTGGGCGACAGAGCAAGACTCCGCTCAAAAAAAAACAACAACAACACATATTATATGATTCCATTTATATGAAATATGCAGGATAGGCAAATGGTAGAGACAAAAGTAGATTAGAGGATGCCTAGGGATGAGGGGAATGAGGGTGTTGGTGAGGTGATGACTAAAGTGTATGGTGACCGGGCGCAGTGGCTCACACCTGTAATCCCAGCACTTTGGGAGGCCGTGGTGGACAGATCACCTGAGGTTGGGAGTTCGAGACCAGCCTGGCCATCATGGTGAAACCCCATCTCTACTAAAAATACAAAAATTAGCTGGGCATGGTGGCACATGCCGGTAATCCCAGCTACTTAGGAGACTGAGGCACAAGAATTGCTTGAACCCAGGAGGGAGAGATTGTAGTGAGCTGAGATCTCACCACTGCACTCCAGCCTGAGCAACAGAGAGAGACTCCATCTTTAAAAAAAAAAAAGAAAAAAGAAAAGAAAAACAAAACAGTATATGGGACTTTTTTTGGAGTGAGGAAAAATGTTCTAAAAATTGTTATGGCGCCAGGCGCGATGGCTCATGCCTGTAATCTCAGCACTTTGGGAGGCCGAGGCAGGCGGATCACGAGGTCAGGAGATCGAGACCATCCCGGCTAACACGGTGAAACCCTGTCTCTACTAAAAAAAAAAATACAAAAAATTAGCTAGGCATGGTGGTGGGCGCCTGTAGTCCCAGCTACTCGGGAGGCTGAGGCAGAAGAATGGCACGAACCTGGGAGGTGGAGCTTGCAGTCAGCCGAGATCGCGCCACTGCACTCCAGCCTGGGCGACAGAGCAAGACTCCGTCTCAAAAAAAAAAATTGTTATGGTTGGTCAGGTGCAGTGGCTCATGCCTGTAATCCCAACACTTTGGGAGGCCGAGGCAGACAGATCACCTGAGGTCAGGAGTTCAAGACCAGCCTGGCCAACATGATGAAACCCCATCTCTACTAAAAACACAAACATTAGCCGGGCGTGGTGACACGCGCCTGTAATCCTGGCTACTCGGGAGGCTGGGGCAGGAGAATTGCTTCAACCCGGGAGGCAGAGGTTGCAGTGAGCCAAGATCACATCATTGCATTCCAGCCTGGACAACAAGAGCAAAATTCCGTCTAAAAAAAAAAAAAAAATTATTATGGTGACGGCTGCACACAGATATGAAAAACCAATTATACATTCTAAATAGTTGACTTGTATGTGAAGCATATCTCTATAAAGCTGTTACCTAAAAAAAAAAAAAAAAAATGCTGAGAGACCGGCAAGTATAAATGCTTTATGGTAATTACAGAAGTGAAACAATTCTGAATGTCGATTTATTGTTTGTATGCAGCTACAGTAATTTATTAATAAGTTTATACTCTTCAGGCATCTCTCAACATTAAATACGCATTATAATACTTTATACTTTGAAGTTATGTCCTGTTTGATATTAAAGCTGTTATTAAAATAACAGCTAGTAAGTTTTTTGACTCTTTCCAATAGGATACAATTTTATAAACTGAATTGGTGGTTAGTCACAAGGACCTCACTAAGCAAAGCTTCCTTGCTATATACAGTTATTACATATGATACTTCTTGTTCTTTTTTTTATTGGCTCTGGAGTTGAAACATATCCTATTTCTAATTTAAGTAGTGTAGACTTATTCTAATGTCATTGGGTATACAATTCATTTTTTCTTCCTTTTTAAATTGTGGTAAGATGTACATAAAATGTGCCACTTCACCATTTTAAGTGTACAATTCAGTGTCATTAAGTACATACATTGTGCAACCATCACCATTATCCAACTTCAGAACTTTTTCATTATCCCAAACTGAAACTCTGTACCTATTAAACAATAACACCCTATTACACCTTCCCCCAAGCCCTCGGTTAGCTCTCTTCTACTTTCTGTCCCTATGAATTTAGCTACTCTGGTTACCTTCTGTAAGTGGAATCATACATTATTTGTCCTTTTGTATCTGGCTCATTTCATTTAGGATAATATTTTCAATGCTGTAACATGAATAAGAATTTCATTCCTTCTTAAGGATGGTCAGGTATGGTGGCTCATGCCTGTAATCCCATCACTTTGGGAAGTCGAGGCGGGACGGGTGGATCACCTGAGGTTGGGAGTTTGAGACCAGCCTGGCTAACATGGTGAAACCCCGTCTCTACTAAAAATACAAAAACTAGCCAGGCATGGTGGCACACGCCTGTAATCCCAGCTACTCGGGAGGCTGAGGCAAGTGAACTGCTTGAACCCAGGAGGTGGAGGTTGCAGTGAGCAGGATCGTGCCACTGCACTCCAGCCTGGGAGACAGAGCAACACTCGGTCTTATGTATATATATACCATATTTTGTTTATCCATTCATTTATGGATGTATACCTGGATACCTGGTTTGTTTTCACCTTTTTTTTTTTTTTTTTTTTTTTTTTTGAGACGGAGTCTCACTCTCTCGCCCAGGCTGGAGTGCAGTGGCACAATCTCGGCTCACTGCAAGCTCTGCCTCCTGGGTTCACGCCATTCTCCTGCCTCAGCCTCCCGAGTAGCTGGGACTACAGGCACCCGCCACCACGCCCGGCTTATATTTTGTATTTTTAGTAGAGACGGAATTTCACTGTGTTAGCCAGGATGGTCTCAATCTCCTGACCTCGTGATCCGCCCACCTCGGCCTCCCAAAGTGCTGGGATTACAGGCATGAGCCACAGGGCCTGGCCCACCTTTTTTTTTTTTTTTTTTTTTGAGACAGTTTCGCTCTTGTTGCCCAGGCTGGAGTGCAATGGCGTGATCTCCGCTCACTGAAACCTCCACCTCCTGGGTTCAAAAGATTCTCCTGCCTCAGCCTCCCGAGTAGCTGGGATTACAGGCGCACACCACCACACCCAGCTAATTTTTTTTTTTTAATTTAGTAGAGATGGGGTTTTACCATATTAGTCAGGCTGGTCTCAAACTCCTGACCTCAGGTGATCCGCCCGCCTCGGCCCCCCAGTGCTGGGATTACAGGCACGTGCCATGTTTTCACCTTTTGACTACTGTAAATAATGCTGCAATGAGCACTGGAGTATAACTATCTGTTTAACTCCCTGCTTAAAATTATTTTGGGTAGGCCGGGAACGGTGGCTCACACCTGTAATCCCAGCACTTTGGGAGGCTGAGGCAGGCAGATCACAAGGTCAGGAGTTTGAGACCAGCCTGGTCAATATGGTGAAACACCATCTCTACTAAAAATACAAAAAATTACCCAAGTGTGGTGGCGCATGCCTGTAATCCCAGCTACTCGGAAGGCTGAGGTGGGAGAATTGCTTGAACCAGAAGGCAGAGGTTGCAATGAACCAAGATCCCGCCACTACACTCCAGCCTGGGTGACAGAACAAGACTCTGTCTCAAAAAAAAAAAAAAAAAAAAAAAAAGGTGTTTTGGTTATATACCTAGGAGTGAAATTGCTCTACCTATGATAATTCTATGTTTAACTACTTTTTGAGGAACCACCAAATTGTTTTCCACAGCAGCTGAACCATTTTACATTCCCATGAGTAATGCACAAGGGTTCCAACATCTCCACATCTTGGCTATTTTCTGTTTTTAATACCAGCCATCCTAACAGGTATGAAGTATCTCATTGTATGCAATGTATTTTTCATTTATTATTTGTAAATAGAAATCCACCTTGTAGTGATTTCTATAATTATGTAGCGCAGCCACCTGAGACACCAAAAATACTTAAATACCAATAAAATAGGGTACAAAGATTTTAAGTCAACTCAATTTTGAAAAAGGTATCAAAGATGACAAAGAATGACGATATAATACAAAAACTTGTCACTGAATTATAAATTACCTTGGACAGTATGGCCATTTTCACTATATTGATTCTTCCTATCCATGAGCATGGAATGTTCTTCCATTTGTTTGTATCCTCTTTTATTTCATTGAGCAGTGGTTTGTAGTTCTCCTTGAAGAGGTCCTTCACGTCCCTTGTAAGTTGGATTCCTAGGTATTTTATTCTCTTTGAAGCAATTGTGAATGGGAGTTCACTCATGACTTGGCTCTCTGTTTTTCTGTTATTGGTATATAAGAATGCTTGTGATTTTTGTGCATTGATTTTGTATCCTGAGACTTTGCTGAAGTTGCTTATCAGCTTAAGGAGATTTGGGGCTGAGACAATGGGGTTTTCTAGATATACAATCATGTCATCTGCAAACAGGGACAATTTGACTTCCTCTTTTCCTAACTGAATAGCCTTTATTTCCTTCTCCTGCCTAATTGCCCTGGCCACAACTTCCAACACTATGTTGAATAGGAGTGGTGAGAAAGGGCATCCCTGTCTTGTGCCAGGTTTCAAAGGGAATGCTTCCAGTTTTTGCCCATTCAGTATGATATTGGCTGTGGGTTTGTCACAGATAGCTCTTATTATTTTGAGATACATCCCATCAATACCTAATTTATTGAGCGTTTTTAGAATGAAGGGTTGTTGAATTTTGTCAAAGGCCTTTTCTGCATCTATTGAGATAATCATGTGGTTTTTGTCTTTGGTTCTGTTTATATGCTGGATTACATTTATTGATTTGCGTATATTGAACCAGCCTTGCATCCCAGGGATGAAGCCCACTTGATCATGGTGGATAAGCTTTTTGATGTGCTGCTGGATTCAGTTTGCCAGTATTTTATTGAGGATTTCTGCATCAATGTTCACCAAGGATATTGGTCTAAAACTCTCTTTTTTGGTTGTGTCTCTGCCTGGCTTTGGTATCAGGATGATGCTGGCCTCATAAAATGAGTTAGGGAGGATTCCCTCTTTTTCCATTGATTGGAATAGTTTCAGAAGGAATGGTACCAGTTCCTCCTTGTACCTCTGGTAGAATTTGGCTGTGAATCCATCTGGTCCTGGACTCTTTTTGGTTGGTAAGCTGTTGATTATTGCCACAATTTCAGATCCTGTTATTGGTCTATTCAGAGATTCAACTTCTTCCCAGTTTAGTCTTGGGAGAGTGTGTCGAGGAATTTATCCATTTCTTCTAGATTTTCTAGTTTATTTGCGTAGAGGTGTTTGTAGTATTCTCTGATGGTAGTTTGTATTTCTGTGGGATCGGTGGTGATATCCCCTTTATCATTTTTTATTGCGTCTATTTGATTCTTCTCTTTTTTTCTTTATTAGTCTTGCTAGTGGTCTATCAATTTTGTTGATCCTTTCAAAAAACCAGCTCCTGGATTCATTAATTTTTTGAAGGGTTTTTTGTGTCTCTATTTCCTTCCAAGGTAATTTATAGATTCAATGCCATCCCCATCAAGCTACCAATGACTTTCTTCACAAAATTGGAAAAAACTACTTTAAAGTTCATATGGAACCAAAAAAGAGCCCGCATCGCCAAGTCAATCCTAAGCCAAAAGAACAAAGCTGGAGGCATCATGCTACCTGACTTCAAACTATAATACAAGGCTACAGTAACCAAAACAGCATGGTACTGGTACCAAAACAGAGATATAGATCAATGGAACAGAACAGAGCCCTCAGAAATAACTCCGCATATCTACAACTATCTGATCTTTGACAAACCTGAGAAAAACAAGCAATGGGGGAAGGATTCCCTATTTAATAAATGGTGCTGGGAAAACTGGCTAGCCATATGGAGAAAGCTGAAACTGGATCCCTTCCTTACACCTTATACAAAAATTAATTCAAGATGGATTAAAGACTTAAACGTTAGACCTAAAACCATAAAAACCCTAGAAGAAAACCTAGGCATTACCATTCAGGACATAGGCATGGGCAAGGACTTCATGTCTAAAACACCAAAAGCAATGGCAACAAAAGCCAAAATTGACAAATGGGATCTAATTAAACTAAAGAGCTTCTGCACAGCAAAAGAAACTACCATCAGAGTGAACAGGCAACCTACAAAATGGGAGAAAATTTTCGCAACCTACTCATCTGACAAAGGGCGAATATCCAGAATCTACAATGAACTCAAACAAATTTACAAGAAAAAAACTAACAACCCCATCAAAAAGCGGGCAAAGGATATGAACAGACACTTCTCAAAAGAAGACATTTATGCAGCCAAAAGACAAATGAAAAAATGCTCATCATCACTGGCCATCAGAGAAATGCAAATCAAAACCACAATGAGATACCATCTCACACCAGTTAGAATGGCAATCATTAAAAAGTCTGGAAACAACAGGTGCTGGAGAGGATGTGGAGAAATAGGAACACTTTTACACTGTTGGTGGGACTGTAAACTAGTTCAACCATTGTGGAAGTCAGTGTGGCGATTCCTCAGGGATCTAGAACTAGAAATACCATTTGACCCAGCCATCCCATTACTGGGTATATACCCAAAGGACTATAAATCATGCTGCTATAAAGGCACATGCACACGTATGTTTATTGCAGCACTATTCACAATAGCAAAGACTTGGAACCAACCCAAATGTCCAACAATGATAGACTGGATTAAGAAAATGTGGCACATATACACCATGGAATACTATGCAGCCATAAAAAATGATGAGTTCATGTCCTTTGTAGGGACATGGATGAAATTGGAAACCATCATTCTCAGTAAACTATCGCAAGGACAAAAAACCAAACACCGCATGTTCTCACTCACAGATGGGAATTGAACAATGAGAACACATGGACACAGGAAGGGGAACATCACACTCTGGGGACTGTTGTGGGGTGGGGGGAGGGATAGCATTAGGAGATATACCTAATGCTAAATGACGAGTTAATGGGTGCAGCACACCAGCATGGCACATGTATACATATGTAACTAACCTGCACATTGTGCACATGTACCCTAAAACTTAAAGTATAATAAAAAAGAAAAAAAACTTGTAAACTTTTACTCATCTGAGGCTAATTTCTAAAATCCTAAAGTGTTGTGTAAATAAAAATTGTCTCAAAGCAGGTTACTGCTTTGTGATTTACAGAGATGACAGTGAAACAAACCTGAAATAAAGCTTTTAAAAACAAATTTGTCCCTGGAAGATTGTTGTCACTGTCCTCAACTTAAAGATAAGAAAATCTGAGATCAAACAGGTTTGAGAATTTGTCCAAGACCACAAAGCAAACCTGTGGCAGAGTTTAGAAAATAATTTCTGATTTCCCAAAAACCCATGATGTAATGTGCAATAAATCAAGGGAAACCCAGAAGAGCCCTTGTTACTCCTTTAGCATGAATACACTTAGGGAGATTGCCCAGTGCACTGAAGCTTGTGACCTCCCACAGCAATGACCGTTAATTAACTCCTTCCCTGCCGTGACTTGAATACTGGGCCAGACCAGATACAACTCAGAACTAGTTTTGTGTGTGTGTGATCTAATAACACTAAGATCCTAACTTGGCCTCTCAAATGGTTTCATTGTTTTGTTAAATTTTAGTTGTTCAAAAGTAGGCCAATTCTACTGTTAAATTGACAAAGCATATGTTGAAGCAACCAAGGAAACTGTAATAGCTTCTTAACACTCTTGCGTAGATCAGATGTAGAAAGTGTTATTTTGGACAGGAGCAGTAGCTCATGCCTGTAATCCTAGCACTTTGGGAGGCCAAGGCAGGAGCATTACTTGAGGCCAGGAGTTCAAGACCAGCCTGGGCAACACAGGGAGACCCCGTCTCTATAAAACACTTAAAATTAGTAAGGCATGGTGGCACATGCCCTTAGTCCCAGCTACTTGGGAGGCCCAGGTGGGAGGATACCTTGAGCTTGTGAGGTTGGGGTTGCAGTGAGCCCTGATTGTGCCACTACACCCCAGCCTGGGTGACAGAGCGAGATCCTGACTTTAAAAAAAAAAAAAGGTGTGATGATCTTGGATCACCAAATCTGTGAGGGGAGGGACAGTCTCCAACTTGTTTCCTGCTCGGTCCTTATTGCGTACTCTTGGAGTTTATTGCAAACTCTTGGAGAAGGTTTACTATTACTAAATGATAAATCCTGACACAGCAAGTAGAGCCAATGAAGCTGCTCTCCTGATCTCAGTCTCTGCTGGGATCCTTTCCTTTAAAGCTACAACCCACCCACTAAACAAGAATATAGTTACTGGGTTTTTCCTTTTTCTTTTTTTTTTTTTTTGAGACGGAGTTCGCTCTGTCGCCCAGGCTGGAGTGCAGTGGCATGATCTTGGCTCACTGCAACCTCCGCCTCCCAGGTTCAAGCGATTCTCCCTGCCTCAGCCTCCCAAGTAGCTGGGACTACAGACGCCCGCCACCACGCCCGGCTAATTTTTGTATTTTTAGTAGAGACGGGGTTTCGCCATGTTGGCCAGGCTGGTCTCGAACTCCTGACCTCAGGTGATCCACCCGCCTCGGCCTCCCAAAGTGCTGGGACTACAGGCGTGACCCACCACGCCCGGCCAGGTTTTTCGTTTTCAAAAATGAGGTAGGGTGTCTATTTTGCCCAGGCTGGTCTCGAACTCTTGGATTCAAGCGATATTTCCTCCTCAGCCTCCAGAGTAGCTGGTATAGACTATAGGGGCCCACTGCCCCGGCCGGCAAGATAATTATTTACTCTCACCAAATTTGATTCAATCGTTTTGGCCAAGTTTTTAAAAATAGGAATATTCCCAGGGACCATGTTTGAAGAAATACAAACTCAAGTAAGCAGAGGTGAAATGACCTGAGAGATTTGCTTTAATACACTTCGGCAAAGAAAGAAAAAAGGTATGGATGAAACTTTGTGACAAACGCAACTGTTAAATGTAGGTGATGGCATATAGGGATTCATCTCACCTTTCCTCTTTTGTCTATGCTTAAAAGTTTTCACAGTAACTTTTCAAAAAAAATTATTATTTCCAAACAAACTTACTGTCCTATCAATTAAACACAAGTCACTGGATGAGAACGCTGTTGTCTTCGAAGCCAAAACTGGTGAAGGGTCTTAAGCAAAGGCGAGGGATCCTCTAGCAGGGCCGACAGCGCGCACGTTTCCTTCAAGGCTGGATCTGACAAATCACTCGGTGCGCTCTAGGGCTCGCAGGATCGCGGAGCTCAATTTGGAAGTGGCGCACGCGGGCTCACGCCGGTGTCTCAGGGAAACGCTAGAAACGCGGCTACAGAGCTCCCAATCCCAGCCTGCGGTCGGCTTGGCTGCGGCGCGACACCTGGCTCCCTGCCACCCCTCTAGACCTCTGGAGACCTCCTGCACCACTCCCCAGGGCCCCGCCCACAGCCTACCTTCCAAGTCCTCGTCCTCCTCCGACTCGCTGTCCCCTTTGGCGTCGGCGACACGGTCCGGGCCGGGTTCTGGCGGGGGGTGGCCCAGGCTCTGGCGTGGGGTGGCGGCGGGCAGGACTGAGGCTGGGGCGCGGGCCTCGCGCAGGCGGGTGAAGTACTCCACTGCGAATTCGACGAGGTCAGGCGGCTGCTGTCGCAGCACCTCCACCGTGTAGCCCTGCAGCAGCTCCGTGAGCCCCGGCGGGATCTGGATGTGGCTCATGCCGGCGGCGGCCGAAGGGATAGACGGGTTGGGCCGCCGGCGGCCACTGTCTCCGCGCTCACTCACGCCGGCCTTTCGCTCCGCGCCCGCGAGGTCTCTTCGCGCACGGCCCCGGCTCACGTCGCGCCGCTCTTTGGCCGGCTCTGCGTTTCCGGGCCGCGCAACCCTACGCTACCACGGCCGACCTGGCACCGCCGCCGCTGTCACTGGGCAGCCGCCGCCGCCGCGGGGACCGACGGGCAGGCGAGCTGGACGGGCGGGGCAGGCGTCCTGGTTGTGACGCACGCCACCGCGGGCGTGCGCGTCCCCGCTTAGCACCGGCCCTCAGTGCGCTTGCGCCACTAGATGACCCGCCCCCTCGGGCTGTCGGGGGGTCGAGACAGTGGAGTGTTCCTGATGCCAGCTCACGGAGGGAATCCAGGGAATTAGGTAATGAACGGTCTACCCATGAAGGGGACCGATTAGTGCCTCTCGCCTGGTCCTGAAGACCTTTAAATTATTCTTTCAGCTGATGCCAAGAGCCTCTTTTTGGCCAGCACTTACTAAGCACCAGAGACACAGCGAGAAGCAGAAGCATACGAGCACATCAGTGTGATTCTGCTGTGATGAAGGGCAAGAGAGGGCTCACTTTCCGGCGTGACATTCAAGCTAGCCCCGAGGCCTGAGCAGGACCCGCCCAGGGGAAGATCTGGAGGAAAGCCATCTGAACATACAACAAGAGCAAAGGCCTGGTGGAGTCAAGACCACCTTGGCTGCCAGGTGGAATGGTGGAATAACTCAGGAGTCTGTCAGGTCTCTGAGATGTCAAACGGGTAAGGCCTTGTAGGAAGTAGGCGTTTGAATGAGATCATAATTTGAGAGCCACAGACAGAAAAATAAATTTGAAAGAGTTCACTCAGCCAAATGTGTACAGTGAGAAAGGGAAATAAGGCCAAAAGCAGCAAAGACCTCTGTGCCTGTTCCTCCTGGAGCACTTTCACCAGGGTCCCCAGATCTAGGTCTGCCCATTCCTCTCCCCACATTCTACACTGGGCCCTAGGTCAACACTGCTTGATGAAGTTGAGCAGACCACAGGCATTGTTATCCTTTGCCCCTGGGAAGATGGTATAGGTGAACTGTAGAGGCCAGACTATTTCCCAAATTGCCCTCCTCCTCCTACCAAACTGGAAGGGTATTGAAAAAGGTGGAGACCTTCCTGGGATGTCCAGTCTACAGCCTACGTGCTAACCAAAGGCCCACTGGGCATAGAGCAGAGTCCCCCTCTCCTTACAGGCCTAGCCAGGAAGAGAGTAGCTGTAGGTTTGGGAACCTGAGGGCATTTGGGATGCTTAAACACCGCCTGGTAATTACTCAGTATTAATTAAAATCCTCCCTATCACCTCCCATACAGGCTTGGCACACACCCAGGAGCTCAATGCTGCTGGGAGCTGAGCAGCTGGGAGCAAGGAGCCCTCATCCCCACTGATGAAGAGGCCAGCCCAGGTTCTAGGCTAAGCAGGCCTGTGATTATAAACAGCAGTGTCTCCCTGGACAAGTTTCTTGACCCTGAGAAGAATGTTAGACCATCAACTTTGTGAGGGGACAGGCAGTCTCCAACTTTTTTCCTGCTCAGTCCTTATTGCATACTCTTGGAGAAGGTCTACTGACTTGTTCTCAGATGCCCCACGGCTCAGCCAACCACCCATCCAGCAGAGCATTCAAAAGGCATCTGGAAGGAATGAGGGCGACCGTTCTGCCAGGCCCCTATTTTTTTTTGAGAGGAGTCTCACTCTGTCGCCCAGGCTGGAGTGCAATGGCATGACCTCTGCTCACTGCAAGCTCTGCCTCCCAGGTTCAAGCGATTCTCCTGTCTCAGCCTCCCAAGTAGCTGGTACTACAGGCGTGCACCACCACACCCAGCAAATTTTTTCTATTTTTAGTAGAGATGGGGTTTCTCCATGTTGGCCAGGATGGTCTCAATCTCTTGACCTCGTGATCCACCCGCCTCAGCCTCCCAAAGTGCTGGGATTACAGGCGTGAGCCACCGCACCTGGCTTTTTTTTTTTCTTTTAGATGGAGTCTTCCTTTTGTCGCCCAAGGTGGAGTGCAATGGCACGATCTCAGCTCACTGCAACCTCCACCTCCCAGGTTCAAGCAATTCTCCTGCATCAGCCTCCTGTGTAGCTGGGATTATAGGCACCTGCCACCATGCCCAGTTAATTTTTGTATTTTCAGTAGAGACGGGGTTTTGCCATGTTGGCCAGGATGGTCTCGAACTCCTGACCTAGGGATCTGCCCGCCTTAGCCTCCCAAAGTTCTGGGATTACAGGCGTGAGGCACTGCACCTGGCCATTTTGTTTGTTTGGGTTTGTTTTTGAGATGGAGTCTTGCTCTGTTGCCCAGGCTGGAGTGCAGTGGCATGATCTCGGCCCATTGCAAGCTCCACCTCCCGGGTTCATGCCATTCTCCTGCCTCAGCCTCCAGAGTAGCTGGGACTACAGGCGTGCGCCACCATGCCCAGCTAATTTTTTGTATTTTTTAGTAGAGACGGGGTTTCACCATGTTAGCCAGGATGGTCTGGATTTCCTGACCTCATGATCCGCCTGCCTTGGCCTCCCAAAGTGCTGGGATTACAGGCGTGAGCCACCACGCCTGGCCTGTTTGTTTTTTTGAGACACAGTCTTACTCTGTTGCCCAGGCTGGAGTGCAGTGACGCGATCTCGGCTCACTGCAACCTCCACCTCCCAGGTTCAAGCGATTCTCGTGTCTCAGCCTCCCAAGTAGCTGGGATTATAGGTGCGCACCACCACGCCCGGCTTATTTTTTGTATTTTTAGTGCAGATGGGGTTTCACCATATTGGCCAGGCTGGTCTTGAACTCCTGACCTCAGGTGATCCGCCTGCCTCAGCTTCCCAAAATGCTGGGATTACCAGCATGAGTCACCACGCCCGGCCAAGAAAGACCCATATTTTGTTTTGTTTTCTTTTTTGAGATGGAGTCTTGCTCTGTCGCTCAGGCTGGAGTGCAGTGGCGCAATCTCTGCTCACTGCAACCTCCACCTCCTGGGTTCAAGCCATTCTCCTGCCTCAGCCTCCCGAGTAGCTGGGACTACAGGCGCACACCACCACGCCTGGCTAATTTTTGTATTTTTAGTACAGACAGGGCCAGACTGGTCACGAACTCCTGACCTCAGGCGATCCACCCGCCTCAGCCTTCCAAAGTGCTGGAATTATAGGTGTGAGCCATCGCACCTGGCCACCAGACCCCCATTAACTTCAGTAGGGATGGCACCAGGTTTGAGAGGCCAAAAGAGATCCAGAGCCAGCAAACAAGACTTAGGTTTGATTGAGGGGAATTTGCATACAGAGCAGTCCAGTGGAGGTGGGCTAGATAGGAGAACTGCCCCACCTGCAGAAAGTATGCAGTATATATAGCATTTTCACTTAACACCCTCCCCCTAACAACTTTGATTTAACCCAAAACAAAGGGGCTAAATCCCCTGTACATCCACAGGACAGAATGGGGGCTCAGATATTCCTCATGGGTAAGTAATGAATCTCTGGCTTGTCCTCACTTGGAACTCCTAACACATTCAGGTGCATCTGCCATACAGGGTCATTCTCAGAGTATGCTTAAGTTATTGCTGTCAGGTGCAGCTACCATACACAGGTGTGTCTGCCATATAGCCACAGAAAGCAGGAGTCCTACAGCTGCTCCTCATGGGTCTCCATAGACTAGTCTTAGAGCAAGGATGGGCAGCCAGCCTCCAGGTTTAACCTGGCACTCTCCCCCAGCACTTGGTCCCCAGAGCAGGGGTGCATCTCTCCCACTTCTGGTCAACCCTTCAGTAACAAGTAGAGCCCCCAGGGTCTTCATGAATATCTAGTTGAACTGGCTAAAGAAGAGGGCCCTGTAACAGGACAGAACACCAGGAGCCTGAACCCCGCATCTTCTACCCTTATCCTGCATTTATCCTGCCTGCATTCAAGCCTGTCCAGCTGCACCACTGGAGGTTACCATGGCAACTAAACCCAGAGGCAGCCGGTAACTGAGATACAGCTGCCAAGAGCAACTGATGGTGGAAAAGGCCAACAGCAGAGACTCTTAGAAGGAAGAGAAGTACACAGGAGGAGGCCCCAGAACCCTGAGGGTGCTACACTCAAATCTAATCCTACTCACAACTCAGCAGGCAGTCAACGTCTTGCACAAACTGCCATATCACCAACCAGAGGCACAGATATGGACACAATGGGGCCAATTTGCAGAGATGTTTGCAACTATGGATGCAGAGTAGCACAGGTGGGACACATGTTGTTTAGCCCAAAAGCAACGGGTCTTGGTGAAAACGAAAATGGGTAGGGTACCATTGCTGTTTCCAATGAAACAATGAATTTTGTGTGCTCTTGATAGGTTTGTTATTCAAACGTTTCTGTCTGTCTCTCCAAGATGAAGAGAGGGGCCTAAACTTCCCCGAACTCCTCTGAAGGCCTGCTCTTGGCTCAGATCCTCCAGCTTAAATACCTTATGCCCTCTGCATACTTGCAGGACTCAGGTCCAGCAGGAAAACCTCCCTCTTACTTGATCAAGGGACCACTTTTCTAAGCCATTCCAGTCCCCCACCCATTTCCTGGGATCCGCTGGTCACCTGACCACCTCTACATGCCAGGCCCTCCTGGATTTAGTACTCCCAGCTCACTTAGTTCCTACAAGCAACAGCTTCTATGTTGCCTTAGAAGTGTTCATGAGCCTTTAGTTGGCAAGAGAGATTGAGGAAGTGGGCTATGTTTTCTCGGCCCTTACCCAAGCTGTCTTTCAGCCTCTACTGTGGCTCCTCCAGCGAGGCCATTGCCTTTTGCCCAGGAAATCTAATCTGTTTTAACAAGTGCCCATGCTCCAGGGAGCAGTTAGCTCCCAGGCCACGTTTGTGTACCTGTGAGCCATCCCCACGCCTGAGACACTATGTCCTGAGAAAATGTCAGTCTCTGCAGTGGACCCAGGGTCTGCATCTGAGACACCTCAGGGCAAGGACAGAACCTAGAAAGCACAGGGAAGCTGGCTAGAAAATCACAGGTCTGCATGCTTACCATAGCAGAGAAAGCAGAAAAGGGACCCCTCAGGGACACCTGGCCCTGGGGCCTTCCCAGTGCTGTCAGGACTCTGTGTGCCACTCCTGATCTGACTCACAGGCCAAGTACCTAAGCTTGGACCAGGTGGTACAGACAGGTCTCCTGGAGCCTGGATCAAGCCTCTGATAGCATCACAAGTCTTTCTTCAGGAGACCCAGACAATCCCCACTTTATTATCAATTTGCCAATGACCTTTGCAGATCAGTTTACCCTGTCTGAGCCTTGGCATCCACATCTGAAAGTGGAAGTCAAAATCCCTACTCAGAGGCTTGGTGCAGTGGCTCATGCCTGTAATCGCAGCACTTTGGGAGGCCAAGGCAGGCAGATCACCTGAGGTCAGGAGTTTGAGACCAGCTTGGCCAACATGGTAAAACCCCATCTCTACCAAAAAATACAAAAATTAAGGCCAGGTGTAGTGGCTCACACCTGTAATCCCAACACTTTGGGAGGCCGAGGTGGGTGGGTGACTTGAGGTCAGGAGTTCAGGACCAGCCTGGCCAAAATGGCGAAACCCCATCTCTACTAAAAATACAAAAATTAGCTGGGCGTGGTGGTATGCACCTGTAATCGCAGCTACTCGGGAGGCTGAGGCAGGAGAATCACTTGAACCTGGAAGGCAGAGGTTGCAGTGAGCCAAGATCCAGCATCGTGCCACTGCACTCCGGCCTGGGTGAAAGAGGGAGACTCCATCTCAAAAAAAAAAAAAAAAAAAAATCCCTACCCATTAAACATTGAGTTACAAGGGGATAAAGAAATAAGAGAATAAACTTATAAGGAGGTTACAAAAGATGTAAGGGGTTCCAGCCTCAAAAGGCTGTAAGGAGGCTGGGCACGGTGGCTCATGCCTATAATCCCAGCACTTTGGGAGGCTAAGGCAGGCGGATCGCCTGAGGTCAGGAGTTCGTGACCAGCCTGGCCCCGTCTGTACTGAAAATACAAAAATTAGCCACGCGTGGTGGTGTGCACCTGTAGTCCCAGCTACTCGGGAGGCTGAGGCAGGAGAATCACTTGAACCCAAGAGGCGGAGGTTGCAGTGAGCTGAGATCGCTCCACTGCCTCCAGCCTGGGTGACAGAGCAAGACTCTGTCTCAAAAAAAAAAAAAAAGGCTGTAGGGAAACAACTGTGGGGTAGAGATAGTATGACTTTATAGCTGAAATGGTGCTACTGTGCTTTTAACAATCACTGTTGCAACAACCTGTGCTCCTTCCCTCACCTTTGGCCCAGTTATATGCTTCTTGATGCCTGGGTGAGGCTTTTATCACCAATTGGTTGTTTAAAAAAATCACTGTCTGGCTCCCAGTTGTGACTGTCTGTGAAAGAGAAATTGCTAGGGAGGCCCCAATTTTCCCCTACTCCTTACCCCTGTCAGGAAGAGAAGAGATATATCAGGAACAGGTGGCATTTCAAAGTGCATCATAAAAAGGAAGCACCAGCCAGGAGGGAGTTACTCAACATCTGCTCTGCTCCCATCACAAATATGCCTCCAGGGGCTTCCCTATTTGACTTAACATCTATTGAACACCCAAAGGACTAAAATAATCTACCATCACTAACATCAAAGAACCAAAATACTCCATTTTAAAATGGAAAATTTTTCAAAGGGCAAATTATCCAGAGGCACAGACTGTAAAAGTGATCCTAAGCCATGGGAATGGCTGGCATTTGGCTGAAATGCAAATACATTTACAGGGGCTTCTAGGCAAAAGCTGAGGTTTTTGAATAGTCTCAGCCGGGTGTGGTGGCTCACACCTGTAATCCTAGCACTTTGGGAGGCTGAGGTGGGTGGATCACTTGAGGTCAGGAGTTCAACACCAGCTTGACCAACATGAGGAAACCCCATCTCTACAAAAAATACAAAAATTAGCTGAGCGTGGTGGCAGGTGCCTGTAGACCCAGAGGCTGAGGTAGGAGAATCTTTTGAACCCGGGAGGTGGAGGTTGCAGTGAGCTGAGATCATGCCACTGCACTCCAGCCTGGGTGACAGAGCGAGACTCCATCTCAAAAAAAAAAAAAAATTTAAATTTAAAATTCAGAACAGTCTCAGGACTGGGTGATATCAAGAAGAGCTTCAGGCTGAGCACAGTGGTGCATGCCTGTAATCCCAGCACTTAGGAGGCTGAGGCAGGAGCCCAGGAGTTCAAGACCGGCCTGGGCAACATAGGAAGACTCCATCTCTACAAAAAATAAATATAAAAAATTAGCTGGGCATAGTAACACATGCCTGTGGTCCCAGCTACTCAGGAGGCTGAGGTGGGAAGATCACGTGGGCCCAGGAGGTCAAGGCTTCAGTGAGCCATGACCATGCCACTGCACTCCAGCCTAGGTAACAGAGTGAACCCTATCTCAAAAAATTTTTTTCTAATAAAATAAGATTTAAAAAGAAGAGCTTCAGGAGACACATATATGGCCATCTTCAAATCAATGAGATATTAAACAAAGACATCCTGCAGCGTTAGAGGAAGCAGGCTTAACATTTAATTAACCTTGCCAGACAGAGGATACACAATTTTCATCTTTAAAAACTGTTCATCCTTGGCCACATAGTGAGACATCATCTCTACAGATTTTTTTTTAATAGCCAGGCACAGCAGTACACTACAGGTGTACTGTATAAGTGTCTATAGTTCCACCTTCTTGGGAGGTGGAGGTGGGAGGATCATTTGAGCCCAGCAATGAGCTGAGCTCTGATCTCACCACTGCACTCTAGCCTGGCGGACAAAGTGAGACCCTGTCTCTAAAAAATTTAATTAACAAAAAATAAATTTTTTTTTGAGATGGAATCTCGCTCTGACACCCAGCATGGAGTGCAGTAAGGCGATCTTGGCTCACTGCAACCTCTGCCTCCCAGGTTCAAGTGATTCTCCTGCCTCAGCCTCCCGAGTAGCTGGGACTACAGGCATGCCCCACCATGCCTGGCTAATTTTTGTATTTTGAGTAGAGATGGGGTTTCACCGTGTTGGCCAGGCTGGTCTTGAACTCCTGACCTCAAGTGATCCACCCGCCTCGGCCTCCCAAAGTGCTAGGATTATAGGCGTGAGCCACTGTGCCCGGCCAAAAATGTTATTTTCTCCTCGGCCATAATTCCTATCTGGTCATTTAGAAACATATTCCAAGCTATAAAGCCTCCTTTAAAGTCCCAAGTCTTCAACTTCCTGCTGGGTTGATCACAGCCCCAACTCCCAGATAGGGGTGTGTCCCTTCCCTTCTTACCAGGTCTGATTCTGTTGCCCAGGCTGGAGTGCAGTGATGCACACTCGGCTCACTGTGGCCTCAACTTCTTGGGCTCAAGTGATCCTCCTACCTTAGCGTCCTGAGTAGCTGGGACTACAGGCACACACCACCATGTCTGACTAATTTTTTAATTTTTAAAAAATTTTGTGTACAGACAGAGTCTTACTATATTGCCCAGGCTGGTCTTGAACTCCTGGACTCAAGTGATCCTCCTTCCTTGGCTTCCCAACGTGTTGGGATTACAAGCGTGGCATGATCCAGTGCTCCCAGCTTTTTTTTTTTTTTTTTTTAACAGTTCAAAACTAGAGACAGAGTGATGGTTCTAAAGCCAAAGTCCAGGAGTCTCTATGCAGCTGCAGTGAGACAGGAAGTGCCAGTGGAACTGTAACTGTAACTGTGACCACCAGATGGGATAATGCCAGAAAAGCCCAGCTCCAGTAGCTTCAGCAAGCTCTCCCCTCCACCAGAAAGTAATAATCTAGCTTATGACTCTCCAACTCCCTCACCTTTTCTGGACACACCTGGATAGCATAATCTGCCTGATTAGTAAAGTTAAGCTAGCTACCTCAGATCGCACAGCAACTCCAAAGCCCACATGAAAACCCGAGATTGCTTTTGTCCTTTTAGAACAACTGACTCTCCATCTGTTAGCTCAGACACCCATGGTGCTCAGGGAAGAGAGGGGAATAAATGAAGGGATGGGTTGCAGGCTGGGCCTTGGGAGGGCCTGTCTGCCAGGCTTGCATTGAGGCCTGTGTGAACAATTACCAGTCGGGTCACACCACCCCACACACCCTCCCTAGAGCAGCCGGGGCTAGGGCAGTCAGAGAAGGCAGAGCCAGCCAAAACTTCCTCCTCCTCCACCTCCTCCTGCTGGATCCCCAGCCTAAGGTTCCCAGGGAAGAATACTGGATCCCTGAAAGCCTCCACCAAGGCTACAGGCTGCCTGCTGAAATGTCCCAGAATCAAAAGAAGAAAATATAACACAATGCAAAAATTAGAAACAACGTTTATTGTTTATTGTTAAAATAGTGAGCTCTCATGAGAAAAGAGTATGTAAAAAGGGCCTTCCTACACCCTGGGCTTTCTCACTTATCCCAGCAGACTGGGACTGTCCTCACTGTGTAGGAGGGAAAGTTCTCCACCTGCTCCCAGAAAATTAGGCTACTCCAGTTTTACTTTTGATTATTTGCAGGCATAAAAAAAAAAAATCAAAATCCAACGATTAACAGTCTATCTCCTCCTAGGCATATATGCTCAATCCACTTGGACACAGAGGTGGGCCTCAAGTCCATATCCACATGTACAGCCCAGGATTAGATGGCACCCTGGAAATCAAATGGGTATTCCTGGCTAGGGACTGAAGAAGATCTCAGCTCCTGGTGATCTGGTTGAAAATATGCACAGTGCCTCCAGTGAGAACCTGAGATTCTCTCTTTAATGAGGAATACTTTGACTGTGGTAGGACCAGCAGTTAACTGGTAGGCAGCATTCTTGCCACAGGTAGTATCTGGTCTGGAAGCTACTTGTTCCATTTCCAAATCCTTTTAAGATCCCTTAAATTGATAAGAATGAATTCAAGTTTCAAAATGACACACTAAGTTATACACGGTGCAGGATGTCATTAAGGCAACAGTCTCACCAAGTCCATGCACAGGGCTCGGATCTCACCATTCCCCTCCCCTTGCCCTCCAAGACTGCTTAGTTCTGCTTACTACTCCTTCTCCTCAACGACAGCTTCCAGCATCCAGAAGTGAACTTGAGCAGCCTTCAGCCTCACAAGTTGGGGGTGGCCCAATTAAGGAACTTCATGGCAACTTCAAAGCCAAGGAAACAGGCCTAAGAAGGGATTGGGAGGAAGAAAAAAGCCAGCAGGAATAACTATTCATAGACTATTCAAAGCACTATGCTTTGCTGGCCCTGTCAGGACCAGAGCCCCTCCCTAACCCCACACCCACTCCACATCAAGGATGCAAGCTCTACTCTCTCATTTTTAAGAGGAGAAGAAAATTTATATTCCACAACTGCCCACTTCTTTTTTTTTTTTTTTTGAGATGGAGTTTTGCTCTTGTCACCCAGGTTGAAGTGCAATGGTACAATCTCGGCTCACTGCAATCTCTGCCTCCCAGGTTAAAGTAATTCTCCTGCCTCAGCCTCCTGAGTAGCTGGGATTACAGGCACCCGCCACCACGCCCAGCTAATTTTTGTATTTTTAGTAGAGGCGGTGTTTCCCCATGTTGGCCAAGCTGGTCTCAAACTCCTGACCTCAGATGATCCACCTGCCTTAGCCTCCCAAAGTGCTGGGATTACAGGCACTAGCCACCATGCCTGGCCTCACAACTGCCCACTTCTAATGGCCAGGTCAGGAAATCAAAGCCCCTCACCTCAGAGATCCCCAAAGGCAAATCCTCCTGACAGCTTCAAGGAAGGGAGCAAATAAGGAATGCTCTGGCTGAAGATAGGGCTTTGGGAAAACTGAGACCCCAGTCCTATCCCAGGAACAAGCAAAAGTCAAACCACATGCACCCTGCCCTGAGCCCCAGAGGGAAAGCACAGCCCTGCCAGCTACTCACCGCATTGGCTGGGAAGGCTCGGATCATCACTGCATTGAACCCTTTGTACAAGGATGTGACTCCTTCATCCCGGATCAGCTCCCTCAGCACATCTCTGAAACCATTAGGATATTTCCCAGGAGGTGCTGTGGGGCAGAACCCAATTTTTAAGGCTTCAGGAAGGAGAAACTAGCAGTTAAGTCTTCCTGAAGGGTCAGGACTAGCACAGGGAAAGGACACCTTGCAGGTCATGTGGGACCAGTCCATAGACAACAGTTCACCTTGGGACAAATGCACAAATGCCTGAATTACTTGTGCCAAGGGAATAGAAACGAGGGAAGAAGAATGAAACAGCCCTTCTGTTCATGTGGGGGAGGAAGAGTGGACTTGACTTCTTATCACACTTACCTTGTGTTTAGGCTGTCATGAAAATGAATCTAGGGTTCCTAGAATGCAAATGACTGTGAGGGAGAATATTGGTCAGGCAGATGCTAGGTGCTGCCATGGAGAGTGAGTATCCCTAGGGCCTTATGAGCTTTGCACCCCAGGATTAGCCAGTGCTGGGGACCCACTCTCCCCCTGTCCACCCCACTACCTTCCACTCACCAGTCTGGAATCGAGACTTGAGCACATCTGGGGGGATTGCCACAGCCCAGTTGAAGATCCCTGCAATGCCCCCAGCCACCAAGATCCGAGGGGCACTGAGCTCACTGACCCTGTATAACACCAACCACAGCCCCAGTTAGACAAAGGCTGTGAGAGTGGCATTCAGACTATCCTGCCTGTGGCAGACAGGGCAGTTACAGACAGGCAGAAACTGGTTGGAGGGAGGAGGTATAAGGCCAGTGCTGCTGGCACTCCTTGGAGAAGGTTTCATGCACCTGTTTCAAATATTTGCTCCACTGGCTGAGGCACAGAGTAAGAAGAGCTAGCTGGACCTCAGCAGCCACAAGAGGAAAGCAGACATGGAGCCAGGAACAACAACTACTTCTGCTTTCAGATTCACCCACAGGAGAGGGCAACGCACCCATGACTGGGGAAAGTGGCTTCCAAGTTATGTTTTCCTCACCTCTTTCCCTCCGGAGTGAAGATATTTTTCAGCCATTCATATGTCATGAAATACATTCCACTAGCTGGGACATCTGTTAGTGGCAAGAAAAAGGTGAATTAAAGTACATAAACTCTTCGCCAGGCATGGTGGTACACACCTGTAATCTCAGCAATTTAGGAGATTGAGGCAGGGGGATTGCTTGAGGCCAGGAGGTCCGCGCTTGGCCTGAATTATTAGTAAAATTGTTTTTTAATTGGGTGACCAGATTTGGTTCAATTTATTTGCTTTCTAAACATTAGCGTATGGTAGTAATTTATGTAGACTAAAAAAGCATTAAAAAGAAAAAAATGCCAGGCATGGTAGCTCATAACTGTAATCCGAGCACTTTGGGAGGCTGAGGCAGGCACATCACCTGAGGCCAGGAATTCGAGACCAGTCTGGCCAATATGGCGAAAGCCTCGTCTCTACTAAAAATATAAAAATGGGCCGGGCATAGTGGCTCATGCCTTTAATCCCAGCACTTCGGGAGGCCGAGGCGGGCGGATCACAAGGTCAGGAGTTTGAGACCAGCCTGACCAACATGGTGAAACCCCGTCTCTACTAAAAATATAAAAATTAGCCAGGCGTGGTGGCGGGCACCTGTAATCCCAGCTACTCAGGAGGCTGAGGCAAGAGAATGGCTTGAACCCGGGAGGTGGAGGTTGCAGTGAGCTGAGACTGCGCCACTGCACTCCAGCCTGGCTGACAGAGTGAGACTCCATCTCAAAAAAAAAAAAAAATACAAAAATACAAAAATGGCCAAGCGTGGTGGCTCACACCTGTAATCCCAGCACTTTGGGAGTCCGAGGTGGGCGGATCACGAGGTCAAGAGATTGAGACTATCCTGGCCAACATGGTGAAACCCTGTCTCTACCAAAAATTAGCCGGGCATGGTGGTGCATGCCTGTAGTCCCAGCTACTCAGGAGACTGAGGCAGGAGAATCGCTTGAATCCAGGAGGTGGAGGTTGCAGTAAGCTGAGATCGAGTCACTGCACTCCAGCCTGGTGACAGAGCAAGACTCCATCTCAAAAAAAAATAATAATAATACAAAAAATACAAAAATTAGCCCGGCCTGGTGGCACATGCCTGTAATCCCAGCTATTCAGGAGGCTGAGGCACAGGAATCACTCGAACCCAGAAGGTGGAGGTTGCAGTAAGCCAAGATCACACTAATGCACTCCTGGCTGGGCAACAGAGCAAGACTCTGTCTCAAAAAAAAAAGAAAAAGAATATAGTATTATTATTATTATTACTTTACTTTTTTTTTTTTTTTTTGAGACGGAGTCTCGCTCTCTCGCCCAGGCTGGAGTGCAATGGTGCAATCTCGGCTCACTGCAACCTCTGCCTCCTGGGTTCAAGCAATTCTCCTGCCTCAGCCTCCTGAGTAGCTGGGATGCATGCGCCACCACGCCCGGCTAATTTTTGTATTTTTAGTAGAGATGGGGTTTCACCATATTGGTCAGGCTGGTCTTGAACTCCTGACCTCGTGATCCGCCCGCCTCGGCCTCCCAAAGTGCTGGGATTACAGGGGTGAGCCACCACGCCCAGCTATTATTATTTTAATAGAGACAGGGTATCACTATTTTACCCAGGCTGGTCTCAAACTCCTGGGCTCAAGTGATCCTCTCAACTCAGCCTCCCAAAGTGCTGAGATTACAAGTGTGAGCCACCATACCCGGCCCCCACAGATTTCTTGAATGTAGAAAAGCCAAGCTTGGCACTAGACCCTTCAGGGATTCTTGAGAAGTTCCTTAGCAGCCACATCCTATTTGCAACAATCACTTTGCAGCTATGGGATGCTGCTCTGGGCCAAGCACTGGTGTAAGTGAGTACAAACACACATGATATAATTTCATTAAAGTTCCCTCAGCTGGGCTTAGTGGCTCACGCCTATAATCCTAGCACTTTGGGAGACCAAGGCAGGTGGATCATCTGAGGTCAGGAGTTCGAGACCAGCCTGGCCAACATAGTGAAACCCTATCTCTGCTAAAAGTACAAAAATTAGCCAGGCATGGTGGCACACACCTGTAACCCCAGCTACTCAGGAGGCTGAGGCAGGAGAGTCACTTGAACCCAGGAAGTGGAGGTTGCAGTGAGCTGAGAATGCACCACTGCATTCCAGCCTGGGTGACAGAGCAAGACTCTGTCTCAAAAAATAATAATAATAAGGCCGGGTGCGGTGGCTCACACCAGTAATCCCGGCACCTTGGGAGGCCGAGGCAGGTGCATCACCTGAGGTCAGGAGTTTGAGACCAGCCCGGCCAACATGGTGAAACCCCATCTCTACTAAAAATACAAAAAAATAGCCAGACATGGTGGCATGTGCTTGTAATCCCAGCTACTTGGGAGGCTGAGGGAGGAGAATTGCTTGAACCTGGGAGGCAGAGGTTGCAGTAAGCCAAGACTGTGCCATTGCACTCCAGCCTGGGCAACAGGAGTGAAACTCCATCTCAAAAAATAAAATAAAAATAAGTAAAAAAATAAATAAGGTTTTCTCTCAGTGTGAAAGTCCATGTGGGCAAGTGACATGCCCACAGTTATAAGCACAGTTGTTGTATCTGGCCTTCCTCTAAGCTGCCAGCTCAGGACAAGAGTGAGACTGTCTCTGCCTTTCCTACTGCCACTATAACAGGACATACTTCTCAAAACCAGGGAGATCACCACTGTCCCCAAGTCACACTTTCTTCCCACTCCTCCCTCCAGAGATGATTTCTATCTACTTGCCACTCCCCTCCAACTGTGATGCCATGACTTCTACCCCTGCAGACACCTGGGAAAGATGGAAGGTCCCCTCATCCTAATCTACGTCCATGCTGGCCAGGGGGAGATGCTTACTGCCAGTATTGTCAGAGATGTGACATGCATGGTGCCAAGGCTAATCTGGCAATCCAGGCAAGACCTTCTGCAGCAGACCCACCTCAGGTGACCTCCCCAGGTGACCTCAAGTGGAGGCCTGAAAGGTTACCTCGCATAAGGGTAAGCACAGTCCCTTTGTAGATGCCTCGGATCCCAAACTCCTGGTACAGCTTCTTTGCACAGTCCAAGGTACCAGTGTACTTGCTTTCTCCTGAAGAAGCCTGAATCTGGGAGGGAGGAGAGGATCATTAAGTCAGAAACATCAGAGTCACAGACCCAGCAGGTTACAGGAGACTACAAAGTAAGTATGGCCATTATGTGTTACAGCAATAAAAGACTTCACTGTCAAATTGATAAGTATCTGGAATGTGTGATCTTGGGGCAGGTACTATGAAATAAGGCTAGGTGAAAATATCAGAAAACATTCACATTGACTAGAAATAAAACCAACAGAAAATTTGAAAAACAAGTTGAGGAGGCCGGGTGCAGTGGCTCATGCCTATAATCCCAGCACTTTGGGAGGCCGAGGCAGGCAGGTCGCCTGAGGTCAGGAGTTTGAAACCAGCCTGGTCAACACGGTGAAACCCTGTCTCTACGAAAAATACAAAAATTAGCTGGGCATGGTGGTGGGCGCCTGTAGTCAGCTGCTCAGGAGGCTGAGGCAGGAGAATCGCCTGAACTTGGGAGGCAGAGGTTGCAGTTAGAAAACATATCGTACCACACTGCACTCCAGCCTGGGCAGCAGAGTGAGACTGTCTCAAAATTTAAAAATAAAAAATAAGTTGAGGAAATCTGTCAAACACAATAAAGCTATTTGGAAGGTCTAAAAAGGAAGCGACAAATACTTTAGTCATTCATTTATTCCTTCAACAAATATCCCCTGAAGACCAACTGCATTCCAAGCCTACCTGGTCATGAGAGTTGGTTAAGAAAAGGTGAACAGAAAATTTCACTCAAAGCTCTAAGTTCCCAGACAGGGGTCCTGTTCAGAGAGGGCTCCTATGCAGAGCCAGAGGAGGGCCAAAGAGAGGCTCCTACCCCGCCCCTGAGAGCCAAGAACCTGGGGGTAGGCAGGGGTAATCCCAGGAAAGATCTGAAAGACAGCTCCATGCAGGATCCACACAGGGATCCCGCTTGTTCAGGACCAAGAGGAGTCAGAACACACAAGAGCATCAACCAAACAATAATTAAAGCTGGAAAGGGAGTTCAGCTTTAACAGTTCCAAAGAGAAACACTTACAAATACATAAACCAAATAGCTTTCTTACATATCAGGATTAACCAGTTAAAAAATAATAGAAAAGGCCGGGCACGGTGGCTCACACCTGTAATCCCAGCACTTTGGGAGGCTGAGGCGGGCAGATCATGAGGTCAGGAGTTTGAGACCAGCCTGACCAACATGGTGAAACCCTGTCTCTACTAAAAATACAAAAATTAGCCAGGCGTGGTGGTACATGCCTGTAATCTCAGCTACTCAGGAGGCTGAGGCAGGAGAATCGCTTGAACCCAGGAGGTGGAGTTTGCAGTGAGCCGAGATCGTGCCACTGCACACCAGCCTGGGAGACAGAGCACAACTCTATCTCAATCAATCAATCAATACAAGAAATGGATCCCATTCAAAATAGCAATAAAAGCCGGGCACGGTGGCTCACGCCTGTAATCCCAGCACTTTGGGAGGCCAAGGCAGGCAGATCACCTGAGGCCAGGAGTTCGAGACCAGCCTGGCCAACATGGTGAGAGCCCCCATCTCTACTAAAAATACAAAACTTAGCTGGGCGTGGTGGCAGATGCCTGTAATCCCAGCTACTCAGGAGGCTGAGGCAGGAAAATGACTTGAACCTGGGAGGCGGAAGTTGTAGTGAGCCGAGATTGCACCACTGCACTCCAGCCTGGGTGACAGAGTAAGACTCTGTCTCAAAAAAAAAAAAAAAAAAAAAAAAAAAAAGCAACAAATATGTGAATTAAGCAATAGGCTTTGTATAAATAAAACTCTAAAATATCTGAGGATTACAAAATAAGAGGTCAATAAAAAGAGTCCTAATTCTAGTTGGGAAAAGTTTTCAATAAGAAAGATTTCTATTTTTCTAAAAATAATAAATGTAAGATAATGTCAATTGAGTATCAATGGTTTTTTTTTTTTTTGGTATAACTTCCCCAAAGTATCCAGACATATGTACCTGGTATGTCTGAGGAACAGAAGGAAGGTCATGTTATCTGAGAATGCTGGAGCCAATTCACAGTGACCTGGGGGGCCGTGGAGGATTGGGCATAGGAATAACATATTTACAGAATCCTATCATTGTTATGTATGTACAGACTATAAGAAGGGAAACAAGTAAGGAGGCCCTCACTGTCATCCAGGACAGCGATGAAGGTGGCCTGAAGTAGTATGGCCACAATGGAGATGGTGTGAAGGGATGGATTTGGGATAATGTTGAAAGCCAGCCTAATTGCTCAACAGATGGAATCTAAACCGTGGGAGAAAAAGAGGAATTTAAGAGGACTCCTGGGCTATAATCCTGAATAATTACAAGGATGCTATTGTTACCAACTGAACTGGAAAATGCTGAGAGTAGAGGAGGTACAGGGAAGACCAGGAGCTCAGTTTTGTACATGATGACTTTGAGGCACCTATTAGCATCCACATAGAAATGTTGGATAAACTAGTCTGGAGTTCAGGAAAAGTCTGAGTTGGAGATATAATTTTTTTTTTTTGAGACGGAGTCTTGCTCTGTCACCAGGCTGGGGTGCAGTAGTGCAATCTCAGCTCACTGCAACCTCCGCCTCCTGGGTTCAAGTGATTCTCCTGCCTCAGCCTCCCAAGTAGCTGGGACTACAGGCACGTGCCACCACACCTAGCTAATTTTTGTATTTTTAGTAGAGATGGGGTTTCACCATGTTGGCCAGGATGGTCTCGATCTCTTGACCTCGTGATCCATCCGCCTCGGCCACCCAAAGTGCTGGGATTACAGGCGTGAGCCACAGCGCCCACAGAGATATAAATTTGAGTCATCAGCATAAAAATGGTGTCTAAAAGTCATGAGACAAGGCTGGGTGCGGTGACTTACTCCTGTAATCTCAGCACTCTGGGAGGCTGAAGTGGCCAGATCACTTGAGGCCAGAGTTCCAGACCAGCCTGGTCAACATGGTGAAACCCTGTTTCTAAAAAAAAAAAAAAAAAAAAAGTCCCCCAAAATTAGCTGGGTGTGTGCCTGTAGTCCCAGCTACTTGGGAGGCTGAGGCACAAGAATCACTTGAACCCAGGAGGCCTGGGTTGCAGTGAGCTGATATCGCGCCACCGCACTCCAGCCTGGGAGACAAAGCGAGACTCTGTCTCAAACAAAAAAAAAAAAAAGAAAAGAAAAGAAAGATAAGTACTGAGAACTAACCACTGAAGTGTAAAAGTCACTAGTGACCAGCTGGGCATGGTGGCTCACGCCTGTAATCCCAGCACTTTGGGAGGCCGAGGCAGGTGGATCACGAGGTCAGGAGATGGAGACCATCCTGGCCAACATGGTGAAACCCCGTCTCTACTAAAAATACAAAAAAAAAATTAGCTGGGCCTGGTAGCGTGTGCCTGTAATCCCAGCTACTCGGGAGGCTGAGGCAGGAAAATTGCTTGAACCAGGGAGTCGGAGGTTGCAGTGAGCTGAGATCATGCCACTGCACTCCAGCCTGGCGACAGAGCGAGACTCTGTCTCAAAAAAAGGAAAAAAAAAAGTCACTAGTGACCTTGATAAAACCACTTTATTTGCAGTTGTGAGGCAAAAGCCAGATTGGAGCAGGTTTAACAATTAGAGGAGAGGAACTGGAAATGGCAGGTATAAAAAAACCAGAAACAGGCTGGTGTGGCAGCTCACGTCTGTAATCCCAGCACTTTGGGAGGCCAAGGTGGGTGGATCACCTTAGGTCAAGAGTTCAAGACCAGCCTGGCCAACAAGGCAAAACCCCATCTCTACTAAAAGTACAAAAATTAGCAGGGCGTGGTGGTGTGCACCTGTATTCCCAGCTACTCGGGAGGCTGAGGCAGGAGAATTGCTGGAACCTGGGAAGCAGAGGTTGCAGTGAGCCGAGATTATGCCACTGCATTCCAGCCTGGGTGACAGAACAAGACTCCATCTCAAAAAAAAAACAAAAAACAAAAACAAAAACAAGAAACAACTTTTTCAAAGAGTTTTTGTGTAAGAGGGAGCAAAGTCATGAAGCATAGAAATTGGTGTGGAAAAGACTGGACAGAAGTTTTTTTGAGACAGGTTCCCGATGATCTCTGCTCACTGCAGGCTCAACTTCCTGTGCTCAAACGATCCTCCCACCTCAGACTCCTGAATAGCTAGGGCTACAGGTGCATGCCACCACACCTATTTTTTTTTTCTTTTTTTGAGACGGAGTTGTAATCTTCTAGCCCAGACTGGAGTGCAATGGCGCGATCTCGACTCACGGCAACCTCTGCCTCCCAGGTTCAAGCAATTCTCCTGTCTCAGACTCCCGAGTAGCTGGGATTACAGGCACCTGCCACCATGCCTGGCTAATTTCTTGTATTTTTAGTAGAGATGGGGTTTCATCATTTTGGCCAGGCTGGTCTTGAACTCCTGACCTCAGATGATTCACCCGCCTCGGCCACCCAAAGTGCTGGGATTACAGGTGTGAGCCACCGCGCCTGGCCCATGAATGGCTAATTTTTGTATTTTTTTGTAGAGATGGGGTTTTGCCATGTTGCCCAGGCTGGTCTCAAACTCCTGGGCTTGGGTGATCCATATACCTCAGCTTCCAAAAGTGCTGAGATTATAGGTGTGAGCCACTGTGCCCAAAGTTTGTTTTTGTTTTCTTTTTTGAGATGGAGTTTCGCTCTTGTTGCCCAGGCTGGAGTGCAGTGGCGAGATCTCGGTTCACCACAACCTCTGCCTCCCGGATTCAAGTGATTCTCCTGCCTCAGCCTCCCAAGTAGCTGGGATTACAGGATGCGCCACCATGCCTGGGTAATTTTTTTTTTTTTTTGTATTTTTAGTAGAGATGGGGTTTCTCCATATTGGTCTGGCTGGTCTTGAACTCCTAACCTCAGGTGATCCACTCACCATGGCCTCCCAAAGTCCTGGGATTACAGGCGTGAGCCACCGCACCCAGCCCAAAGTTTGTATTTTTAAGATGAAAAATGCAAGCATGTTTATGCCTTTATTCCTGATGAGAATGATCAAGTGGAGAGCAAAAACTGATGTCAGTGGCTGAGGGAAAAAAAAAAAACAAAAACAAATAATGTCTGTGGCTGGGCAAGAGGAGATGGGATCCAGTGCACAAAGAGGCCTGGGATCAAGCGGAAGCACAGGCCATCCTTGGTAGAAACAAGCAGGGTGGCCGGGCATGGTGGCTCATGCCTGTAATCCCAACACTTTGGGAGACCGAGGCAGGCGGACCACCTGAGGTCAGGAGTTCGAGACCAGCCTGACCAACATGGAGAAACCCCGTCTCTACTAAAAATACAAAAATTAGCCAGGCGTGGAGGTGCATGCCTGTAATCCCGGCTACTCGGGAGGCTGCGGCAGGAGAATTACTTGAACCTGGGAGGCGGAGGTTGCGGTGAGCCGAGATGGCGCCACTGCACTCCAGCCTAGGCAACAAGAGCAAAAACTCCATCTAAAAAAAAAAAGAAAAGAAAAGAAACAAGCAGGGCGGCAGCAGGTAGGTACATGGAGGTAGCAGAAGGCATCTGGTGAAATCCTCTTCTGATGGTTTCCATTTTCTCAGTGAAGTCAGAAACCAGCTCATCCACTGAGAAGGTGGGGGGTTGAGAAGAGGAGAGGTACGAAGCGGTCACACAGCAGAGTAGGAGGGTGTAAGAAAAGAGTAGGACTAAGTGAATGTCTGATGTAGGAGTAGAAAAGGACTTCAGGCATAGACAAAATGGAAGAAGCCATAAGGGAAAAGAGCGATGGACAAAGCCACTGAACACAAACATTCCCTAGGTCAAAATCAATAGATAGACTTCTACTTCTGGGAAGATGGAGTAGATGTACTTTTCCCTATTCCTCCTGCTAACTACAACCAAAAAACTCTGGATGTTATATTTAAAATAAACATATGAAGGGTCTGAAAGTTTGGACCAACGGCAGCAGAGAAACCTTGGGACCTGAGGAATGAGATAGTGGTGAGTTCCTTGGGTTTTCCTTTTACCCTGCATATGTCAGCTGAAAAAGCTGACAATCCAAAAATATCAAAAGGTACAAACCAAAAAGAAGCCCCAACAAAAGCATGCATTCTCTACAAAAAGGACCAGGAAAGGTCCTCTACTCCAGCCAAACACCATTTAAAAAGCTGTGGCCCCCACCCACACCAGCAAAGACTTAGTGGGAAGCATAGACTTTCACCTTTATGGAGTTGTAATGAAGTACCCAACATGTTACCAGCGTGGAGTCAGAGAAAGCCAAGTAAGAAATTAGGGGAAGGGCTGCAGCCAAGGCCTTGTGCAGCCCTGCACCCTTCTGTTTAAAAATAAATTAAATTTTAAAAAAAGGAATTAGGACTTGCATCCCTGACAGCTGGTACCAGCACCTTGCCACCCTAGAGTGCTAGTGGACACACTGGAACTCCCACACTTACTTAGCAATAAAAATGAGCACCCCATCGTCAGGTGTCAACAGAGGCCAAATAGGAACCTTGATTTCTACCTCCACCTAGCTGTAATGAGGCTGCATCCTTCCCTTCCTGCTGGAGCAGTATCAGAAAAACCCTCAACTCAATATGTAAATATCCAGGTTGCAATTGAAAAATCACTTGTCATATTCAAAACAAGGAAGACCTCAAACTGAAAGAAAAAAAGACTAGCAATATTTGCCAACACCAAGATGTCAGAGACATTAGAATTATCTGACAAAGATTTTAAAGCAGCCATGATAAAAATCCTTCAATGAGCAATTATGAACATGCTTGAAAAAAATTTTTTGGCTGGGCACGGTGGCTCACACCTGTACTCCCAGCACTTTGGGAGGCGAAGGCAGCTGGATCACGAGGTCAGGAGATTGAGGTGACCAACCTCAGGTGATATGCCCACCTCAGCCTCCCAAAGTGGGATTACAGGCATGAGCCACTGTGCCCGGCCGAAAAACCTTTTTTTTAAATAGGCCAGGTACAGTGGCTCATGGCTATAATCCTAGCGTTCTGGGAGGTCAAGGTGGGAGGATCACTTGATCCCAGGAGTTGGAGATCAGCGAGGGCAATTAAGCAAGACCCCATTTCTACAAAAAGTTAGCCAGGCCGGGTGACACCTGTAGTCCCAGCTAATAGGAGGCTGAGGCAGGAAGATCATTTGAACCCCAGAGTTTCAGGATGCAGTAAGCCGTTATCAGACCACTACACTCCAGCCATGCAGCAGGGTGAGACTCTGTCTCTAGAAAAAAGAGAAAGAAGAAAAGAAGCCAGGCATGGTGGCTCATACCTGTAATTCTAGCACTTGGGGAGGCCAAGGTAGGCAGATTGCTTGATCCCAGGAGTTTGAGACCAGCCTGGGTAACAAAGGAAGAGCCTGTCTCTACAAAAAACTAAAAAATTAGCCAGGTGTGGTGATACATGTCTGTAGGCCCAGCTACCCAGGGGCTAGGTGAGAGGATCGCTTGAGCCTGGGAGATCAAGCTACAGTTAGCTGTGATGCATGTCTCTGCACTTTAGTCCAGGCATTGTCTTAAAAAAAAGGAAATAGGCTTGGCATGGTGGCTCTCGCCTATAATCCCAGCACTTTGGGAGGCCGAGGCAGACGGATCACTTGAGGTCAGGAATTTGAGACCAGCCTGGCCAACATGGTGAAACCCAATCTCTACCAAAAAATACAAAAATTAGCCAAGGGTGATGGCATGAACCTGTAGTCCCAGCTACGCGGGAGGATGAGGCAGGAGAGTTGCTTGAACCCAGGAGGCGGAGGTTGCAGTAAGGAAGTTCAGAAAGGTTGTAGAATACAAGATTATACAAAAATCAATCGTGTTTCCCAAACAAGCAATGAACATGTGGACAACCAAATAAAATTATAATATCATTTACAACACCATTTTACAAGGCAAACAGAAAAAGAAACACTTAGGTGTAAATGTAAGAAAACCTGAAAACTACACAATGCTGATGAAAGAAATCAAATTTTTCTTTTTCTTTTTTTTTTTTTTTTTTTGAGACAGTATCTCGACTTTGTCATCTCCTGGGTTCAAGCTGTCTTCCTGCCCTAGCCCACCACGTAGCTGGGACTACAGGCACGCAACACCATGCCCAGCTAATTTTTTTTTTTTAAGAGATGGGGTTTCGCTATATTGCCCAGGCTGGTCTCAAACACCTGAGCCCAAGCGATCCACCTGCCTTGGCCTCCCAAAGCGCTAGGATGATAGGCCACCAAGCTTGGCCAGGAATCAGATTTTTTTTTTTTTTTTTTTTTTGAGACAGGGTCTTACTCTATAATCCAGGCCGGAGTGCAGTAGTGCAGTGGCGTGATCTCAGCTCACTGCAACCTCCACCTCCCGGGTTAAGTGATTCTTGTGCCTCAGCCACCAGAGTAGCTGGGATTACAGGCCTGCACCACCATGCACGGCTAATTTTTGTATTTTTATTAGACACGGGGTTTTGCCATATTGGCCAGGCTGGTCTCAAACTCCTGGCCTCATGTGATCCACCTGCCTCAGCTTCTCAAAATGCTGGGATTACAAGCGTGAGCCACCATGCCCGGCCAGAAATTGGATTTTTAAATAAATGGAAAGATATACCATTCTTCCTGGATTGGAGGATTCAAAATAATAAAGGTGTCAATTCTGCCCGAATTGATCTGTACGTTTAACATAATTCCTATCAAAATCTCACCAAGATTTTTCTAAATTTTCTAAATTATCCTACAATTTACGTGGAAAGACAAAGGAGTAGAAAATTGTTCTAGGAGGCTGGAACAATTTAAAAAAAAAAAAAAGAGAATCAAGTGGGAGGAATAAGTCTGTTGAATTTCAAGGTTTATTATACACAGCTATAGTTATCAAGACTGTGTGGTGTTGGTGAAGAGATAGACATATAGATAAATGGAGTAGAATAGAGAAACAAGGCTGGGCGCAGTGACTCACGCCTGTAATCCCAGCACTTTGGGAGGCTGAGGTGGGCGGATCACCTGAAGTAGGGAGTTCGAGACCAGCCTGACCAATGTGGAGAAACCCCATCTCTTCTAAGAATACAAAATTAGCCGGGCATGGTGGCGCGTGCCTGTAATCCCAGCTACTCAGGAGACTGAGGCAGGAGAATCGCTTGAACCCGGGAGGCAGAGGTTGTGGTGAGCCAAGATCGCACCATTGCACTCCAGCCTGGGCAACAAAGAGCGAAACTCCATCTCAAAAAAAAAAAAAAAAAAGAGAGAGAGAGAAACAAATCACACAAATATGTCCAATTGATTCGTTTTTTTGAGACGGGGTCTCACTCCGTCACCCAGGGTTTAGTGCAGTGGCACAATCCTCACTCACTGCAGCCTTAACTTCCTGGGCTGATCCTCACACCTCACCACCCGCAAGTAGCTGGGACTACAGGTGCATACCACCATGCCCAGCTAATTTTTTTTTTTTTTTTTTTTTTTTTTTTTAGAGATGGGGTTTTGCCGTGCCACACAAGCTGGTCTCAGCCTCATGGGCTCAAGCAATCCACCACCCTTGGCCTCTCAAAGTCCTGGGATCACAGGTGTGAGCCACTCTGCCTGGCCTGCCCAATGATTTTTTTTTTTTAAGACAGTATTGCTCTGTTGCCCAGGCTGGAGTGCAGTGGCACAATCTTGGCTCACTGCAACCTCCACCTCTCAGGTTCATGCAATTCTCCTGCCTCAACCTCCCGAGTAACTGGGATTACAGGTGCACGCCACCATGCCTGGATAATTTTGTATTTTTAGTAAAGCCAGGGTTTTACCATGTTGGCCAGGCTGATCTCAAATTCCTGACCTCAAGTGATCCACCCATCCTGGCCTCCCAAGGTGCTGGGATTACAGGTATGAGCCACCATGCCCGGCCCCCAGTTGATTTTTTAAAAGGTGCAAACACAGTTCAGTGGAATGAAGACAGTCTTTTCAATAAATGATATAAGCGGAGGTCAAAGGTAAAAGAAAAAAAAAAGAACTCTGTCCTACTACTCATATATTATACAAAAATTGGTCAGGCGTGGTTGCTCACACCTGTAATCCCAGCACTTTGGGAGGCCAAGGCAGGAGGAATGCTTGAGCCCAGGAGTTCGAAGTTAGCCTGAGCAACATGGCAAGACCCCATCCTTACAAAAAAAAAAAAAAAAAGGTGTTTAATTAGCTGTTTTTGGTGGCACATGCCTGTAATCCCAGCTACTCAGGAGGCTGAGGCAGAAGAACTGTTTGAGCCCAGGATGCTGAGGCTGCAGAGAGCCATGATTTTACCACTGCACTTCAGCCTGGGCAATAGAGTAACACCTTGTCTCAAAAACAAAAACAAATTGACTCAAATGAGGTCACAGGCTTGAATGTAAAACATAAAATGATAAATAAAACCTATAGAAGGCCCGGGTACGGTGGCTCATGTCTATAATCCCAGCACTTTGGGAGGCCGAGATGGGCAAATCACCTGAGGTCAGGAGTTGGAGACCAGCCTGGCCAACATGGTAAAACCCTGTCTCTACTAAAAATACAAAAACTAGCTGGGTGTGGTGGTGTGTGCCTATAATCCCAGCTACTGGGGAGGCTGAGGCAGGAGAATCGCTTGAATCTGGGAGGCAGGGGTTGTAATGGGCCAAGATCACGCCACTGCCCTCCAGCCTGGGCAACAGAGCAAGACTCCGTCTCAAAAAAATAAAATATGCCAGGCGTGGTGGCTCACGCCTGTAGTCCTACCACTTTGGGAGGCCAAGGCAGGTGGATCGCTTGAGGCCAGTTCAAGACCGGACTGGCGGCTGGGCGCAGTGGCTTATGCCTATAATCCCAGCACTTTGGGAGGCCAAGGAGGGGGGATCACGAGGTCAGGAGATCGAGACCATCCTGCCCAACATGGTGAAACCCCGTCTCTACTGCAAATACAAAAATGAGCTGGGCGTGGTGGTGTGTGCCAGTAGTCCCAGCTACCTGGGTGGCTGAAGCAGGAGAATGGCATGAACCCAGGAGGCAGAGGCTGCAGTGAGGAGAGATCGCACCACCGCACTCCAGCCTGGGCAACGGAGTGAGATAATGCCTTAAAAAAAACAAATAAAATAAAATAAAACTTGTAAAAAAAAAAACAAGAAAATCTTCAGGATCTAGGTTTAAGTAAAGAATTCTCAGACTGGCCAGGCGCAGTGGCTCACGCCTATAATCCCAGCACTTTGGGAGGCGGAGGTGGGCGGATCACGAGGTCAGGAGATCGAGATCACGGTGAAACCCCGTCTCTACTAAAAAAATACAAAAAATTAGCCGGGCACGGTGGCAGGCGCCTGTAGTCCCAGCTACTCGGGAGGCTGAGGCAGGAGAATGGCGTGAACCCGGGAGGCGGAGCTTGCAGCGAGCTGAGATTGCGCTACTGCACTCCAGCCTGGGCGACAGAGCAAGACTCCATCTCAAAAAAAAAAAAAAAAAAAAAAAGAATTCTTAGACTTAGGGCGAGCATGATGGCTCATTCCTATAATCCCAGCACTTTGGGAGGCCGAGGAGGCGGGTGAATCACCTGAGGTCAGGAGTTCAAGACCAGCCTGGCCAACATGGCAAAACCTTGTCTCTACTAAAAATACAAAAATTAGCCAGGCATGATGGCGCATGCCTGTAATCCCAGCTACCTGGGAGGCTGAGGCAGGAGAATCGCTTGAACCCAGGAGGAGGAGGTTGTGGTAAACTGAGATTGTGCCACTGTACTCCAACTTGGGCGACAGAGCAAGACTCCATCTCTAAATAAATAAATAAAAATAAAAAATTAACCTGGCATGGAGGAACACACCTGTCATCCCAGCTACTTGGGAGGCTGAGGCAGGAGGATCACTTGAGCCCAGGAGATCAAGGTTACATTGTGCTATGATCACACCACTGCACTCCAGTCTAGGCAACACTGTGAGACCTTGTCCAAAAAAAAAAAAACTAAACTAGAGATACAACTACAGTAAAACTCAACAATTGCATTCCTAGGCATTTATCCCAGAGAAATGGAGAAATGAAGACTTACTTTCTGACAAAAGCCTCTGTGTACAAATGTTTATGGCATCTTTATTCCTAAAAACCTCAAACTAAAAACAACACAGATGCTGTTAGGTGGAAGAATAGTTAAATTATGATAATCCATACCATGACTACTATTCAGCAATAAAAATGAATGCAGTATTCATATATGTGATAATACGAATGAATCTCTAGAAAATTATGCTGAGGGCTGGGCATGGTGGCTCACACCTGTAATCTCAGCATTTTGGGAGGCAGAGGCAGGAGGATCACTTAAGGTCAGGAGTTCAAGACCAGGCTGGCCAACATGGTGAGACCCCCCCACCACCACCACAGCCCCCATCTCTACTAAAAATACAAAAATTAGCCAGGCTTGCGGGTGCATGCCTGTAATCCCACGGGAGGCTGAGGCAGGAGGATCTCTTGAAACCAGGAGGCGGAGGTTGCAGTGAACCAAGATCGTGCCACTGCACTCCAGCCTGGGCAACTGAACGAGACTCTGTCTCAGAAAAAAAAAAAAAAAAAATTATACTGAGTTTATTTATTTAATTAATTTATTTATTTTTGAGACAGAGTCTTGCTCTGTTGCCCAGGCTGGAGTGCAGTGGTGCAATCTCGGCTCACTGCAACCTTCACCTCCCGGGTTCAAGCAATTCTCTGCCTCAGGCTCCCAAGTAGCTGGGATTACAGACGCCTGCTACCACACCTGGCTAATTTTTGTATTTTTCGTAGAGACAGGATTTCACCATCTTGGCCAGGCTGGTCTTGAACTCCTGACCTCGTGATCCACCCCCTCGGCCTCCTAAAGTGCTGGGATTACTGGCGTGAGCCACCGCACCCAGCCTATTTATTTATTTTTTAATTTATTTTTTGATTTAGTTTTTCGCTTTGTCACCCAGGCTAGAGTGCAGTGGCACGATCTTGGCTCACTGCAGCCTCTGCCTCCCAGGTTCAAGCAATTCTCGTGCCTCAGCCTCCCGAGTAGCTGGGATTACAGGCGTGCACAACCATACCTGGCTAATTTTTGTATTTTTGGTAGAGACGGGGTTTCTCCATATAGGCCAAGCAGGTCTCAAACTGCTGACCTCAGGTGATCAACCTGCCTTGGCCTCACAAACTGCTGGGATTACAGGTGTGAGCCACTGTGCCTGGCCAATGCTGAGTTTAAAATCCAGTCCATGCTGGGCATGATGGCTCATGCCTGTAATCCCAGCACGTTGGGAGGCCAAGGCAGACAGATCGCTTGAGCTCAGGAGTTTCAAGGCCAGCCTGGGCAACGTGGTAAAACCCCATCTCTAAAAAAATAAACAAAACTAGCAGGGCATGGTGATGCACACCTGTAGTCTCAGATACTCAGGAGCCTGAGGTAAGAATGGCTTCATCTCAGGAGGCAGAGATTGCAGTGTGCTGAATCCAGCCACTGCACTACAGAGACTGGGTGACAGACAGCCAGACCCTGTCTCAAAAATAAAGAAATAAATAAAAAAAATTTTAAAGCCAATCCAGGCCAGGCACAGTGGCTCACGCCTATAATCCCAGCACTCTGGGATGCCGAGGTGGGTGGATCACCTGAGGTCAGGAGTTTGAGACCAGCCTGGCCAACATGGTGCAAGCCCATCTCTACTAAAAATACAAAAATTAGTCAGACGTGGTGGCAAGCGCTGTAATCTCAGCTACTGGGGAGGCTGAGGCAGGAGAATCACTTGAACCCAGGGGGAAGAGGTGGCAGTGAGCTGAGATCGTGCCACTGATCTCCAGCCTGAGCAACAAGAGCAAGACTCCATCTCAAAAAAAAAAAAAAAAGCCAATCCAAAGACTTTACATACTGTACAATTCCATTCATATAACATTGTTTTTCTGTTTTGTTTTGTTTTTCTTTTTGTTTTTGAGATGGAGTTTCACTCTTGTTGCTCAGGCTGGAGTGCAATAGCACAATCTTGGCTCACTGAAAACTCCACCTCCTGGATTCAAGTGATTCTCCTGCCTCAGCCTCCCGAGTAGCTGGGATTACAAGCATGCACCACCACTCCTGGCTAATTTTTGTATTTTTAGTAGAGACGGGGTTTCACCATGTTGGTCAGGCTGGTCTCGAACTCCTGACCTTAGTGATCCACCCGCCTCGACCTCCCAAAGTGCTGGGATTACAGGCATGAGCCACTGCATTTGGTCTCATATAATATTTTTAAAATTTAAAAAAAATTATAGAAATGATTACACTCTAAGGGCTCTGAGATTCTGGACAAATGTTAGAAACACATGGCTGAGCACAGTGGATCATGCCTGTATCCCCAGCACTTTGGGAGGCCATGGTGGGTGGATCACCTCAGGTCAGGAGCTCAAGACCACCCTGATCAACATGGCAAAATCCTGTCTCCATTAAAAATACAAAAATTAGCCAGGCGTGGTGGTGGGCGCCTGTAGTCCCACCTACTAGGGAGGCTGAGGCAGGAGAATCGCTTGAAGCCAGGAGGCAGAGGTTGCAGTGAGCCGAAATCATACCACTGCACTCCAGTCTAGGCAACAGAGTGAGACCCTGTCTCAAAAAAATAGAAAAGAGGCCAGGCACGGTGGCTCACAGGCCAGGCACAGTGGCTCACTCCTGTAATCCCAACACTTTGGGAGGCTGAGTCAGGCGGATCACCTGAGGTCAGGAATTCGAGACCAGCCTGACCAATATGGAGAAACCCCATCTCTACTAAAAATACAAAATTAGCAGAGCATGGTGGCGCATGCCTGTAATCCCAGCGATTCAGGAGGCTAAGGCAGAAGAATTGCTTGAACCCAAGAGGCGGAGGTTGCGGTGAGCCAAGGAGTGCAATGGCGCCACTGCACTCCAGCCTGGGCAACAAGAGCGAAATTCTATCTCCAAAAATACAGGAAAAAAAGAAAAGAGGGTTGGGCACGGTGGCTCACTCCTGTAATCCCAGCACTTTGGGAGGCCGAGGTGGGTGGGTCACAAGGTCAGGAGATCGAAACCATCCTGGCCAACATGGTGAAACCCCGTCTCTACTAAAATACAAAAAATTAGCTGGGCGTGGTGGCGCACACCTGTAGTCTCAGCTATTCAGGAGGCTGAGGCAGGGGAATAGCTGGAACCCAGGAGGCGGAGGTTGCAATAATCTGAGATCATGCCACTGCATTCCAGCCTGGCAACAGAGCAAGACTCTGTCTCAAAAAAAAAGAAATAAAGAAAGAAAAGAAAAGAGAAAGAAAAAAAAGAAAGACATGACATCTCAGGCAGAAGCAGCCTCCGTTCTAAATTTGTTAAGACATGACTCACCTTTCAGAGTTCCTGAAATGGTTGCTAATAAGGGTGGGTAGGCCCAGGCTGACGCGTTACACTTGTGACATTTTTGTTGGTTTGTTATAATGTACTAGTTCTTGATTCTACTACGATTGCTTTTGTTTCTGAAAACCTTGAAATAGTCCAGGCGCGGTGGCTTACGCCTGTAATCCCAGAACTTTGGGAGGCTGAGGCGGGCAGATCACAAGGTTAAGAGATAGAGACCATCCTGGCCAACATGTTGAAACCCCATCTCTACTAAAAATACAAAAATTAGGTGGGCGTGGTGGCACATGCCTGTGGTCCCAGCTACTCAGGAGGCTGAGGCAGGAGAATCGCTTGAACCCGGGAGGCAGAGGTTGCAGTGAGCCAAGATCATGCCACTGTACTCCAGCCTGGCGACAGAGCGAGACTCCATCTCCACAAAAAAAAAAAATATATATATATATATATATATATATGTATATATATAAATTGTTTTGTACACCGGATGTGAAGACTTTACGTTTATTTGAGACAGGGTCTCACTCTGTCACCCAGACTGAAGTGCAGTGGCACAATCATGGCTCAGTGCAGCCTCAACAATCCAGGCTCAAGTGATCCTCCCACCTTAGCCTCCTGAGTAGCTGGGACCACAGATGCACACCACCAAGTCCAGCTAATTTTAAAAAATTTTTGGGGCTGGGCGTGGTGGCTCACACCTGTTATCCCAACACTTTCAGAGGCCGAGGCAGGTGGATCACTGGAGGTCAGGAGTTCAAGACCAGCCTGACCAACATGGCAAAGCCCTGTCTCTACTAAAAATATAAAAATTAGCCTGGCATGGTGGCAGGCGCCTGCAATCTCGTCTACTCAGGAGGCTGAGGCAGGAGAATCACTTGAATCCGGGAGGTGGAGGTTGCAGTTAGCCAAGATCGTGCCACTGCACTCCAGCCTGCGAAACACAGCAAGACCCCATCTCAAAAAAAAAAAAAAAAAAATTTGTAGAGATGGGATCCCACTATGTTGCCCAGGCTGGTTTTTGGTTTTGTTTTGTTTTGGTTTTGTTTTTTTGAGACAGAGTCTTGCTCTCATGCCCAGGCTGCAGTGCAGTGGCGTGACACAGCTCACTGCAACCTGTCTCCCGGGTTCAAGTGATTCTCCTGCCTCAGCCTCCCAAGTAGCTGGGATTACAGGTGCCCACCACTATACCTGGCTAATTTTTGTATTTTTAGTAGAGACGGGGTTTCACCATGTTGGCCAGGCTGGTCTCAAACTCCTGACCTCAAGTGATCCATCCTCCTCGGCTCCCAAAGTGCTGGGATTACAGGCGTAAACCACTGCACCTGGCCCCCAGGCTGGTCTTTAACTCATGGGCTCAGGCAATCCTCACACCTTGGTCTCCCAAAGTGCTAGGATTACAGGTGTGAGCCACTGCACCCAGTCCTGAAGCCTTTATTAAGGGTGAAAGGACATAAACATGCACACGAAATTATAAACTGAAAGGAAAAAGCTATTTCCCCTCCAATCACAACCTTACCTGTAATAAGCACTTGATCCGTTCTCCAGGAGTCATGATTCCTGTGGTGAATACGCCAGATAACATCCCAGCTGCAAAAAGCTGGGGATAGCTGCATTGAAAACAAAAAGCAGAAGCAAGCACCTGTGACTAACCACCGAGGACAGAGGCCAATCCCAGCAAAGAGGACAGTTTTGTAAGAAAAAAAATAAGTACTTGGACTGGGTAGAAGCCTAGCCACAAATGAATCAGATTTCGCACAAAAACTCAGTTCTAGGTATATTTTAATGTCAAATTTCCCAGAGCAAGGGTCTCAGTGGCAAGAGCAATGGGAGTCTGGCCACAAGGCCCACCCCATGTGGTACACGCTCAGAATCCCTCACCTGTAAGAGAAGTTTTATATAGTAAAACATGGCTTCCATCCATGCGCCTGCCAGGCACAGTGACTATGGACAAGTTTCCAGGCCTCTCTGAGCCTCAATTCTCCCTAGTTAACATGCTGGGGTTTTTGTGGGGGAAGTCTCTAACCCAGGATCTGGACTTTAATCTCCCCCAGTAGTTCCCCTCCAGTCTCACTTCCCCTGGATTACCAAGGGCCTGAGAACACTCTAAGCCAAGATTCAAGCAGGACAGCTTCAAGGCCAAGGAGGATGGCTGTGGCCACCTCTAAAGGCTAAGGGATAGCCAAGGCAACTGCATGCAACGTGCTGTAAGACGCTGAGAAAGGACCAGACAGGGATGATACCCAGGCAGGCATGACAGGTCCTGTGGACCCTGTACAGGGAAATAGTCCCCCAGTGTCAAGAGGTATGGGTCTTCACTCTGGCCCCCACAGAATGAACAACCCTGAGTATAAAGAGCAGTCTGAGGCTCCTACCATCTATCACCCACAGCTGTCTGTGCCACCTCTGGCATCTCCCTTTCTTTTCTTTTCTTTCGTCTTTTTGTTTGTTTGTGTTTGTTTTGAGACACGGTCTCACTCTGTCCCCAGGCTGGAGTGCAGTGAAGCGATCTCGGTGCAACCTCCACCTCCTGGGTTCAAATGATTCTCCTGCCTCAGCTCCCGAGTAGCTGGGATTACAGGAACCTGCCACCACACCCAGCTAATTTTTGTATTTTTAGTAGAGACGGAGTTTCACTATGTTAGCTAAGATGGTCTCGAACTCCTGACCTCAAGTGATCCACCCACTTCGGCCTCCCAGAGTGCTAGGGTTACAGCATGAGCCACTGTGCCCGGCTTTTTTTTTTTTTTTTTTTTTTGAAACAGGGTCTTGCTCTGTTGCCCAGGCTGGAGTGCAGTGGTGCAATCTCAGCTCACTGCAACCTCCATCTCCTGGGCTCAAGTGACCTTCCCACCTCAACCTCCTGAGTAGCTGGGACTACAGGCAAGCCGGGCTAATTTTTGCATTTTTGTAGAGACAGAGTTTCGCCATGTTGCCCAGGTTGGTCTCAAACTCCTGGGCTCAAGTGATCCTCCTGCCTTGGCCTCCCAAAGTGCTGGAATTACAGGTGTGAGCCACTGTGCCTGGCTACCTCCTTTTCTTTCTGGGATTAGCAATACCAGCACGGTTTGGAGGCAATGGGGCACAAAGTTACATTTAGCATTTCAACAGAGTTCCACAACTTAGCAAATGTTACTGAAAAACTTCACCTACTGTCCTAAGCTTCGGTGCACTCTTGACCCCAAGCCTCCAACAACTGAGCCTTCAGGTCAGTCCCATCCAACAAGGAGCTTATGAACAGATGCCAAATGGGGCTAGAGGGACATCCACTGTAAAGAGTTCACTCCAGGCAGGGCACCAGTTTCAACAGCGCGATTTCTCCCTGCATTCACCCCAGGCAGGGCTCATGCATCTACCTCAGGCACACAGCCAAGCTGACTGTCAAACAGTCAAGAGACTTGCTTTCCAACACGGCCATCTTCACAGTCCCAGTTCACATGGCTATCCCTGAGGAGTCCTCTCAGCAACTAAATTCTCCCTATGAGACCAACATGTTCCATTTTCCCCATAATGCCCAACCCTAGGCTCAGCAAACCTCATCTCTTGGGACTGGAGACTGTCTCTGAATAGGATCTCTGTGTGTGCACAGGGTGTCATGTGGACACTCAATGGCTGCCTGGCCTATTCTCCCACTCCCCACCCCCATCTCCATCCCAGGGAGGCATCTTTGAGAGCTAGACTCTCCTGGACTTCCACCCCAAGGCCCTGGTAACACTCCTTTCCATATCACCCCCAAACACCATTCCAGGGAGGTGAACACAGCAGGGCTGACAGGATTGTGGGAGTGGGGTCCTGAGTGTCTTAACTTTGTTCAGTCAGGAAGACTGTTTTTCTGAGTGCTGATGTGACTGTACAGGAACACAGCCCATAGTCCAAAGTACCAGAAGTGACCCCACGGGGGTCATGCATGGCCCTGATACATCCGTGAGCTGGCACACATGCTAAAAGACCAGGCGCTCAAAGAGGGCATGTGTCTGTGGGACACAAGGACTATCAATGGGCAAATGCAGCTCCAAAACAACCCCATCCACATTTCAGGACACTTGCAGCTATTTATAGAATCTAGGGACATTCAGAGAGTCATAAGGATCCCAGAAATAGAGTTTCACTCTACAAGCACCTCCATCTACATCCTAGACCCTCACTCAGCCTGCTGTGGCCTGAAGTGGTGACAGAATACAACCGCATGGCGCCCTGGGCTTCCTCCCTTGAGCTCCTGGATCTGAGGGCAGGCCAGCCTCTGTGGCTCCTGTACTGCCTATAGCCCCTCCCAGGGGCTGGCATCCTGCACAGCTCAGATTGTGGATACCTTTTCACCCAATATTTCCACTCAGAATTTCCCTGCCTCCTGAGAAGCCTCTGTTTTCATTAACTACTTTGTAAATTCTGAACTATAATTCTGTCTCAGGTGACTCTTCATACCCAAATCCAACTTCTTAAAGTTTATTAAAGGAAAACACATTAACTTATTCCACTTTAACAGAGAAACTAATACCTGAAATCTTTATAGTCATATTAGCATGCTGTAAAAATGAAGCACAACAAAAGTTGGAACCTTCTCTTCTCTCAATCAGGTGATAGAAAGCAAGGCTGTTCTTGTCTTTAGGGCAGCACCAGGTGCTGCCTATGACATGTCACATATATTTAAGCATTCAGACCTCTCAACAGCCTCCTGGGGTTGGTATTACAAATCTCTCCAGTAATTGATACTACCTTATAAAAGAAATACGAAAAACTGGTCAGGTGTGGTGGCTTACACCTGTAATCCTAGCACTGTGGGAGGCCAAGGCAAGAGAATTGCTTGGCTCCAGGAGTTCAAGACCAGCCTGGGCAAGATAATGAGAGCACCCCCCGCCGCCCCGACACACACACACCGACCATTGCTAAAAAAAATTTAAAAATTAGCCCAGAGTGATGGTGTGTGCCTGTAGTCCCAGCTACTTGGGGGGCTGAGGCAGAAGAATCACTTGAGCCCAGGAGTTCAAGGTTACAGTGAGTCGTGATTGCACCACTGCATTCCAGCCTGGGTGACAAAGAAAGACCCCATCTCAAAAACTCAAGTACTTGGGCTGGGCACAGTGGCTTATGCCTGTAATCCCAGCACTTTGGGGGGCCAAAGGGGGCGGATCACGAGGTCAGGAGATCGAGACCATCCTGGCTAACACGGCGAAACCCCGTCTCTACTAAAAATACAAAAAAAAAAAAAATTAGCCGGGCGTGGTGGCGGGTGCCTATAGTCCCAGCTAGTTGGAAGGCTGAGGCAGGAGAATGGTGTGAACCTGGGATGTGGAGCTTACAGTGAGCCGAGATTGCGCCACTGCACTCCAGCCTGGGCGACAGAGCAAGACTCAGTCTCGAACAAACAAAAAAAAATTTAAAATTAAAAAAATTAAAAACTCAAGTACTCCTTCATGTATAACTCCCAGGAGTTGGGCCAGGCACAGTGGCACACGCCTGAAATCCCAGCACTTTGGGAGGCCGAGGCGGGTGGATCACCTGGGGTCAGGAGATCGTGACCAGCCTAATGTGGTGAAACCCCCTCTCTACTAAACACACAAAAAAATTAGCCAGGTGTGGTGGTGCATGCCTGTAATCCGAGCTACTTGGGAGGCTAAGACAGGAGAATTGCTTGTACCTGGGAGGCGGAGGTTGCAGTGAGCCGAGATTGTGCCATTGCACTCCAGCCTGGGCAAAAAGAGCAAAACTCTGTCTCAAAAAAGAAAGAAAAAAAAAACTCCCAGGAGTCAGGCCTAGGGGCCCAGGAAGACCCACCAAGGTCCTTTTTTTTTTTTTTTTTTTTGAGATGGAGTCTTGCTCCGTTGCTCAGGTTGGAGTGCAGTGGTGCCATCTCGGCTCACTGCAACCTCTTGCCTCCCAAGTTCAAGCGATTCTCCTGCCTCGGCCTTCCAAGTAGCTGGGACTACAGGCGCCTGCCACAACACCCAGCTAATTTTTTTGTATTTTTAGTAGAGACAGGGTTTTGCCATGTTGGCCAAGCTGGACTCGACCTCCTGACCTCAGGTGATCCACCCGCCTCAGTCTCCCAAAGTGCTAGGATTACAGGTATGAGCCACCGCGCCCTGCCCAAGTTTCTTTATTTTAACCCATGTCACGCTACCAGGCAGAACAGCAAGTGCTCCTGACCTGTAAGTACTCACCTGAGCACATCTTCTGGGTGTTTCTGTTGTAGTTTCTTCCCCAAACCAAACCCAAAGAAGCACACGGCAAACATGGGAGTGACCCCGATGATAGGGGCAGCCATTCCCCGATATAGCCCCGTGATGCCCTGCAAGGAATCACAGAAGCAGAAGCTGTTTACAGACACCACCACCTTTTAAATCACTGAAAGAGGAAAGCAGTGTGTCCTCCAAACTGTGGCTTCCTTCACCTCTTCTTGAAGCAAGGAGAACTTTAAATGGAAGAAAATCTCCCACATTTATCAGAAATAATTTTCCTATTATGCTGGAGAAACTGAAGGCAGTTTCCATTCTCAAAGGCAATCTGTTTTTGTTTTGGGGGCTTTTTTTTTCAGACAGGGTCTCACTCTGTCGCCCAGGCTGGGGTGCAGTGGTGCGATCACAACTCATCACAGCCTTGATCCCCTGGGCTCAAGTGATCCTCCCATCTCAGCCTCCCAAGTAGCTGGGACTACAGGCGTGCGCCACCATGCCCACCTAATTTTTGTATTTTTTGTAGAGACAGGGTTTTGCCATGTTGCCCAAGCTGGTCTCGAACTCCTGGGCTCAAGTGATCCTCCTGCCTTGGCCTATTAAAGTGCTGGGATTATAGGCATAAGCCACTGCACCCGGCCAGCAATCTGCCAATATGTAGCATACCCTTTCACCTGGAAATATTTTGTGTGGAAAATTTATTGCAAGGAATTTATTCTAGGGAAATACTCAGAGGTGTAAAAAGAATAACCTCAGGCACTTATAAGGTACCAAAATTTTGGGGAAAAAAACAAAAGCTGCCAAATAGAAGACAAATTATAAACTCCATAAATGGAGTCACATGGCCAAGAAATCACATTATAACATGAGAAGAGATTATTAAGTAAAAAAAAAAAAAAAAGCTACAAAACAGGATACACAACGTGATCTACCTTCTTTGGGGTAAGATTACAAGTGATTAAGAAAATGTTTTATATTTTCCAGGTATTAAGATGGGACTTTTGTTAGAACTGCACAGCAATTTTCACTAGCACAGTTTAGTAATGAAAGGGAAGATGAGCCTGGGCAGCATAGCAAGACCCTGTCTCTACAAAAACAAATAAAAAATAAAAGTTAGCCAGACGTGGTGGTGTGTGCCTGTAGTCCTAGGCAGTCAGGAGGCTGAGTTGGGAGAATAACTTGAGCCAAGGAGTTCAAGGCTGCAGTGAGCTATGACCTTGCCACTGTACTCTACCCTGGGTGACAGAGTGAGACCCCATCTCTAGAAAAAAAAAAAGAAAGTGAATTATGTGGTAACCAATAAATAATTAGACAGACAGACAAATACATACATAAATACCCTGCCAAACAAGGTGGTAAACGAGGAAGATTCAGGACCTGGGAGACCAGGGGGCCAGTCCAAGAGAGATGAAATGCGTTTCTAGGATGGCACAGGGTGCAGTGGACCTGGGAAGCAGTCAGTCCACAGGGCAGTAGAGGACTCCAAAAGCGATGTTTCCAAGAAAAACAGAACAAGGCTGGGTGCAGTAGCTCATGCCTGTAATTCCAGCACTTTGGGAGGCCAAGGCAGGCGGATCACAAGGTAGGAGATCAAGACCATCATGGCCAACATGGTGAAACCCCGCCTCTACTAAAAATACAAAAATTAGCTGGGTGTGGTGGTGCATGCCTGTAATCCCAGCTACTCAGGAGCTGAGGCATGAGAATCGCTTGAACCTGGGAGGCAAAGGTTGCAGTGAGCCGAGATTGTGCCACTGTACTCCAGCCTGGCAACACAGCAAAATTCCATCTCAAAAAAACAAAACTAAACTAAAACAAAAACAGAACAAAACAATACACACTAGAACAACAGAAAATAACTCCTTAGGCAGTGTGTAGCAAACCAAACAGAAAGGTACACTACAGAGCATTTAGGGTACAGAATGACAGAGACAGTGATTCAAAGACAAACAAAACAAAAGATTTAACACAATTATTAACCCAATCCCAAGGGAAACAAGAAGTTACACAAGGAATGGAATGCACATCATACTTCATACTTACTTAAGAGAAAAAATATATATAAAGTTGTAATCATGAAAATGGTGAATTGGATTAAACCACAAAGGGTGATAAAATCATATGGATGGGCAGGGCAGAAGGAGGGGATAGGGAGACTAAGAGCTAAAATATAAAATAATGTACCACAAATAGGTAGCTAAAAAATATAAAAATGTATAAAATATAATAGTAATGGCCGGGTGCGGTGGCTCATGCCTGTAATCCCAGCACTTTCAGAGGCCAAGGCGGGCGGATCACCTGAGGTCGGGAGTTCGAGACCAGCCTGACCAACATGGAGAAACCCTGTTTCTACTAAAAATACAAAATTAGCCAGGCGTGGTGGCACATGCCTGTAATCCCAGCTACTCAGGAGGCTGAGGCAGGAGGATCGCTTGAACCGGGAGGCGGAGGTTGCAGTGAGCCGAGATCGCGCCATTGCACTCCAGCCTGGGCAACAAGAGTAAAACTCCGTCTCAAACAAAAAATAATAATAATAAAAATAAATAAATAAAATATAATAGTAAATGTATATTATGTAGATAGGTGGAAACAGCATAAACAACTGAAAAAATTGAAAGTAGTTGCCTCTGGAGAATGAAGGAAAGAGATAAATATCACTTTGTTACTTTGTCATAAGCTTCTCAGTAACAAATGAAGTGCCTGTATCAGGGCCTATAATCTCAGGTACGCAGGAGGCTGAGACGGGAGGATCACTTGAGCCCAGGAGTTCAAGACCAGCCTGGGTAAAATAGCAAGACCCCATCTCAAAACCATTTTTTTAAAACAAATACAAAAAAATTTTAAAGTTTCTCCTTATAGAGAGTAGCAGGAGAATCAGGGTGAGGCTGCACACTGGCAGGGCTCCACAGACCCAGGCTGAAGAACCTGCCTCACTGCAGACCCTGGGTATCCAAACTTTCTTTTCAGAATCAAAGTGGCACAACTGTACCTGTCAGCATTCCTCCTAATTCCTGCAAAAGCCTAAACTGCTGCAGGCTGCAGGTGGACTCCAAGAACAAAGTACAGAGGCAGTAAATGGGAAAAGGACAGAGATCTGAGGAGGATCTGCAAAAGTAGCATATGACAAAGTCCATTCAAAGCCATTCCCACAGCTCCCTACATGAGCTAAAAGGATGACCAGGTCCTGAGAGGTCAAGCCCATTCCTCCTGAACAACTTGTCTAGTCTTCCTTCCACTAGAATGGCCAACCCAGTTCCATGTTTCACAACCTACAGACCCCTGCCTGGCAGCTCCAGAAAGCAGAAAGCTCAAATCTGGCACAGGAAAAACCAGGACATGCACAAATATGGACTAAGGAAGCCTATTCAACTCTTCAAAGACTTGGGTTTATACAAGACATTCTCACCACAACTCCAGGACCCAGCACATTGCCCACCCCTAGGCAGGTGTTCAATAACGTCTAATGACCAAGAGGCAGGTAAGCCTACCTTCCTTCTGTAAGGGCAGAGGACTCTAAGTGGACCTGAAGCCTAGAACCTCCATCAGACACTGCTCAGACTCTACCCTGGGCACTAGAGATGTAAGGAGGAGGAGCTTAAAGAAGAAAGAACAAGGCCAGGTGCCATGGCTCACGCCTGTAATTCCAGCACTTTGGGAGGCCAAGGAGGGCAGATCACGAAGTCAGGAGTTCAAGACCGGCCTGGCCAATATGGTGAAACCCCATCTCTACTAAAAATACAAAAATTAGTCGGGCATGGTGGCAGACGCTTGTAGTCCCAGCTACTCGGGAGGCTGAGGCAGGGAGAATTGCTTGAACCCGGGAGGCGGAGGTTGCAGTGGGCTGAGATCGTGCCACTGCACTCCAACCTGGGTGACAGAATGAGACTCCATAAAAAAAAAGAAGAAGAAGAAAGGGCAGGCCAGGCGTGGTGGCTCATATCTGTAATTCCAGCGCTTTGGGAGGCTGAGGCAGGCAGATCACCTGAGCTCAGGAGATTAAAACCAGCTGGCCAACATGGCAAAACCCATCTGTACTAAAATTATAAAAATGAGCTGGGCATTGTGGCAGGTGCCTGTAATCCCAGCTACTTGGGAGGCTGAGGCAGGAGAATCACTTGAACCCAGGAGGTGGAGGTTGCAGTGAGCCAAGATCGGACCACTGCACTCCAGTCTGAGTGGCAGAACAAGACTCCATCTCGAAAAAAAAAAAAAAAAAAAAAAGAAGGGTAGCACCACCTCACTCAAGGACGGTTGGGCAGGCACTGCCTCAAGATCTTCCTAAGCCAGATGCAGTGGCTCATGCCTGTAATCCCAGCACTTTGGGAGGCTGAGGCGGGCAGATCACAAAGTCAGGAGTTTGAGACCAGCTTGGCCAACATGGTAAAACCCCATTTCTACTAAAAACACAAAAATTAGCCGGGCATGGTGGCAGGTGCCTGCAATCCCAGCTACTCGGGAGGCTGAGGCAGGAGAATCACTTGAACCCGGGAGGCAGAGTTTGCAGTGACCGAGATTGCGCCACTGCACTCCAGCCTGGGCAACTGAACAAGACTCTTGTCTCAAAATAAATAAATAAATAAATAAATAAATAAATAAATAAATAAATAGTTTAAAAAGATCTTCCTTCTGCACCCAAGTCCTACAGGAATCCTGGGAACAACTTCGCCAAGGCTGAGTCCATCACTTACTATCACTCCCTTTTTATCTGGATGACTACTACTTAGTTTCTGTATATTTAATCAAGGCTATAAATTTAGAGACTATAATAGAGTGTTTATATGAAAGTTATATTTTAGGGCCAGGCGTGGTGGCTCATGCCTGTAATCCCAGCACTTCGGGAGGCTGAGGCGGGTGGATCATGAGGTCAGGAGATCGAGACCATCCTGGTTAACATGGTGAAACCCTGTCTCTACTAAATATACAAAATTAGCCAGGCATGGTGGTGCATGCCTATAATCCCAGCTACTCAGGAAGCTGAGGCAGGAGAATCACTTGAACCAAGGAGATGGTTCAAGAGATTGCGGTGAGCCAAGATTGTGCCATTGCACTCCAGACTGGACAACAAGAGCAAAACTCCGTCTCAAAAAAAAAAAAGTTATATTTTAGGAAGCAAAGGAAAAGATCTCAATGAGGTCTTTAAGACCTGTGTTAATGAAGTTATTTATTATTATTATTAATATTATTCTTATTTTGAGACAGAGTTTTATTCTTTTTGCCCAGGCTGGAGTGCAATTAGCCAGGCATGATGGCACATGCCTGTAATCTCAGCTACTCGGGAAGCTTAGGCAGGAGAATCTCTTGAGCCTGGGAGGCAGAGGTTGCAGTGAGCCAAGTTCATGCCACTGTAGTCAAGCCTGGGCAACAGAGTGAGACCATGTCTCAAAATATATATATATAATAATAATAATAACTCCAAACCAATTTAATGTCCCTGTCTAGGGGAACTGGAGACTGATAGCTTCTCTCAGTGTTTCTAGGACTGGCTGACTTTTCCTTCAGACTTTATTCATATGCGCTTCTGACATGGATCCCTATCAAACTGACTGATCCAGATGCAGGTGTACATTTTCTTTTTTCTTTTTCTTTTTTTGAGACAGAGTTTCACTCTTGTTGCCCAGGCTGGAGTGCAATGGTGCAGTCTCAGCTCACTGCAGTGTGGGCAAAGGATTACCTAGGTGCCGAGGCAACAGACTGAAGGCACAAACTGTTTCACTATAATAAAGAAAATAGAATAGTTATAATACAAATTAGATATAGAGATGATCATGGACATTATCAATCATTAGTATAAACATTATTAATCATTAGCTTTTAATATTACTCTTTGTTGTATTACTAATATAAACAAGAAATAACCGGCAGGTATAGGGTCCGGTGCTGAAGGGACATTGTGAGAAGTGACCAAGAAGGCAAGAGGTGAGCCCTCTGTCACGCCCGCATAAGGGCCGCTTGAGGGCTCCTTGGTCAAGCAGTAACGCCAGTGCCTGGGAAGGCACCCGTTACTTAGCAGACCATGAAAGGGAGTCTCCTTTCCTTGGAGGAGTCAGGGAACACTCTACTCCACCAGCTTCTTGTGGGAGGCTGGATATTATCCAGGCCTGCCCAGTTTTCCAGAGGCCTAAACCCCTCCCTGTGACGCTGTGCTTCAGTGATCACGCTCCTTGTCCACTTTCATGTTCCTCCCATACTCCTGGTTCCTCTTTGATCTCGCTCTGTCACCCAGGCTGGAGTGCAGTGGCAGGATCTCGGCTCACTGCAAGCTCCGCCTCCTGGGTTCACGCCATTCTCCTGCCTCAGCCTCCTGAGTAGCTGGGACTACAGGCGCCCACCTCCATGCCCAGCTAATTTTTTGTATTTTTTTTAGTAGAGACGGGGTTTCACCGTGTTAGCTAGGATGGTCTTGATCTCCTGACCCTGTGATCCACCTGCCTCAGCCTCCCAAAGTGCTGGGATTACAGGCATGAGCCACCGCGCCCGGCCTGATCTTTCTTATAAGTGCATAGAGGAAAATGCTGATGTATGCTGCCTTCCCTCTCTGCTTCGGCTACCTAAAACAGAAGGGCTCCCTATCCCATGATCACGTGATTTGCCTGACCTTATCAATCACTTGGATAACTCACCCTCCTTACCCTGCCCCCTTGTCTTTTTTTTTTTTTTTTTTTTTGAGATAGAGTCTCGCTTTGTCGCCCATGCTGGAGTGCAGTGGTGTGATCTCAGCTCACTGCAAGCTCCGCCTCCTGGGTTCACACCATTCTCCTGCCTCAGCCTCCCGAGTAGCTGGGACTACAGGTGCCCGCCACGACGTCCGGCTAATTTTTTGTATTTTTAGTAGAGATGGGGTTTCACCGTGTTAGCCAGGATGGTCTCGATCTCCTGACCTCGTGATCCACCCGCCTCAGCCTCCCAAAGTGCTGGGATCACAGGCGTGAGCCAGCGCGCCCAGCCACCCCCTTGTCTTGTATTCAATAAATATCAGCGCGCCCAGCCATGCAAGGCCACTACCAGTCTCCATGTCTTGGTAGTGGTCCCCCCGGCCCAGCTGTTTTCTCTTTATCTCTGTCTTGTGTCTTTATTTCTTATGATCTCTCATCTCCACACATGGGGAAAACATCCGCTAAGCCCCGTAGGGCTGGACCCTACACTGCAACCTCCCCGTCCTGGGTTCAAGCGATTCTCGTGCCTCAGCCTCCCAAGTAGCTGGGACTACAGGCGCATGCCACCGTGCACAGCCAATTTTTGTATTTTTAGTAGAGACGGGGTTTCATGATGTTGGCCAGGGTGGTCTTGAACTCCTGAACTCCGGCAATCCACCCACCTTGGCCTCCCAAAGTGCTGGGATTATAGGCGTAAGCCACCATGATTGGCCTTTTTTTGTTTTTCAGGCAGGGTCTCACTCTGTCACCCAGGTTGGAGTGCAGTGGTGCAATCTTGGCTCACTGCAAACTCTACCTCCTGGTGGAGTGATCCTCCCACCTCAGTCTCCTGAGTGGCTGGGACTACAGATGTACATGCGCTACCATGCCCCTCTAATTTTTGCATTTTTTGTAGAGATGACACTCTCTACATGTTGCCCAGGCTGGTCTTAAACTCCTGACCTCAAGTGATCCACCTGCCTTGGCCCCCAAAGCGCTAGGATTAGAGGCGTGAGCCACCACACCCAGCTCAGATGTACATTTTCTTCCATTTCACATCTCAATTATTACTCACTAGTTCTCCGTCGTCTAAATTCCATCTTCCAAAAGAGAGAACCATTTTATTAGCCTTAGTCATCTGTATAAAACAGTAGCTAGAACTATCAGAGACTCCAAAGCAGATGACAACAGGGGGGCACAGGGTGGCGTGGTGAAGGAGCGGCAGCTGTGAGCTAGCTGTCCAGCAGAACCACACAGTTAACCTACTCTCCTTGGGGGTAACAAATCAACCCCGTGAATGTGTTCTGAGTAAGAGGAATGCCCAGCACCATATACCAACCTCTCTAAAAAGAGTCTTCCGGAAACAGTCAAAGGTCCCAGAGTACATGGGAGGTTGTCCAGGCAAACTCGGTGGCTGTGTCTGCAGTCGGACCTGAAAACAGAAGTTAAAATGCAGTCACCTACCAGAATCAGAACTGCCTGTCAGCAGCAATGGCCCAACTGTCTGCCAAACTGAACAGGGAAGGCTGTACCCTTGTACATGTCTTTGGCATTCACTTAACCTGCTGGATTCAAACTTCTCTTTCATTTCATTAGTACTTCATTCCTTTTATTGGCAAATAATATCCCATCGTATGAATAAATCACATTTTGTATGCCTGCCTATTCATCAGTTCATAGACATTTGTGTTTTTCCTACTTTTTGATTATTATGAATAATGCTGCTATAAACATTTGTGTACAAGTTTTTTGTGTGGATATATGTTTTCAGTTCTCTTCGGTATTGTATTGGTCAGAATTCTCCAGAGAAACAGAACCAACAGGAGATATATATCAAGAGATTTATTATAAGCAATTGGCTCATACAATTATAAAGGTTGAGAAGTCCCAAGATCTGTAGTCGGCAAGTTTGAGACCCAAAAAGAACCAATGATTCAGTTCAAGTCTGAAGGCGGGAAAAGACTAATGTCCCACCTCAAGTATTCAGGCAGGAGTTCCCTCTTACTTGCAGGAAGTGTCAGTCAGCCTTTTGATCTATTTAGGCCTTCAACTGGATGAGGTCCACTCACATTAGGGAGGACAATTAGCTTTAATCAGTCCACAGATTCAAATGTTAATATCCAAAACCACCCTCACAAGCACACTCAGAATAATGTGTGACCAAATACCTAGGTACTCTGTGGCCTAGTCAAGGTGACACATAAAATTAACCATCACAGGTATTTATCCACTGGCATAATTTCTAACTTATATGTCAACTCTGTTTAAACCTTTTGAGGAACTGCCAGACTGTTTTGCAAAGTGGCTGCACCATTTTATATTCCCATAAGCAGTCTAGGAGGGTCCCAATTTCTCCATATCTTCAATACTTATTATCTTTATATATATATACTTTTTTTTTTTGGAGACAAGGTTTCACTCTGTCACTCAGGCTGGAGTGCGGCGGTGTGGTCAATAGCTCACTACAACCTTGACCTCCTGGGCTCATGCAATCCTCCCACCTCAGCCCCCCAAGCAGCTGGGACTACAGGTGCACACCACAATGCCAGGCTAATTTTTATTGTTTTTGTAGAGACAGAATCTCACTATATTGCTCTATATCTAACTTTTTTTTTTAAGCCATCATATTGGGTATGAGGTGGTATGTCATTGTGATTTTGATTTGCATTTCCATGATGGATAATGACACTGAACAACTTCTCACATGCTTATTAGCCCATCTTCAGAGAAATGCCTATTTAGGTCCATGGCTGGGTGTGGTGGCTCACATCTGTAATCCCAGAACTTTGGGAGGCAGAGGTGGAAGGATCACTTGAGGCCAGGAGTTCAAGATTACAGAAAACTGTGATGGTGCCACTACACTTCAGCTTGGGTAAAAGAGCAAGACCTGGTCTCTTTTTATTTATTTATTGAGACAGGGTCTCACTGTCTCGCCCATGCTGGAGTGCAGTGGTATGATCTTGGCTCACTGCCACTTTCGCCTCCCAGGCTCAGGTGATCCTCCCACCTCAGCCTCCCAAGTAGCTGGGACCTCAGGTGCATGCCATGCTCGGCTAATTTTGGTTTTTTTGTAGAGATGGGTTTTCACCATGTTGCCCAGGCTGATCTGGAACTCCTGGACTCATACAATCTGCCTGCCTTAGCCTCCCAAAGTGCTACGATTACAGATATGAGCCACCATGGCCAGCCAAGACCCAGTCTCTTTAAAAAAGAAAAAAAAAAAAAAAAAAAAAAAGGAGGCCAGGCGCGGTGGCTCACACCTGTAATCCCAGCATTTTGGGAGGCTGAGGTGGGTCAATAACCTGAGGTCAGGAGTTCAAGACCAGCATGGCCAACATGGCAAAACCCTGTCTCCACTAAAAATACAAAAATTAGCCAGGTGTGGTGGCACGCACCTGTAATCCCAGCTACTTGGGAGGCTGAGGCAGGAGAATTGCTTGAACCCGGGAGGCAGAGGTTGTGGTGAGTCAAAATCGCACCTTTGCACTTCAGCCTGGGCAAGAGTGAGACTCCTTCTCAAAAAAAAAAAAAAAAGAAGAAGATTCTCTCTCTCTCTCTCTCTCTCTCTCTCTCTCTCTCGACAGGGTCTTACAGGCTGGAGTCTTTGCCGATTTTTAATTGGATTGTCTTTTTTTTTTTTTTTGAGGCAGAGTCTTGCTCTGTCACCCAGGCTGGAGTGCAGTGGCTCAATCTCAGTTCACCACAAGCCTCCTGGGTTCAAGTGATTCTCCTGTCTCAGCCTCCCGCGTAGCTGGGATTACAGGTGCGTGCCACCACACCCAGGTAACTTTTGCATTTTTTTTTTTTTTTTTAGTAGAGACAGGGTTTCGCTGTGTTGGCCAGACTGGTCTCGAACTTCTGACCTCAGGTGATCCACCCGCCTCGGCCTCCCAAAGTGCCGGGATTACAAGCATGAGCCACCGGCCCGGCCCTGATAAATGTTTATTGTTGTTTTAAGCCATTAAGTTTTGGGGTAAGTTGGTTTGGTTTTTTGGGTTTTTTTGAGACAAGGTCTTGCTCTGTCACCTAAGCTGGCATGCAGTGGTGCCATCTTGGCTAACTGCAGCCTTAAACTCCTGGGCTCAAGTGATCCTCCTGCCTCATTGGAGGAAACTGGTAAACCACAATAGATAACTGATATATCCAGTTACTTCTGCAGTCTTTTTCCTGAATTTTGTTTTGTTTTGTTTTGTTTTGAGACAGAGTTTCACTCATTGCCCAGACTGGAGAGCAATGGCATGATCTTGGCTCACCGCAACCTCTGCCTCCCAGGTTCAAGCGATTCTCCTGCCTCAGCCTCTCAAGTAGCTGGGATTACAGGCATGTGCCACCACTCCCGGATAATTTTGCATTTGTATATTTATTTTTATTTATTTATTTATTTTTTGAGATGTAGTTTCACTCGTCGCCCAGGCTGCACAGCAATGGTGCGATCTGGGCTCACCGCAACCTCTGCCTCCTGGGTTCAAGCGATTCTCCTGCCTCAGCCTCCCAAGTAGCTGGGATTACAGGTATGCACCACCAAGCCCAGCTAATTTTGTGTTTTTAGTAGAGATGGGATTTCTCCACGTTGCTCAGGTTGGTCTCGAACGTCCAATCTCAGGTGATCTGCCCGCCTCAGCCTCCCAAAGTGCTGGGATTATAGGCGTGAGCCACCATGCCTGGCCTAATTTTGTATTTTTAGTAGAGACGGAGCTTCTCCATGTTGGTCACCTGCTCTTGAACTCCCAACCTCAGGTGATCTGCCCGCCTCAGACTCCCAAAGTGGGATTACAGGCGTGAGCCACCGCGCCCAGCCCTTCCTGGATGTTTTTCCTGCTCACTGTTCTGCTTCCAAATCCTTCTCAAGGTTGCTATTATACTAACCTTTCCAAAACATCATTTTTACCATGTTGTTTCTTTATTTCTTTGGAATCTCTTATTCTTGTATTTGTCAGGTCCTTCTATATCATCATTTTTACCATTTTTTTAATAATTTCTTTAGAATTTATTATTCTTGTATTTGTCAGGGCCTTCCATATCAAACCAAGGAAGTCCCTCTCTGGGCAACAGAGGTGACACGTAAGTCTGAGGGGTTTATGGGACACAATAGAAATGCCCAGAGGCCACCATACCTTTACATCCAAAATCCCTCATATTGTCCTTCAGATCTCCCATAGTCAGGCATAACCTCCCCTAGTTAGTAGAGAGAGAGAAATGGATCAAAGCTTCTGACTAGACCAGGTACAGTGGCTCACACCTATAATCCCAGCACTTCAGGAGGCCAAGGCCGGAGGATCACTTGAGGCCACGAGTTTGAGACCAGCCTGCCCAACATGGAGAAACCCCATCTCTACTAAAAATACAAAAATTAGCCAGGCATGGTGGTGGGCACCTATAATCCCAGCTACTCAGGAGGCTGAGGCAAAAGAATTGCTTGAACTCGGGAGATGGAAGTTGCCATGAGCCAAGATCCTGCCACTGTACTCCAGCCTGGGTGACAGAGGGAGAGTCTTGTCTCAAAAAAAAAAAAAAAAAAAATTCTGACTAATACCTTGTTGTGATTTTTTTTTTCTTTTGAGACAGTGTCTCATTCTGTTGCCCAGAATGGAGTGCAAAGGCTCACTGCAGCCTCAAACTCCTAGGTTCAACCGATCCTCCAGCCTCAGCCGCCTGAGTAGCTGGGATTACAGATGTGCACCACCATGCCCAGCTAATTTTTGTATTTTTTATAGACATGAGGTCTTGCCATGTTGCCAAGGCTGCCTTTTTGTGATTTTATATACACTTCATACCTCATACCTGTCTCAACAGGATATCAGCCATCCAAACCAGCAAGAACATTAAAGTCCTTTGCAGGTGGTTTTTGTTTTGTTTTGTTTTGTTTTGTTTTGTTTTGTTTTGTTTTTGGGAAGGAGTCTCACTCTGTCACCCAGGCTGGAGTGCAATGGCACAATCTCAGCTCACTGCAACCTCCGCCCTGTGGGTTCAAGCGATTCTCCTGCCTCAGCCTCCCAATTAGCTGGGATTACAGGCACCTGCCACCACATGCAGCCAATTTTTTTTTTTTGTATTTTTAGTAGAGATGGGATTTCACCATGTTGGCCAGGCTGGTCTCGAACTCCTGACCTCAGGTGATCCACCTGCCTCAGCCTCCCAAAGTGCTGGGATTAACAGGCATGAGCCCACCGTGACCGGCCTAGGTTGTCTTATTTTATAATATGATCCCCACTTGCAAGCCACACTCACCTTCACTCCTGCCTTCCCATCAGACTGTCTGGGTCTCCCTACTCCTTCAGTCTGAACTCACCCAGCACTTGAATGCCTGTTCTAACGCACCACCTTCCATAGAGCCTTTTCATGACCCACTCTGAAGCGCTGCAGCTTTTGCCTTGTCAGGACACACAGCCCACAGCTCAGTTACACTATCTTGGACTTCTTTTTTTTCTTCTTCTCCTTTTTTTTTTTTTTTTTTAACCTTGGAACTCTGAAAGTACCTTAAGGTCAGGCTTTGATTGGAGCCCACCCAGCTCACTAAGGCCAAAAACACAGCAGTCAGCAATTTGTGGTTTTGGTTTAAGCTAAAAAGAGGCTTTCTGGTTGCTAAATATGCCAGTGAGCATTTCAGTTATTTGCACTTCAGTGCAGAGGTCATCCAGTCCTTCTTGGGAGTGACATCAAGGACAAAGGTGATATGGAGGTAGGAGCAATATTTGTGTGTGTGTGAATATATATATATATATATATATTTTTTTTTTTTTTTTTTTTAAGGGCGGCCCCAGAGGCCTAGAACTAATAAGATATCTGCCTATATGGACCAAGAGCAGGAAGAAAGGCCAGACAATCGTCCCTCAGTAGACAGTGCCGCTTGGAATGACCACAGTCTGGGAAGCACTAACACATGGCATTTACCACCAGCTAAATAAACATTTGATTTCATGTTGCACAATGACCTAGCCAGTCCAGCTACTTTAACCCTGGTCTTCCTATAGAATGACCCCAGTATGAGCTCTACTTCAGGGCAGCTCCTCTCTTGGATGAAAGGCAGCAAAGAGCTTGCTGCCCAAGCTGGCCAAGAGGAAGTGCCCACAAAACTATTTCGCTGTGGAAGAAATCTGACCCAACATCCTAACAAACCCCCTCACATGGGCTTCCAATCTTTTAAAACTCATGTCTGCTCCCCACAGGCCCACCCTGGCAATGACTTGTCAATTTCCTTCACGTCTACGTCTAGAAAAAAAGTGAGAAAACTGGATGCAGCTTCGAGTGCTAAGCCATGGGGGATGGACTTTGGTCCCCAAGCAAAGCATTAATGAAGGTGTTGCAAGGGGAATAGTTGAGATATGATATGAGGAAGACCAGAGAACAATTCCTGATGAACGTCCTCCCTCCCAAGCCTCAGTCTGACCATAGCTTCCTCATCTGGGAGTTGTGAGAATGAGGCTGGCCTTGTGCAAAGCTGATCACCTTGCTTTCCGTGGAAGGGGCTCGGTCACTGAGGTCATCATTGCTTCTCACAGGGATGCCTCTGCCCAGGAGGCTGAGCAGGCCACCGTTGGGTGACAGGCCGAAGAGTGTCAAGTATCTCCCCGGGCCGGGAAAGGTGCGAAAGAGATGGGTACTCTTGCCCCAGGGGAATGTATCAAAGGACACCTCCAGAACAACCGTACCGCTCTGTCTTTAGTTGTCTTCCTGGGGCAGGCTTTACAGGGGACCTGTTTCAACCTTAACGATAATATTAGTGTTGGCTGAAACCAAAACTATGGAGAGACGTTTATTCCTTCCCATCCCTAAAGAAGTGGCGCAGGGTCAGAAGAGACTGCGGGACAGGGAACTTTACATCAGAGCTCTTGACAGGCAGTTAGAGGCTGCTCACTTTGCGCCGCCGCCTGGCTCTTTGGGGCGCAAGGTACAGCTTCCTGCCCACCCCTGAAAGAGAGATTCCCTAGACTTCTCACGGAAGCTCACACATGCCCCTCTTCTGCCCAGCGTCCGCGCCTCGCGGGGGACCATGCTTTCCGCGCCCCGCCCGGGCCTCCTCCCCAAAGCCTGCGACCCAGCCTCCCGCACCTTGACCGTGTCCAGAGGGTGACCGACGAACACCAGGCACACGCCGCCAAAGCCGCCGGCCAGCAGGTTCTTGAGCGGGCTGATGGGTTTTGGCTGGTCGGCCATGGTCAGTCCGTCTGTCACTCCGTCTGTCAGTTCTCGGGCCGTCCTGGCTTCTCAGCCCCAGCTGCAGTGCCGGCGCCGCCGACCTTTCACCCACTTTTGGGTGGGCGGGGCACGAGCCCGGGGCAGGTCGGGAGGAGGGCCCAGTTGGCACGGTAGGGCTTCCGCCCGGGGCTGCTTCCGGCCTCGGCCCCGCTTCGATGGGCGTGGCAGAGCGCAAAGCCGCATGGGCGGGGTTTGGGAGTGTGGGCCAGCGGGCCTATTCCTCCAGGAAGCCTTCCCAGACTTCCATGTTTCCTCTGAGCTCCCATTCATCCACTCACTCCAGAGAGATCAATTGCGCCCTGCCATATGCCAGGCGTCCTTCTAGGTGCTGGAGGCACCCCTGGTAGTACAACACACAGGTCCCTGTCCTCCTGGAATTTACAGACCATAACAAAGATAAATAACTAAAAAATGCATAGTGTATCAAGTAGTAATAAGTACTACGGAGAAAAATCCAGGAAGAGAGTTAGAGGGTGTGTGGGACAAGTGATTTGCAATTTTAGTTCGTTGAATAAGGGAGGGTTTAACTGAAAAGGTGACAGGATTCAAGACCTGAGAAGATGAGAGAGGGAGTTCTGTTCACACATAACAGGGTCAAGGGTGAGGAACCTTCCACCCAGAAGAAAAAGAAAATGCAAAAGCCTTGAGATGGTCTGTGCCTGACATGTTTGAGAAACCACAGGAAGAGGGAGGGTAGTAGCTGATGAGGCGACAGAGGTTTTGGAGGCACTAGAAGACAGGTTTGGGCCTGGTGTTATGGCTCATGTCTGTAATCCCAGCTCTTTGGGAGGCCAAGGCGAGAGGATTGCTTAAACCCAGGAGTTTGAGACCAGCCTGACTTATATAGCGAGACTCTTGTCTCTAAAAAAAAAAAGTTAGGCCGGGCCCAGTGGCTCACACCTGTAATCCCAGCACTTTGGGAGGCCAAGGCAGGCATATCAACTGAGGTCAGGAGTTTGAGACCAGCCTGACCAACATGGAGAAACCCCGTCTCTACTAAAAATACAAAATTAGCGGGGCATGGTGGCGCATGCCTGTAATCCCAGCTACTTGGGAGGCTGAAGCAGGAGAATCACTTGAACTTGGGAGGCAGAGATTGCGGTGAGCCCAGATCGTGCCATTGCACTCCAGCCTGGGCAAAAAGAGCGAAACACTGTCTCTACAAAAAAAAAAAAAAAAAAAAAAAAAAAAAGTTAAAGGCCCGACGCAGTGGCTCATGCCTATAATCCCAGCACTTTGGAAGGCCAAGGCAGGTGGATCACCTGAGGTCAGGAGTTCAAGACCAGCCTGGCCAACATGGTCAAACCCCGTCTCTACTAAAAATACAAAAACTTGCCAGCCGTAATGGCAGACGCCTATGCCTGTGATCCCAGCTACTCGAGAGTCTAAGGCAGGAGAATCGCTTGAGCCCAGGAGGCGGAGCTTGCAGTGAACCGAGATCTTGCCACTGTCTCTCCTCTGAAGGACGTAGAAGTCATTGCAGGGTACTGAGTGGGGAGCGACATAGTCTGACATCGTTATCAGGATCCCCCTTTGATTGCTGGGTGAAAATAGACTCCAGGGGGCAAGAAGAAACAAGGAGCCTTAAGGAGGCTAAAAGCCATGGCCAGAGATGTTGACTTGCGCCAGGGCATAACAGAGGAGGTAGTAAGAAGTGGTCAGATTCGGCCGGGCGTGGTGGCTCACGCCTGTAATCCCAGCACTTTGGGAGGCCGAGGCGGGTGGATCTCAAGGTCAGGAAATCGAGACCATCCTGGCTAACATGGTGAAACCCCGTCTCTACTAAAAATACAAACAAAAAAATTAGCCGGGCATCATGGCGGGCATCGTGGCGGGCATCTGTAGTTCCAGCTACTCGGGAGGCTGAGGCAGGAGAATGGCGTGAACCTGGGAGGCGGAGGTTGCAGTGAGCTGAGATCGTGCCACTGCACTCCAGCCTGGGTGACTGAGCAAGACTCCGTCTCAAAAAAAAAAAAAAAAAAAAAAAAGAGGTGGCCAGATTCTGGATATAGTCTAAAGAAAAAAAAATTTTAAGTTGTCAATTAATAGGATATAAAGCAGCTAGGCACAGTGGTTCACGCCTGTAATCCCAGCACTTTGGGAGACCGAGGCATACAGATCATGAGGTCAGGAGATCGAGACCATCCTGGGTAACACAGTGAAACCCCTTCTCTACTAAAAACACAAAAAATTAGCCAGGTGTGATGGCACAGTGCTTGCAGTCCCACCTACTCAGGAGGCTAAGGCAGGAGAATCGCGTGAACCCGGGAGGTGGATTTTGCAGTTAGCCAAGATCACGCCACTGCACTCCAGCCTGGCAACAGAGTGAGACTCTTTCTCAAAAAAAAATAAAATAAATTAAAATAAATAAATAAATAAAAAGGATATAAAAAGGATATAAAGGGTGTCAAAGAAGATTTAAGATTATGGGGCCGGGGCTGGGCGCAGTGGTTCACGCCTGTAATCCCAGCACTTTGGGAGGCCGAGGTGGGCGGATCATGAGGTCAGGAGATCGAGACTATCCTGGCTAACACGGTGAAACCCCATCTCTACTAAAAATACAAAAACTTAGCCGGGCGTGGTGGCAGTAGCCTGTAGTCCCAGCTATTCAGGAGGCTGAGGCAGGAGAATGGCAAGAACCCAGGAGGTGGAGCTTGTAGGGAGCCGAGATCGCGCCACTGCACTCCAGCCTGGGCAACAGAGTGAGACTCCGTCTCAAAAAAAAAAAAAAAAGAAAAGAAAAAAAAAGAATTATGGGCCGGGCACAGTGGCTCACACCTGTAATCCCAACATTTTGGGAAGCCCAGGCAGGCGGATCATGAGGTCAAAGTTCGAGACCAGCCTGGCCACCATGGTGAAATGCTCTCTCTACTAAAAATACAAAAATTAGCTAGGCGTGCTGGCATGTACCTATAATCCCAACTGCTCAGGAGGCTGAGGCAGGAGAATCGTTTGAACCCAGGAGGCAGAAGTTGCAGTGAGCCGAGACCACGCCATTGCACTCCACCCTGGGTGACAGAGCAAAACTCCGTCTCAAAAAAAAAAAAACCACAAAAAAACAACTATATGCATTGGAGCAAATTTTTAGAAAGGGATTCATAAATGCCTTCACACAGGAAAAAATAGGCAATCAAGCATTCTCATTCGAATGAGGGGCCAGGCGCAGTGGCTCACACCTGTAATCCCAGCACTTTGGGAGGCCAAGGTGAGTGGATCGTGAGGTCGGGAGATCAAGACCATCCTGGCCAACATAATGAAACCCCATCTCTACTAAAAATACAAAAATTAGCTGGGCATGGTGGCATGTGCCTGTAATCCCAATACTAGGGAGGCTGAGGCAACAGAATCACTTGAACCAGGGAGTGGGAGGTGGCAGTGAGCTGAGATGGCACCACTGCACTCCAGCCTGGCCACAGAGCAAGACTCTGTCTCAATAATCATCATCATCATCATCAGGGCCAGGCACCATGGCTCATGCCTATAATCCCAGAAATTTGTGAGGTCGAGAGAGGCAGATCATTTGAGGTCGGGAGTTCAAGACCAGCCTGACCAACATGGTGAAACCCCATCTCTACTAAAAATACAAAAAAAATTATCTGGTGTGGTCGTGGGTGCCTGTAATCTTGGCTACAAGGGAGACTGAGGCAGGAGAATTGCTTGAACCCAGGAGGCAGAAATTGCAGTGAGCAGGGATCGCTGACAGAGTGAGACTCTGTCTCAAAAAGAAAAAAAGAATCAGAACACATTATATATATATACTTTTTTTTTTTGAGGCGGAGTCTTGCTCTGTGGCCCAGGCTGGAATGCAATGGTGTGATATTGGTTCACTGCAACCTCCACCTCCAGGGTACAAGCGATTCTCTTGCCTCAGCCTCATGAGTAGCTGGGATTACAGGCACCCGCCACCACACCTGGCTGATTTTTGTATTTTTAGTAGAGACAGGGTTGGCCAGGTGCAGTGGCTCACATCTGTAATCCCAGCACTTTGGGAGGCTGAGGCGGGTGGATCACCTGAGGTCAGGCGTTCAAGACCAGCCTGGCCATCATGGTGAAACCCCATCTCTGTTAAAAATACAAAAATTAGCTGAGCGTGGTGGTAGGCACCTGTTATCTTAGCTACTCGGGAGGCTGAGGCAGGAGAATTTCTACAACCCGGGAGGTGGAGGTTGCAGTGAGCCAAGATCGTGCCATTGCACTCCAGCCCAGGCAACAACATCAAGACTCCATCTCTGAAAAAAAAAAAAAAAGATATAAAAATTAGTCAGGTGTGATGGCAGGCACCTGTAGTCCCAGCTACTTGGGAGGTGAGGTATGAGAATTGCTTGAACCCAGGAGGCAGAGGTTGCAGTGGGCCAAGATCTTGCCACTGTACTCCCGCCTGGGTGACAGAGAGAGATTCTGTCTCAAAAAAAAAAAAAAAAAATTGATCCTCATACTCAGCCAAACTAGCATCCAAGCAGGAGGATGAAACAGTATCACTCAACTATGCAAACAGACACGTGGGAAGTTGGCTCATGCCTGTAATCCCAGCACTTTGGGAGGCCAAGGTGGGCGGATCACAAGGTCAGGAGATCGAGAACATCCTGGCTAACATGGTGAAACCCCGTCTCTACTAAAAATACAAAAACAAAATTAGCCGGGCATGGTGGTGGGCGTCTGTAGTCTCAGCTACTCGGGAGGCTGAGGTGGGAGAATGGTGTGAACCCGGGAGGCGGAGCTTGCAGTGAGCCCAGATCGTGCCACTGCACTCCAGCCTGGGGGACAGAGCAAGACTCCGTCTCAAAAACAAAACAAAACAAAACAAAAAAAGTAGGAAGTTTGCTATACATGGCTGGGCATGGTCACTCACACCTGTAATCCCAGCTCATTGGGAGGCCAAGGTGAAAAAAAAAACACATAAAAATTAAAAAGCAAAAAGCAAAACCAAGAAAGAAAACATGGCAAGCAAATAAATTTGTGAAATCTGAAACCTGTAGTTATCTTTACGATCATTGATGTTAAAGTTTGCTATATGTGGGAAGGGCATGGTGGCTCAGGCCTGTAATTCCAGCACTTTGGGATCCTAAGATAGGAGAATTGCTTGAGCAATTCTCAAGTTAAAGACCAGTCTGGGAAACATGGCAAGACCCCCCCACATCTTTAAAAAAAAAAAAAATTGGCTTTTTTTTTTTTTTTTTTTTTGAGACGGAGTCTGGCTCTGTTGCCCAGGCTGGAGTGCAGTGGCGTGATCTCGGCTCACTGCAACCTCTGCGTGAGCCACCGCACCTGGCAACTTTTTTTTTCCTTAGAATCTCACTCCAACACCCAGGCTGAGTGCAGTGGTGTGATCTTGGCTCACTGCAACCTCCAGTTCCTGGGTTCAAGCGATTCTCCTGCCTCAGCCTCCTGAGTAGCTGGGACTACAGGCATGCACCACCAAATCCGGCTAATTTTTGTATTTTGTAGAAATAGGGTTTCACTATCTTGGCCAGGCTGGTCTCAAACTCCTGGCCTCAAGTGATCCAACTGCCTCAGCCTTCCAAAGTGCTAGGATTACAGGCATGAGCCACCGTGCCCAGCCTCCACTTTCTTCTTTATTTTTATTTTTTGAGACAGTCTTGCTCTGTAGCCCAGGCTGGAGTGCAGTGGCGCGATCGCGGCTCACTGCAACCTCCACCTCCCGGGTTCAAGCAATTCTTCTGCCTCAGCCTCCTGAGTAGCTGGGACTACAGGTGCCTGCCACCACGCCCAGCTAATTTTTTGTATTTTTAATAGAGACAAGGTTTCACCATGTTAGCCAGGATGGTCTCGATCTCCTGACCTCATGATCTACCCATGTCTGCCTCCCAGAGTGCTGGGATTACAGGCATGAGCCACTGCACCTGGCCAAGCTTTCACTTTCTTTTTCTTTTTCTTTTCTTTTTTTTTTTTTTTTTTTTGAGACAGACTCTCGCCCTGTCACCCAGGCTGGAGTGCAATGGCGACATCTGGGCTCACTGCAACCTCTGCCTCCCGGGTTCACAGGATTCTCCTGCCTCAGCCTCCCAAGTAGCTGGGATTACAGGCGTTCGCCACCACGCCCAGCTACTTTTTGTATTTGTAGTAGAGACGGGTTTCATCATGTCGGCCAGGCTGGTCTCCAACTCTTGACCTCCTGATCCGCCCACCTCAGCCTCCCAAAGTGCTGGGATTACAGGCGTGAGCCACTGTGCCCAGCCTCCTCCACTTTCTTATTTGAAAAACACATTAAATTTTTTTTTTTTTGAGACGACGTCTTGCTCCTTTTTCCCAGGCTGGAGTGCAATGGCCAGATCTCGGCTCACCGCAACCTCCGCCTGCCGGGTTCAAGCAATTCTCCTGCCTCAGTCTGGCGAGTAGCTGGGATTACAGACGGGTGCCACTACGCCAGGCTAATTTTTGTATTTTTAGTAGAGACAGGGTTTCACCATGTTGGCCAGGCTGCTCTTGAACTCCTGACCTTGTGATCTGCCTGCCTCAGCCTCCCAAAGTGCTGGGATTACAGGCGTGAGCCACCGCGCCAAGCCCAGAAAACATTAATTTTTAAAAAACAAAAAGGATAAAAAATAAAATGTCACTGTCCTCTAGACTGGATGGGAGTGTGAGATCCTGTCTCTACAAAAATAAAAAACAATAAAAAAAAGAAACATGGCCAGGTGTGGTGGCTCATCCCCTGTAATCCCAGCACATTGGGAGGCCAAGGCGGGAGGATAGCCTGAGACTAGGAGTTCGAGACCAGCCTGGACAACATAGTGAGACCTCGTCTCTACAAAAAAAAAAAAAAAAAAAAAATTGGCTGGGAGAGGTGGCTCACGCCTGTAATCCCAGCACTTTGGGAGGCTGAGGCGGGCGGATCGCCTGAGGTCAGGAGTTCAAGAAAAGCCTGGCTAACATGGTGGAACCTTGTCTCTACTAAAAAATACAAAAATTAGCTGTGCGTGGTGGCGGATGCCTGTAATCCCAGCTGCTCTGGAGGCTGAGGCAGGAGAATCCTTTGAAAATGGGAGGCGGAGGTTGCAGTGAGCCAGGATCGCACCATTACACTCCAGCCTGGGAGACAAGAGCCAAACCCCATCTCAAAAGGAAAAAAAAAAAAATTGGCCGGGCGCGGTGGCTCACGCCTGTAATCCCAGCACTTTGGGAGGCCGAGGCGGGTGGATCACGAGGTCAGGAGATCGAGACCATCCTGGCTAACACGGTGAAACCCCGTCTCTACTAAAAATACAAAAAATTAGCTGGGCGTGGTAGCGGGCGCCTGTAGTCCCAGCTACTCGGGAGGCTGAGGCAGGAGAATGGCGTGAACCCGGGAAGCGGAGCTTGCAGTGAGCCGAGATCGCGCCACTGCACTCCAGCCTGGGCGACAGAGCGAGACTCCGTCTCAAAAAAAAAAAAAAAATTAACCTGGCATGGTTATGCATGTCTGTGGTCCCAGATACTCATGAGGCTGAGGTGGGAGGATCCCTTGAGCCCAGGATGTTGAGGTTGTAGTGAGTCGTGTTTGTGCCACTGCACTCCAGCCTGGGTAACAGAGTGAGACTCCATTGCCAAAACAAAATACAAAAAACAAAACAAAACATCAAACTGAATCTAAGGGTTTTTTTTTTTTTTTGAGATGGGGTCTCACTCTGACGCCCAGGCTGGAGTGCAGTGGCACGATCTCAGCTCCCTGCAAACTCTGCCTCCCGAGTTCACGCCATTCTGCTGCCTCAGCCTCCCAAGTTGCTGGGACTACAGGTGCCCGCCACCACGCCTGGCTAATTTTTTTTTTTTTGTATGAGATTGTCTAAGAAATTTTTTTTTTTTCTGAGACGGAGTCTTGCTCTGTCGCCAGGCTGGAGTGCAGTGGCAACTAATTTTTGTATTTTTAGTAGAGACGGGGTTTCACCATGTTAGCCAGGATGGTCTCGATCTCCTGACCTCGTGAATCTGCCCACCTACGGCCTCCCAAAGTGCTGGGATTATAGGCGTGAGCCACTGCGCCTGGCCAGAAATTTTTGAAAAAGACCAATAAGGGCTTCAACCTGAGAAAGCTGATTGAAAGAAAAAAAATCAACGAAGGCATCTTGTTCTACCATACAGCAAAAAGAAACCGGCCAGTCATGGTGGCTCACACCTGTAATCCCAGCACTTTAGGAGGCCGAGGCGTGTGGATCACCTGAGGTAAGGAATTCGAGACCAGCCTGGCAACATGGCGAAAACCCATCTCTACTAAAAATACAAAAAGTAGCGGGACATGGTGGCACCCGCCTGTAGTCCCAGCTACTCGGGAGACTGAAGCAGGAGAATTGCTTGAACTCGGGAGGTGGAGGTTACAGTGAGCCGAGATCACACCAGAGCACTCCAGCCTGGGTGACGGAGCGAGACTGCATCTCTAAATAAAAAATTGGCCGGGTACGGTGGCTCATGCCTGTAATTCCAGCACCTTGGGAGGCCGAGGCAGGCGGATCACTTGAGGTTGGGTGTGTGAGGCCAGCCTGGCCAACATGGTGAAACCCTGTCTCTACTAAAAATATAAAAATTAGCCTGGCATGGTGGCGGGTGCCTGTATTCCCAACTACTTGGGAGGCTGAGACAGGAGAATTGCTTGAACCCAGGTGGTAGAGATTGCAGTGAGCTGAGATCGTGCCACTGCACTTCAGCCTGGGTGACAGAGTAAGATTCCATCTCAAAAATAAAATAAATAAATAAATAAAATAGAAAACAATTTTTAAAAAAGAAACCATGAAGCTGAAATTAAAACATTGTAGTATTGGACTGGGAATAGGCAAACAGACCTTCAAAACAGAACGAAGAGCCCAGATAACAAATCCATGGGAGACTGAGGCAGGATTGCTTTTTTTTTTTTTTTTTTTTTTTTTAGAAAGAGGCTCACTCTTTCCCCCAGGCTGGAATGCAGTAGCAGGATCTTGGCTCACTGCAACCTCCGCCTCCCAGGTTCAAGTGATTCTTCTGTCTCAGCTCCCCCAAGTAACCAGGACTCCAGGCACGTGCCACCACGCCTGGCTAATTTTTGTATTTTTTGGTAAAGATGGGGTTTCACTATGTTGGCCAGACTGGTCTTGAACTCCTTACCTCAGGTGATCTTTCCGCCTCAACCTCCCAAAGTGCTGGGATTACAGGCGTGAGCCACTGTGCCCAGCTGAGGTAGTATTGCTTTAACCCAGGAGGCAGGGGTTGCAGTGAGCCAAGATAGCACCACTGCACTCCAGCCTAGGTGACAGAGCATCACCTAGGGTCTTTTGAGACAGGGTCTTGCTCTGTTACCTAGGCTTGTCTCCTAGGCTAGGCCTCAGAAAAAAATTAAATAAATCAATAAATAAAATATTAGCATTTTGTACATATCTTTCAGGGCCCTTTCAATGAGTTAACATACATATTTATATATACAGCTATACACACCTACACACACACTTACACAAACTGTTTTCATTGATAAAAGGCTATATTGTAAATACCAGTTTGCTTTTTTCACTCAGTAGAGGCTGCTATTATTCTCCTAATTTCACAAATGAGCAAACTAAGTCACAGAGAGGTTAAGGTTCCCTGCCCAAGGTCACATGGACAGGAAGATGTGGAGTTGGGATTCTCTTTAAAGTATTATTTTAATTTTAGTTTTATTTTTTTGAGACAGGGTCTTGCTCTGTCACCTAGGCTGGAGTGCAGTGGCACAATCTCAGCTCACTGCAACCTCCACTTCCTGAGCTGAAGCCATTCTCCCATCTCAGCCCCACTAGTAGCTGGGACTACAGGTGTGCACCACCATGCCTGGTTAATTTTTTTTTTTTTTTTTGAGATGGAGTTTTGCTCTTGTCACCCAGGCTGGAGTGCAGTGGCACAATCTCAGCTCACTGCAACCTCTGCCTCCCAGGTTCAAGCGATTCTCCTGCCTCAGCCTCCTGAGTAGGTGGGATTACAAATACCCGACACCACGCCTGGCTAATTTTTGTATTTTTAGTAGAGACAGGGTTTCACCATGTTGGCCAGGCTTGTCTCAAACTCCTGACTTCAGGTGATCCACCTGCCTTGTCCTCCCAAGGTGCTAGGATTATAGGCATGAGCCACCGTCCCGGCCGAGGTTACTTTTTGTATTTTTTGTAGAGATGGGGTTTCCCTATGTTGCCAAGGCTAGTCTTGAACTCCTGAGCTCAAGTGATCCTCCTGTCTTGGCATCCCAAAGTGCTGGGATTACAGGAGTGACCCACTCTCCCAAGCCTCAATTTTGATTAATTAATTATTTTTGAGACAGGGTATCCCTATGTTGCCCAGGGTGGTCTCGAACTCCTGGACTCAAGCAATCATCCCACCTCAGCTTCCTGAAGTGCTGGAATTACAGGCATGAGCCACTGTACCCGGTCAAGGGTTTCTAATCCTAGCTGTCTGGCTCTAGACTACGCTTTGTTGGTCCGTAAGGCCAAAGCTTGTGATAGAGCTTTAGAGGATGTTGAAAAGAAAAATGATATGTTTTGTACTTTAAAAATATATATATTTTTTGAGACAGAGTTTCGCTCTTGTTGCCTAGGCTGAAGTGCAATAGTGTAATCTTGGCTCACCGCAACCTCTGCATCCCAGGTTCAAGCGATTCTCCTGCCTCAGCCTCCCGAGTAGCTGGGATTACAGGCATGTGCCACCACGCCCGTTAATTTTGTATTTTTAGTAGAGACGGGGTTTTGCCAGGTTGGCCAGGCTGGTCTTGATCTCCTGAGGTGGCTCACACCCATAATCCCAGCACTTTGGGAGGCTGAGGTGGGTGGATCACCTGAGGTCAGGAGTTCCAGACCAGCCTGGCCAACATGGTGAAAACCCATGTCTACTAAAAATAACAAAAATTAGCCGGGCGTGGTGGCAGGCGCCTGTAATCCCAGCAATTTAGGAGGCTAAGGCAGGAGAATCGCTTGAATCTGTGAGGCAGAGGTTGCGGTGAGCCAAGATCATGCCATTGAACTCCAGCCTGGGCAACAGGGCGAGACTCCGTCTCAAAAAAAAAAAAAAAAAAGAAAAATCCCACCTTCTATCTTGAAAAAAATAAATCTTTTTTAAAAAAAGAATAAAAATAAAATGTACTGGGCCGGGCACGGTCGCTCACGCCTGGAATCCCAGCACTTTAGGAGGCCAAGGTGGGAAGATTACCTGAGGTCAGGAGTTTGAGACCAGCCTGGCAAACATGGCGAAACACCATCTCTACTAAAAATACAAAATTAGCCAGGCATGGTGGTGCATGCCTGTAGTCCCAGCTACTCGGGAGAATGAGGCAGGAGAATCGCCTGAACCTGGGAGGTGGAGGTTGCAGTGAGTCGAGATTGTACCATTGCACTCCAGCCTGGGCGGCAAGAGCAAAACTCTGCCTCGAAAAATAAAAATAAATAAATAAGTAAATAAATAATAAAATGTACTGCACTCCAACATGGGTGACAGAGTGAGATCCTGTCTCTACAAAAGTAAAAAATATTTTAAAGCAGGGCGACTAGTTAAGGGACTACTGCTCACATCCAAAGACACATTGAGGGTGGCTTGGAATAGAGCTGCAGGTAGTGGTAAGTGCTAAAGTCAGGACATATCTCAGAGGTATAGCTCATGGGAATTGCTTGTGGACTGAATGTGAAATTTGGAAGAGGAAAGCTCATGGAAAACTTGTGATTTGTTTTTTCTTTCTTTCTTTTTTTTTTGAGACAGAGTCTTGCTCTGTCGCCCAGGCTGGAGTGCAGTGGTGCAATCTTGGTTCACTGCAACCTCCTGGGTTCAAGCAATTCTCCTGCCTCAGCCTCCCGAGTAGCTGGGATTACAGGTGCCCACCACCATGCCCAGTTAATTTTTGTATTTTTAGTAGAGACAGGGTTTTGCTATCTTGGCCAGGCTGGTCTTGAACTCCTGACCTCAGGTGATCTGCCCACCTCGGCCTCCCAAAGTGCTGGGATTACAGGCGTGAGCCACCATGCCTGGCCAAATTTGTGAATTTTTGGCCTGAGTAAATGGAGAGAGAGTGGTATTGAGCTGGGAAATATTGGGGGAGTGGCAGGTTTGGAGGTAAATTTGAGAATTTTGTTTTATTTAAGACATGTTAAATTCGAGTGCCGATATGACATCCAAATGGAGGTATTGAATGGACAACTGCATATACTGAGTGTGAAGTATAGGAAATTTGGTAGGATTAGAAATGAAAACCTGGAAGTCATCAGTATACGGGAGGTCCTAAGGCAAAGAGGTTGAATGAGATCACTGGGGAAGGAGCGTAGATGGAAGAGAGGCTGAGGATTGAGTCTACCAACTCTCCTATGCAGCACTCCTCACGGTGATAATTTTTTTTTTTTTTTTTTTTTTTTTGAGACGAAGTCTCACCCTGTTGCCCAGGCTGGAATGCAGTGGCGCGATCTCGGCTCACTGCAAGCTCCGCCTCCCGGGTTCACGCCATTCTCCTGCCTCAGCCTCCCAAGTAGCTGGCGCCTGCCACCACGCCGGGCTAATTTTTTTTTTTTTATTATTTGTAGTAGAGACGGGTTTTCACGGTATTAGCCGGGATGGTCTTGATCTCCTGACCTCGTGATCCGCCCACCTCAGCCTCCCAAAGTGCTAGAATTACAGGCATGAGCCACCGTGTCCGGCTCACGGTGATAATTTTTATTTTTATTTTTCTTGTATTTCCATCCAGTGCACTCACAGTGGTAATTTGATACTTATTGTTGAATTATTCTACTAATTTCTGCATCTCCTATTAGAACAAAGCTCCTTGACCACAGATATTGTGGTCCTCTTTACTTACCATCTATAACAACTTGGTGCCTGGCCTTTAACCAGTCTGAAAGAACAAAGCATTTAAGAAATGTGATTTGGGCTGGGCGTGGTGGCTCACGCCTGTAATGCCAGCACTTTGGGAGGCTGAGGTGGGCGGATCACGAGGTCAGGAGATGGAGACCATCCTAGCTAGCAGGGTGAAACCCCGTCTTTACTAAAAATACAAAAAAATTAGTCAGGCATGGTGGCAGGCGCCTGTAGCCCCAGCTACTCGGAAGGCTGAGGCAGGAGAATGGTGTGAACCCAGGAGGTGGAGCTTGCAGTGAGCCGAGATCGCGCCACTGCACTCCAGCCTGGGTGACAGGGCGAGACTCCATCTCAAAAAAAAAAAAAAAAAAAAAGAAATGTGATTTGGCAGTATCCATTACAATGTAAAATGAGCATAGGAGTTGACTGAGCAATTCCTCTATTTCCATTTCTAGAAATAAAATCAAAAACGTGTTCACAACTATGCAAAAAGAACTACAGGCTGTGGCTCACACCTATAATCCCACCACTTTGTGGGGCCAAGGCAGGAGAATTGCTTGAGCCCAGCGGTTTGAGACCAGCCTGGGCAATATAATGGGACCCCATATCTATTAAAAAAAAATTCTCCAGGCATGGTGGTGCATGCCTATAATAGTCCCAGCTACTTGGGAGGCTGAGGCAGGAGAATCACTTGAGCCCAGGAGATTGAGGCTGCAGTGACTGCACCACTGCACTCCAGTCTGGGTGACAGAGAGAGACTACATCTCAAAAGAAAAAAGAGGGCCAGGCACGGTGGCTCACACTTGTAATCACAACACTTTGTGAGGCCTAGGCGGGTGGATCACCTGAGGTTGGGAGTTCGAGACCAGCCTGACCAACATGGAGAAACCCTGTCTTTACTAAAAATACAAAATTAGCTGGGCATGGTGGTGCATGCCTGTGATCCCAGCTACTCCGGAGGCTGAGACAGGAGAATCGCTTGAACCCGGGAGGCAGAGGTTGTGGTGAGCTGAGATCATGCCATTGCACTCCAGCCTGGGCAACAAGAGCGAAACTCTGTCTCAAAAAAAAAAAAAAGAAAAAGAAAAAGAAAGAAAGAAAGAAAAGGGAAAAAAAAGGACTACATCCAAGGGTGTTCACTGAAACACTCTTTATAATTGTGAAAAATTGGAAACAGATAGCCGGGCACAGTGGCTCACGCCTGTAATCCCAGCACTGGGAGGCTGAGGCGGGTGGATCACAAGGTCAGGAGTTCGAGACCAACCTGCCCAATGTGCTGAAACGCCATCTCTACTAAAAATACAAAAATTAGCCAGGCATGGTGGCATGCACCTGTAGTCCCAGCTACTCGGTAGGCTGAGGCAGGAGAATTGCTTGAACCTGGGTGGCGGAAGTTGCAGTGAGCCGATATAGCGCCACTGCACTCCAGCCTGGGTGACAGAGTAAGACTCTATCTCAAAACAAAACAAAATTGGAAACAGATGACTTGCAATTGGAGACTGCTCAAATATAATACATTTATACTGTTATATACTCAGAAGGGTTACAGCACTGTCAAAAGGGTAGGCTCTGGATTCAGATGCCTGGGGTTAGAATCTTAGCTTGGATGGGCATGGTGGCTCATGCCTGTAATTGCAGCACTTTGGGAGGCAGAGGTTGGTGGATCACTTTAGGTCAGGAGTTCGAGACCAGCCTGACCAACATGGTGAATCCTTGTCTCTACTAAAAATACAAAAATTAGCCAGGCATGGTGGTGCGTGCCTGTAATCCCAGCTACATGGGAGGCTGAGGCAGGAGAATCGCTGGAACCCGGTAGGTGGAGGTTGCAGTCAGCCAAGATTGTGCCACTGCACTCCAGCCTGGGCAATAGAGCTAGACACCGTCTCAAAAAAAAAAAGTACTTTAGTTTGATCACTTGTTTGTGAAATGGGGATAATAATAGCAGCTTCTACTAAGTGAAAAAAGCAGCAGAATGATATTTGCAATAGCCTGCTACTAATGAAAAGGTTACTAATGAAAAGCTTTGTGTAAATGTGTGTGTGGGTAGCTATAAATATAGACATACACTGAATTTATTTATTTATTTTTTATTTTTATTTTTTTGAGACAGAGTCTTGTTCTGTTGCCCAGGCTGGAGTACAGTGGAGCGATCTCGGCTCACTGCAACCTCTGCCTCCCGAGTTCAAGCAATTCTCTTGCCTCAGCCTCCTGAGTAGCTGGGATTACAGGCATGTGCCACCATGCCTGACTAATTTTTGTATTTTTAGTAGAGACAGGGTTTCACTATGTTGGTCAGGCTGTTCTCGAACTCCTGACCTCATGATCCGTCTGCCTCGGCCTCCCAAAGTGCTGGGATTACAGGCATGAGCCACTGCACCCGGCCGACATGTACTGTATTTAGATGCATAGAAAGTGTCCTAGAAGGATGCACACCAAACTCTGGACAGTGGCAACAACCCCAAATAGGAGAAAAGAAAGGTGGAGTATATTAACGGGAGTATTCACAAGCTGCTATCAGTATTCTTGTATTACATTTTTACAACTTCATGTTATCATTACATTAGTTGCATAATTAAATTCAATAAAAACAAAGATGAATAAGATGAGAGATATACTGATATATGCAATATGTGCTTTGTGACACATATTTTCCAAAAATGGCTACACCAACCTGTATCTCATTTTATATGCTTTGCTTATAATGCAGTGTTGGTGTTTCTCCATTGACGGTGGAGCTGCATTCCCTCCCCTTGAACCTGAGAGGATCTTTGTAACTGCTTTGACTAATAAAATGTGGCAGATGTAATGCCGTGTGACTTTGAAGGTTAGGCCACAAAGGGCAACATGGCTTCCACTTGGCTCTCACTCTCTTAAGACCCTTGCCCTTGGCCGGCCAGAGTGGCTCACACCTGTTATCCCAGAATTTTGGGAAGCTGAGACAGGCAAATCACTAGAGACCAGGGGTTCTAGACCAGCCTGGCCAACATGGTGAAACCCCATTTCTTTCTTTTTTTTTTTTTTTTCTCGAGACAGAGTCTCACTTTGTCGCCCAGGCTGGAGTGCAGTGGCACGAGTGGCGCGATCTTGGCTCACTGCAACCTCCACCTCCCAGGTTCAAGCAATTCTCCTGCCTCAGCCTCCCAAGTAGCTGGGATTACAGGTGCCCACCACCAAGCCCGGCTAATTTTTGTATTTTTTAGTAGAGACGGGGTTTCACCATGTTGGGCAAGCTGGTTTCGAACTGCCGACCTCAGGCAATCTGCCCGTCTCGGCCTCCCAAAGTGCTGGGATTACAAGTGTGAGCCACCGCGCCTGGCAGTGAAATCCCATTTCTACTAAAAATACAAAAATTGACTGGGCCTGGCAGCTCACATCTGTAATCCCAGCACTTCGGGAGACCGAGGCAGGCAGATGGCTTGAGGTCAGGAGTTCAAGACCAGCCTGGCCAACATGGAGAAACCCCGTCTCTACTAAAGATACAAAATTAGCCAGGCATGGTGGTGCATGCCTGTAATCCTAGCTACCTGGGAGGCTGAGCGGGGAGAATTGCTTGAATCCGGGAGGCGGAGGTTGTGGTGAGCCGAGATCGCACCATTGTACTGCAGCCTGGGCAACAAGAGCAAAATTCCATCTCAAAGAAAAAAAAACAGAAAAAATAGCTGAACATGGTGTGCACGCCTGTCATCCTGACATCTCAGCTACTATGGAGGCTGAGGCACAAGAATCACTTGAACCCAGGAGGTTGCAGTGAGTTGAGATCATGCCACTGCACTCCAGCCTGGGCGATAGAGTGATACTCTGTCTCAAAAAAAAAAAAAAAAAGACCTTTGCCCTTCAAATCCAGCCACCATGTTACCAGGAAGCACAGGCCACATGGAGAGATCATGCATGTGTATGTTCTGGCTGACAGCCCCAGCTAGGCCCCCAGCTGACATCACCCACCAGAAGTATGAGTAAACAACTTTGCCTATGATTCCACTCCCCAGTCTTTGAGTCTTCTTGCTGAGGCCCCCTCAGCTGTGGAGCTGAGATAAACCTTCCCATTGTGGCTTGTCTGGATTCCTGTTCCAAAGAAACCATGAGAGACTTTGTATATTTTATATGCATTCATATTTTATTTACTTTTTCTTTTTTGAGACAGAGCTACTGTGTTGCCCAGGCTGGAGTGCAGTGGTGCAATCTCGGCTCGCTGCAACCTCCGCCTCCCGGGTTCAAGTTATTCTCCCTGCCTCAGCCTCCCGAGTAGCTGGAATTACAGGCATGCACCACCATGCCTGGCTAATTTTTGTATTTTTTAGTAGAGACAGGGTTTTGCCATGTTGGTCAGGCCGGTCTGGAACTCCTGACCTCAGGCGATCCGCCCGCCTCCACCTCCCAAAGTGCTGGGATTACAGGTGTGAGCCACCACACCCGGCCCCTATCCTATTCTTATCACTTGAGTATATCACAAATAACCTTTCCTTGTCAATAGGTGCCTTAGTACAGCATTTTTTTTTCTTTTTTTGAAGACAGGTTCTGGCTCTGTCCCCCAGGCTGGAGTGCAGTAGCCCGATCTCTTGCTCACTGCAGCCTCCACATCCTGGGTCTTAAGTGATCCTCCCACCTCAGCCTCCCAAGTAGGTGGAGCTATAAGCACATCCAGCTAACTTGTATTTTTTGTAGAGACGGGGTTTCACCATGTTGCTCAGGCTGGTCTTGAACTCCTAGGCTCAAGTGATCCACCTGCCTCAGCCTCCCAAAGTGCTGGGATTACAGGCGTGAGCCACCACACCTGGCCAAAACTTTTTCTTTTTTTTGTAGACATGGAATCTCACTATGTTGCCCAGGCTGGTCTCCAACTCCTGGGCTCAAGCAATCCTCTCACCTTGGCTTCCCAAAGTGCTGGGATTACAGGCTTGAGCCACCATGCCCTGCCACCCAGTATGATTTATTTCATTTTTTTTGGTAAAGTGAAAGCAAGTTTATTAGAGAAGTAAAGAAACAAAGGAGACCAGGAGCAGTGGCTCACGCCTGTAATCCCAGAACTTTGGGAGGCCGAGGTGGGCGGATCAAGGAGTCAAGAGATCCAGACCATCCTGGCCAACATGATGAAACCTTGTCTCTACTAAAAATACAAAAATTACCATCCTGGCTAACACGGTGAAACCCCGTCTCTACTAAAAATACAAAAAAAATTAGGCGTGGTGGCGGGCGCCTGTAGTCCCAGCTACTCGGGAAGCTGAGGCAGGAGAATGGCGTGAACCCGGGAGGCGGAGCTTGCAGTGAGCCTAGATCGCGCCACTGCACTCCAGCCTGGGCAACAGAGAGAGACTCCGTCAAAAAAAAAAAAAAAAAAAAAAAATTAGCTGGGCGCGGTGGTGCGCGCCTGTAGTCCCAGCTACTCGGGAGACTGAGGCAGGAGAATCACTTGAACCCAGGAAGCGGAGGTTGAAGTGAGCGGAGATAGCGGCTCTCTCACTGCACTCCAGCCTGGGCGACAGAGCGAGACTCCGTCTCAAAAAAAAAAAAAAAAAAGTAATTGCTACTCCATAGGCAGAGCAGTCCACCCGACAAGGTTTTTGTTGTTGTTGTTGTTTGAGACAGAGTCTCGCTCTGTCCCCCAGGCTGGAGTGCAGTGGCGCGATCTCTGCTCGCTGCAACCTCCGCCTGCCGAGTTCAAGCAATTCTCCTGCCTCAGCCTCCCGAGTAGCTGGGACTACAGGCGCCCACCATCACGCCCGGCAAATTTTGTAAATTTTTAGTAGAGACAGGGTTTCACCATGCTGGTCAGGCCAGTCTCGAATTCCTGACCTCGTGATCTGCCGGCTCCGGCCTCCCAACGTGCTGGGATTACAGGCGTGAGCCACGGTGCCCGGCCACGCGGCATGATTTTTAATGGCTTTCTACATTGTATGGTTTGTTATTGTTGTTTTGAGACAGGGTCTCCTTCTATCACCGATGCTGGACTGCAGTGGTGCGATCTTGGCACTCTGCAGCCTCGACCTCCTCGGCTCAAGCGATCCTATATCACCTCAGCCCCCTGAGTAGCTGGGATGCACAGGTGTGTGCCACCTCGCCCAGCTAATTTTTAATTTTTTTGTAGAAAGGAGGGGGGTCTCACTACATCAAATTCTTGGGCTCAAGCGATCCTCCCACCTCGGCTTCCCAAAGTGCAGGGATTACAGGCATGAGCCACAGCGACCAGCCAGCACAGGTGTCTTTATTTGTTTTATTTTTTATTTTATTTTATTTTATTTTGAGACAGAGTCTCGCTCTGTCGCCCAGGCTGGAGTGCAGTGGCGCCATCTCGACTCACTGCAAGCTCCGCCTCCCGGGTTCACGCCATTCTCCTGCCTCAGCCTCCCGAGTAGCTGGGACTACAGGCGCCCGCCACCACGTCCGGCTAATTTTTTTGTACTTTTAGTACAGACGGGGTTTCACCGTGTTAGCCAGGATGGTCTCGATCTCCTGACCTCGTGATCCACTCGCCTCGGCCTCCCAAAGTGCTGGGATTACAGGCTTGAGCCACCGCGCCCGGCCTGCACAGGTGTCTTGAATATGTATATACGCGACTCCAGTATGGTTGGAAATGATTTGATTTGTTGTCTATGGAATTGCACAACCTGGAGCCTTCCTAACATCAGCGGCTTCATACTGGCATTTCCATTGTGGTGCAGCAACAATCTGAGTGAGCCTCCGTCTCTAGCCACATCATTTGACAACCGGTCCCAGAAGGTAACTGGAAGTCATGATGACAACTCCTATACTGTGAAAAGAAACTGCAAGCAAGGCAGTTAAGATGCAATCTTGCACGGTGACCGTAAGTCGGAGAACTGCGCGGCGAACGAGGCCTCGGCAGGGGAAGCGAAAGCCTGGTGTGGTTGCGGCTCTGGGGCCACCCTGCGACCGCCTCGGGGTGTAGGCAGAATTTCCCGGCCCAGCTCCCCTCTGACCAGATAGCGGCCGAGAAACAATGGTTATCTGCTCCACTGACGCCAGGATGTCTTCTCCGTGCCCGATCCCGGAGTACAAACAGTGAAATGAGAAGCCGGTGAGAAACGCGCTGGTTAAAAACATCTCGACGGGAGACGCTGGTAGGCGAATAGTGGCTCCAGACGCGGTCGGCGCCTGCCGTACCCTGGTCAGACTCTGGGTCAGAGCGCTAAGTTTCAAGGAGGCGGCGCTAAACAGGCCCTCTAGCCGGGAGCCTGTCGCGACCCGAGCGACCGTGGGTCGACCCCGATCCGGAAGTGACGCAACGGCGCCAAGCACTTCCGGAGCTGTGGGGACGACTCTTCTGGAGGAAGCAGCGCGGGCTTGACCGGCGTCGGCCCGCCGCCTCCGCTGCCGCTTCGCCCCAATCCGGTCCCTCTGGCCCGGCCTGACCCGGTCTGGCTTGTTCGGGCTCAGCGGCCGCGAGGCCGCAGCTCCCGGTAAGTGCGCGGCGCACGTCACGGCCTTGTTTACCTTGGCTGGCCGCTGGGGGGGCCTCTCCGCGCGCCTCCCTGGCCGGGCCGGGACTCCGCCTTCGCCGTCGCCCGGGAGGCCCGGGCGCTCCCCGTCGCCGGCACGTTGTCCGAGCATTACCCGCCGTCAGCGGCCGGGCGCCCAGCGTGTGTCTGCCTTTTTTCCTCCCGCCGCCTTCTCAGCTCTCGGAAAGGTCAGAGGCCACCGCCTCTGACCAACCGGCGCCGGCACATCTAGGCCCTCTCTCCCTGTCTGGCGCGGCGGGGAAACGCGCCGCCTCGGGGCTCACCACTCGAGTCATCTTTGGGAGCTCTCGCAGCGCTGCCCGCGCGGTTTAACGCCCGCCTGTGGAGGGTATCCCCAGCTCGCGGGCTCCGCGTCCGCGCGAATATCCCGGAGCCCGCGGCGCCCCTAGGGATGTGCGGCCCCGGAGCTGTGCCGCCGCCTCGCCAGAAGCTGGTTGGGCAGCCGCGTTCTTGGATGACTTCTCCTTAGTACTGTTCATTGCCTGGTCCCATAGAACTTTCTGTCATAGCGACATGTTCTTTACCTTTGCTGTTCAGCATGGTAGCTACTAGCCACACGTGGCCGTTAAGCATTTGACCTGTAGGCTAGTGCACCTGAGAAACTAAATTTTAAATTTTACTTACTTTTTAAGTGTAATTAAATTTAAATAACCACATGTGGCTAGTGGTCACCGTATTAGAAAAGACAGATACAAAGTGTAGGATTTTGAAACGAAATTGCTGATTTCTAGTTTTGTGCCAAGTCGTTTTTCTTCGGAGGTGTAGTTAGTAAATGACCTGAATTCAGCGCTAGTGATCATATCTGGAGTAAACGTCTTCAGACTCACTAAAACTTACGTGTTCTGTGCGTGGTGGGCAAGCCCAGGATGGTTGGTTGTTAGGTCCCCTGAACATGTGACTTTGGCTCTGGAGGAAATTTTTTTTTTTTTTTTTTTTGGTGGGCGGGACAAAGTTGCTGTCACCAGGCTGGAGTGCAGTGGCGGCGATCACAGCTAACTGCAGCCCCGACTTTCTGGGCTCAAGTGATCCTCCTTTCTTAGCCTCCTAAGTAGCTGGGACCACAGGCACGTACCACCACACCTGGCTAATTTGTAAAATTTTTTGTGGATACGTGATCTTAATAGGTTGCCTAAGCTGGTCTTGAACTGCTGGGCTCAAGCTATCCTCCCGGTTTGACCTCCTAAAGTGCTGGGATTACAGGCGTGAGCCACTGTGCATGACCTTTAAAAAAATTTTTTTTGAAAAAGTGCCCGGCCCACTTTTTCAAGTAGAATTCGGATATTTAACTTTGAGATGATTAAAAATTAAATTTTCATTTAAATGTGCACCTAGAACATTTAGTATGAAATGGAGTTCTCTCTCTTTTTTTTTTGGAGGAGCCTGGAGTTTTCCCCACCTAAATATTTGGTTGGTGAGAAGCCTGTGAGCAATTTCTTTTTTTTTTTTTTTTTTTGACACGGAGTCTCACTGTGTTGCCCAGGCTGGAGTGCAGTGGTGCAGTCTCGGTTCACTGCAGCCTCCATCTCCCAGATCAAGCAGTTCTGCCTTAGCCTCCCGAGTAGCTGGGATTACAGCTGGGATTACACCCAGGCTGGTTGGAGGGCAGTGGCGTGATCATGGCTCGCTGCAATCTCCTGGACTCAAATAATCCTCCTCACTTTGGGAGGCCGAGGCGGGCGGATCACGAGGTCAGGAGATCGAGACCATCCTGGCTAACACGGTGAAACCCCATCTCTACTAAAAATACAAAAAATTAGCCAGGCATGGTGGCGGGCGCCTGTAATCCAGTGAGCCGAGATCGCGCCACTGCACTCCAGCAAGACTCTCAAAAAAAAAAAAAAAGAAAGAAAAGAAAAGAAATATTGTCCCCTTGGAACAAGATCAGCACTTTTTCTTTCTTTCATTTATTTATTTTTATTTTTGAGTCCCGCTCTGTCTCTCAGGCTGGAGTGCAGTGGCGCGATCTCGGCTCACTGCAACCTCCGCCTCCTGGGTTCAAGCGATTCTCCTGCCTCAGCCTCCTGAGTAGCTGGGATTATAGGCGCATGCTACCACGCCCAGCTAATTTTTGTATTTTTAGTAGAGACAGGATTTCATCATGTTGATTAGGCTGGTCTCGAACTCTTGACCTTGTGATCTGCCACCTTAGCCTCCCAAAGTGTTGGGATCACAGGCGTGAGCCACCGTGCCCGGCCCACTTTTTCAAGTAGAATTTGGGTATTTAACTTTGAGATAATTAAAAATTAAATTTTCATTTAAATCTGCACCTAGAACATTTAGTATGAAATGGAGTTCTCTCTCTTTTTTTTTTGGAGGAGCCTGGAGTTTTCCCCACCTAAATATTTGGTTGGTGAAAAGCCTGTGGGCAATTTCTTTTTTTTTTTTTTTTTTTTTGACACGGAGTCTCACTGTGTTGCCCAGGCTGGAGTGCAGTGGTGCAGTCTCGGTTCACTGCAGCCTCCATCTCCCAGATCAAGCAATTCTCCTGCCGTAGCCTCCCGAGTAGCTGGGATTACAGGTATGCGCCACCATTCCTGGCTAATTTTTGTGTTTTTTGTAGCAGTGAGGTTTCACCATGTTGCCCAGGCTTGTTTTGAACTCCTGAGCTGAAGCCGTCCACCCACCTTGGCCTCCCAAACCAAAGTGCTGGGATTACTGGCATGAGCCACCACACGTGGTCCTGGAATTTTTCTTTTTTTTTTTCTTTTTTGAAGACAGGGTCTCACTCTGTCGCCTAGACTGGAGTGTAGTGGCGTGATCTTGGCTCACTGCAGCCTCAACCTCCTGTGCTCAAGAAATCCTCCCACCTCAGCCTCCCAAGTAGCTGGGACTACAGGCATGCACCACCACGACATTTATGAGTAATGTGACATAAATGAGCCACGACAGCATGAGTAAAGTGAGATCTGAAATATTAGCATTATTCTGTGTTAGATTACCACAGTGGAGGTGATTTTGTAGTAAAAGTTAAATTTTAAGTCAGTTACAATTTGCTTGGTCAACATCTACATAACATTTAGGATTGAAATTGTGGTAGTTGAGAATCTGAAGGACAGAAATACTGGAGTAAAGAAGCAGGCTTTCAGCTGGGTGAGGTGGAGGTTACAGTGAGCTGAGATGGCAACACTGCACTCCAACCTGGGTGACAGAGGGAGGCCCTGTCTCAAACAAACAAAAAAAAGAAGTGGTCTTTCAAACTGAGAGAGAGAATTGAGATTAAATTATTGCTACCTGTTTACTTAGATTACTTTCTTTTTTTTTTTTTTGAGACGAATTTTCTTGTCACCCAGGCTCAAGTGCAGTGGCGCGATCTCACCTCACTGCAACCTCTGCCTCCCTGGTTGGAGTGATTCTCCTGCCTCAGCCTTCCGAGTAGCTGGGATTACAGGTGCTCGAACTCCTGACCTCAGGTGATCCACCTGCCTTGGCCTCCCAAAGTGCTGGGATTACAGGCGTGAGCCACAACACCCAGCTGAATACTTTCTTTTTTTAGAAGGTCATGTAACTCTTGTCAATATAATTATGTCATGGATTTTTTTTGTTGGCACTTTAAAAGAAGATAATTAATTTAATAGTTACTCTGTCCCTTGTTACTTGTCCTTTAAAATACCTTTGCTTTAAAAAAAAAATAAACTTGCAAAAGCAGTATACCAGCTTTAAAAATATAAATATAATTCTTTTCATTTTAGATGGAAATCATATTATGTAGAATACTTGGGTGACATCTGCCTGAGAGATCTCCAAGAATTACAGGTATCTTTAATTTAAAGATTAACTTTTTCTCCTAAAGAAAAAACACCATCGTTAAGTTTAGTTGTGATTATGTGGCTCTACCATACAGAAGAGTTTGTTAAAAGTCAAACTGCTGGCCAGGCACAGTGGCTTGCATCTGTAATCCCAGCACTTTGGGAGGCTGAGGTGGGCGGATCACGAGGTCAGGAGATCGAGACCATCCCGGCTAAAACGGTGAAACCCCGTCTCTACTGAAAATACAAAAAATTAGCCGGGCGTAGTGGCGGGCGCCTGTAGTCCCAGCTACTTGGGAGGCTGAGGCAGGAGAATGGCGTGAACCCGGGAGGCAGAGCTTGCAGTGAGCCGAGATCCCGCCACTGCACTCCAGCCTGGGCGACAGAGCGAGACTCCGTCTCAAAAAAAAAAAAGAAACCTTATCTCTATTAAAAATACAAAAAAAATTAGCTGGGCATTGTGGCATGTGCTTGTAATCCCAGCTACTGAGAGACTGAGGCAGGAGAATTGCTTGAACCCGGAAGGCAGAGGTTGCAGTGAGCTGAGATCGTGCCACTGCATTCCAGCCAGGGTGACAGAGTGAGACTCTGTCTCAAAAAAAAAAAAAGGTCAGACTGCAAACATTATTTTTATTGCCCCACAATTAATAGGGTTTTTTTTTTAATTTTTAGAAATGGGAGCATTTATAGTTAACATATCAACTTAGATATAGTGAGTGTTTTTTTTTTTTTTTAAGATAGAGTTTCCCTCTTGTTGCCCAGGTTGGAGTGTAATGATGCAATCTTGTCTCACTGCAGTCTTTGCCTCCGGGGTTCAATCCATTCTCCTGCTTCAACCTCCTGAGTAGCTGGGATTACAGGCATGTGCCACCACGCCCAGCTAATTTTGTGTTTTTAGTAGAGACGGGGTTTCTCCATGTTGGTCAGGCTGGCCTTGAACCCCCGACCTTAGGTGATCCACCCGCCTCGGCCTCCCAAAGTGCTGGGATTACAGGTGTGAGCCACCGCGCCTCGCCAATATTTTTATTATATAAAAATGTGACTGTAGGCTGGGCACAGTGGCTCTTGCCTATAATCCCAGCGTTTTGTAAGGCCAACGCAGGAGGATCGCTTGAGGCCAGGAGTTTGAAACCAGCCTGAGCAACATAGTAAAACCCTGTTTATACAAAAAATAAAATTAGGTATGGGGGTGGCATATGCCTGTAGTCCCAGTTACTCAGGAGGCTGAGGCAGGAGGATCTGTTGAGCTCAGGAGTTGGAAGCTGCAGTGGGCCATGATCATGTTTTTATATCTCAGACTGGGTGACAGAGTGATACTATGTCTCAGTACTCCATAGTCTTTTAGACTGGTTACAAATTCTTTTTCCTTTTGGTAGACGTGAGTGTCACTATGTTACCCAGGCTGGTTTGGAACTCCTGGTTTTGAATGATCCTCCAGCCTCAGCCTCCCAAAGTGTGGGGATTATGATACAGGCGTGAGCCACTGATACAGATGTGAGCCACTGTACGTGGGCCTTTTTTTTTTAAGTAGAAGATTATTTACCTGAATTATTATTATTATTATTATTATTTTTGGAGACAGAATCTCTCTGTTGCCTAGGCTGGAGTGCAGTGGCACGATCTCACTGCAGCCTTGACCTTCCAGGCCCAAGCAGTTCTTCGATGTAGCCAGGACTACAGACGCATGACCGCTATGCCTGTCTTATTTTATTTATTTGTTTATTTTTTGTGTGTGTGACAGTGTCTCACTCTTGCCCAGGTTGGAGTGCAGTGGCATGATCTTGGCTCACTGCAACCTCCTCCCTGGTTCAAGTGATTCTCCTGCCTCAGCCTCCCAAGTAGCTGGGATTGCAAGTGTGCACCACCCTGCCAAGCTAATTTATTTTTTATTTTTTATTTTTTTATTTTTTCAGATTGAGTCTCGCTCTGTTGCCCAGGCTGGAGTGCAGTGGTGCAATCTCTGCTCACTGCAACCTCCGTCTCCCGAGTTCAAGCAGTTCTCCTGCCTCAGCCTCCTGAGTAGCTGGGATTACAGGTGCATGCCATCATGCCTAGCTAATTTTTGTATTGTTAGTAGAGATGGGGTTTCACGTGTTAGCCAGGATGGTCTGGATCTCCTGACCTCGTGATCTGCCTGCCTCGGCCTCCCAAAGTGCTGGGATTACAGGTGTGAGCCACTGCGCCCAGCCTAATTTTTGTATTTTTAGTAGAGATGGGATTTTGCCATGTTGGCTAGGCTGGCCTCAATCTCCTGGCCTCAGGTGATCTGGCCACCTTGGTCTCCCAAAGTGCCGGGATTTTTTTTCTTTTTTTCTTTTTTTTTTTTTGAGACGGAGTCTCGCTCTGTCGCCCAGCCTGGAGTGCAGTGGCGCGATCTCGGCTCACTGCAAGCTCCGCCTCCCGGGTTCACACCATTCTCCTGCCTCAGCCTCCCCAGTAGTTGGGACTGCAGGCGCCTGCCACTATGCCCGGCTAATTTTTTGTATTTTTAGTAGAGACGGGGTTTCACCATGTTAGCCAGGATGGTCTCGATCTCCCGACCTCGTGATCCACCTGCCTCGGCCTCCCAAAGTGCTGGGATTACAGGCATGAGCCACCGCGCCCAGCTGATTTCTTTTTTTTTTTTTTTAAATGTGTTGTAGAGACATGGTCTCACTAGGTTGTTCAGGTGGATCTTGACCTCCTGGCCTCAAGGGATCCTCTCATCTCAGCCTTCCAAAGTTCTGGGATTATAGTTGTGAGCCACACCCTCAGTCTTTGTTTTAGATTATGGTTGGTTGTTTTTTTTCAGACAGATTACCTACTTCAAGTAGACTTTATATTTGCTTTTGTATTTAATCAAGATTTGTTTATATAAATTGTTTATGTACTGTTAAATCCAAATGCTCTTACACTTTAAGGTTCTATTAGTTTTAGATTTTTTTTTTTTTTTTGAGATGGAGTCTCACTCTGTTGCCAGGCTGCAGTACAGTGGCGGGATCTCGGCTCACTGCAACCTCCGACTCCCTCGTTCAAGTGATTCTCCTGCCTCAGCCACCTGAGTAGCTGGGGATTACACGCACGCACCACCACGTATAGCTAATTTTTGTATTTTTAGTAGAGATGGGGTTTCACCACGTTGGCCAGGATGCTCTTGATCTCCTGACCTCGTGATCCACCCGCCTTGGCTTCCCAAAGTGCTGGGATTACAGGCGTGAGCCACCGCACCTGGCCTAGTTTTAGATTTAAATCGCTAGTTGATATTGTTCCTTTCAGCTCATCAGTTGAAATGGTAGTTGTGTAGAAAAGTTAATGGGTGTTTGCCACAATCTTCTGTGAGTTGAAGTTAGGGTTTGTGACTGTTTCACTTTCTCAACTAGTATTCTCTTTTCGTTTATATGTAATTAAGTAACATTTCGCTGTTTGCGGGCTTTTCTTTTTTGAGATGGAGTTTCCCTCGTGTGTGTGTGTGTGTGTGTGTGTATGTGTGTACGTGTGTGTGTGACGGAGTTTCGCTTTTATTGCCCAGGCTGGAGTGCAGTGGCGCAATCTCAGCTCACTATAACCTCCGCCTCCTGGGTTCAAGCGTTTCTCCTGTCTTAGCCTCCCAAGTAGCTGGGATTACAGGTGCCTGTCACCACGCCTGCTTAATTTTTTTGTATTTTTAGTAGAGACAGGGTTTCACCATATTAGCCAGGCTGGTCTCGAACTCCTGACCTCAGGTGACCCACCCATCTCAGCCTCTCAAAATTCTGGGATTACAGGCGTGAGCCACCGCACCCGGCCAATGGAGTTTCACTCTTGTCATCCAGGCTAGAGTGCAGTGGCGCAATCTTGGCTCACTGTAAACTCTGCCTCCCGGGTTAAAGTGATTCTCCTGCCTCAGCGTCCCGAGTAGCTGGGATTACAGGTGCATATCACCACACCTGGCTAATTTTGTATTTTTAGTAGAGATGGGGTTTCGCCATGTTGGCCAGTCTGGTCTTGAACTCCTGACCTCAAGTGATCCACCCACCTTAGCCTCCCACAGTGCTGGGATTACAGGCATGAGTCACCACACCCGGCCAGTAGAACTCTTTAAACCTGAAAAATCAGTCAACTTTGCAGACTAGAGGAGGATGTTGAACACCTATGTGTGTTTTTTTTTTCTTTACCAACTATGCACCTATTTTTCAGACACCTAAAAGTAATGTCTGTGAAACAGTGGTTTTCTTTTTCTACATATTACAGCAGGAAGTGTTCCTATTTATGTACTGTCTGTATCAATACTAACGGGGCATGATAAGCAAAATTTTAAACTTTGGTAGTTAAACCTTTATGTTGCCTCCCCTCTGGGCTGCCAGCTGTGGGGATGTGCTTCTCCCTTAAGGACTTTGGCAAGAATAACAAGTTCATTGGAATTTGACTTTCTGACATAGAGCAGACAGCCTTGCCCTGTCATGCCAGGCCTTTCATGTGAAGTTACCATTTATTAGCTGCTTCTGTCTCTCCAGGGAAGGATTTCCCTTTTATAAGCCTGGGCCAGGGGGATGATAGTAAGATTCCCCATGTGATACCAGAGTTGGAATAGGCTGTAGTGAGATTAGGGCCAGGACTGTCCCATTTTGATTCTTGAATGGTTTCTGTTACAACTTGTCATGGGGAAAAAGTAACACTTATTTTTTTTTTCCTCCCTTAGAAGACAAAAATACTAATGCATTTGAGAAAGCGGTAGTTTTGGGGGGAGGGGGAAAAAGCAACTGCTTTCCTGATCTGCAACTTGGCTGGATGCTAAGATGTCAGTGGACATGAATAGCCAGGGGTCTGACAGCAATGAAGAGGACTATGACCCAAATTGTGAGGAAGAGGAAGAAGAAGAAGAAGACGACCCTGGGGACATAGAGGACTATTACGTGGGAGTAGCCAGCGATGTGGAGCAGCAGGGGGCTGATGCCTTTGATCCCGAGGAGTACCAGTTCACTTGCTTGACCTACAAGGAATCTGAGGGTGCCCTCAATGAGCACATGACCAGCTTAGCTTCTGTCCTAAAGGTGAGCAGTGTTGTAAACTCCAGTGTAATCCCCCCCAGTTAAATCTAAGGATGAGCTGTTGTTAATTAATGTCTCCTCCAGACTAATTGAATGGCCTTGTAGCTTGAAACCAAATTTAAGTGTATGTCAACATCATTTGGACATTTTGTTACATTTACTTTGTTTTCTAATATATGCATGTCTAAGGTCCTCAGATTCCCAAATTAGTAAGAATTAGAAAGTAGGGGTGGGACAGATTCAAGAAAGATGTACCATACCAGAAATGTGTAGTAGCAGAATTGCACAACTTTGCACGTTTCAGGAAGTGAGTTTTCAGAATTTTATGAGGTTGATACAATAAGCATCAGAATCACCATCTTCTGTACGACTGTGAGTGACTGATAAATGTCTTGAGAGTATACAGATCCCTCTGGTTTGCCCTGAATAGTCATTGCCTTTGGGCTAATGAGCTCATTTGTTTCATGTACTGATTTTAATAATAATTCTTTCTTATGCTTGTATTTCATTGATTTAGGGGGTGTTAGTATGGAAATTGTAAAGAATGAACAAAGTTGATTACCCCATCAGCAAGCATTTTATTTAACACATAAGCTAAAACATACCTTTGGATGTCTTGTACCTTAGGCCAGTTATTATCCTATTTACATTTTTTATGATCATTTTGACAGTTTCCCAACAAGCATGTTTCCTTCTCTAACACTGGCCATTATGGGAAATTGGAAATATTTCTCTTTAGTGTTTTCACTAATCTTTTTTCATGAATTGTTACTTGGATTTTGTTTCTGATTAAATTGGAGGTCAAAAGGGCACCTTGGCATGATGTCAACCAAATAAATTTTATTGGAACTTAAACAGAAATAACTAAGGTGTGCCTTGTATGATTTCTATAAAATTTGCTTTATCTACTAGTTTAGGGATTTTTTTTTTTTTCCCCAGATGGTTGGCAAAGGCTAATACCTTGAATTTAGATACTCAGGTCTTTATTAGCAACTGGCTGGAAGCTGAAAGCTAAGTTGTTTTTTTTTTTGTGTGACTAATTTCTAGAAGTGATTGTAGACTTCCTGTCTTGTGCTGAGCAGAAAACTCTGAAGAATGAGGACCTATGGATCCTCTGGGTTTGGGATTTCTGCACTATGGCTATAACAAAGCTGCTGGACCCCTGCCTCCAGAGGGCATTTCCCTGGTAGAAAACAATAATCGGGTTTCTCTTCCTCACCATGCACACCTCTCCCTTGTTGATCAATAGTTTTCTTTTGCTTTAGTCATACTGTCAGGTTATATACAATGTTGGTATTTAAAATAAGAAAAGGATATGTTCATAATGTTAGGTTAGAAAAAATAATATTAGGAATTATGTAGTGTGTAACCATGCTCTGGACAGTGTCAGTTGACCAAGTTCATGAGGATGTTCCTGTCTATACACAAGAATTCTCAGATTGTCAAGCCTCTGTGCTGGCTTTTTCTGCCCTGCTAGAGACAGCTGAGGGGCCCAAGCACCTGTCCGTCCGTCCGTCCGTCCTTCCTTCCTTCCTTTTTTTTTTTGTTTTTTAATTGTGGTAAAATATATGTAACATAAAATTTACTGTTTTACATTCTTCCTTCTTATACATGGTCAGCCTCCTGGAAAGCTTTCCCTTCGCCGCCTCATCTCTTACTGCCCTTAGGAGTCCTCAGAGTCTAGCTCATGCTTTCTCTGAGTGAGTTTCCTTGAGAGACCCTAGAGCACAGTGGCCATGCCTTCTTTGGTCTGTGTCCAAAGAATACAGCTCGTTTATTTTTTTAGGTTATGTACTGCAGTCTTCTGACTGCTTTATGTTTTACCTGTTCACACATTTTGGCATGATCTCTCCAACTAGATTGTCAGTTCTTGGAGAGCAATAACTGTCTTGTACCTTATCTCCTCCATCATTCTTGTCACACTATTTCATCTACAGTAGGTATTGAATAATTGCTTGGATACTTGTGGATTTTGTTGATTGTTGGTGATAGTAGCAGCTGCTGCTGTGGGTGTGAGCTAGATTTCCTAGTCCCTGATACATTTTGTTTCCTGTTGGAAATGAAATGAAAGGGCATTGTTCTGGCCTTTAAGACTGAGAAGAGTAAGAGCAAAAAGAACTTGTAGCAGAGATGAGGGAATAAATAAGAGAAGGAAGAGAGTTGAAACAGTATGAAAGGGTTAAAGAGAAAATGGAGCAAAGAGGAAAATAATCCACAAAAATTTAGATGTTGAGAGTTTATTTTTTCCCTTCTGCACTTCACTGAGAAATATGTTAACACCATTTACTTTCTGGGGCTGGGCAAAAAAAGGTTGTGGCTCTTTTGGTTGGGTTGACTGTACCTAAAGGGACTCTGGTGTTTTAAGTGATTCAGAAACTTGACCAAAGAGACTGGACAGAAAAGCAGCTTGCTTAAGAGTAAAGGAGAAGGAATCATATACAAAGTTTTTTCTTTGAGGCAAGATACAAGCTAGCATTGTTTTTATTTACTTATATTTTTAAAATTATATTTTAAATACAAAAATTAGCTGAGCGTGCTAGCATGTTCCTGTAGTCCCAGCTACTCAGGAGGCTGAGGTGGGAGGATCACTTGGGCCTGGGAGCGGAGGTTGCAGTGAGCTGAGATTGCCCCCACTATACTCCAGCTTGGGCTACAGAGCAAGACCTTATCTCAAAACAACAAAAATTTTTTTTTTGGTAGAGATGGGGTCTTGCTATGTTGCCTAGGTCTTAAACTCCTGGCCTCAAGCCATCTTCCCACCTCAGCCTCCCAAATTCCTCTACAAGCATGAGCTACCACTCCTGGCCTGTTTTTATTTTTGTAATTAATATTTTTTGAGGATGAGAGGGAATAATTTAAGTGCTTAGTTTACCCAATGGTGTTCCGGCTACTCTGGTTGTCTTGTTGCACATGTCTCTGAAAGTGTGATTGATAGTGATAGTCACCCAGATCACTACTGATATCCCATTGGTCGTAGTGCTGATTGCACAATTCTGTGGCATATTGAAACATTTAATTTTTTAATGTAATTTAAGTTCTGTGGCTTGTAGAAAATGTTGTGTGTATGTAATTGAAAATTATAGCCTTACGAATTCTAGTCTATGAGTAAAAACTATCCAAGTTTGAGGAGTGGCTTAAATTTTTCACTTGATTCTCATGTCTGTGTACTCATTTTGTTGTGTCCAGGCAGTTGCATGTGGATTATTTATAGTATAGCATAAAATTAAGCCTTTTACTGCCATTTGGGATTTGAAGTCTCTTTTTAAAAATTATTATTTAAAAAAAAATTTTTTTAGAGATGAGCTCTTGCCCTGTCTCACAACTGGAGTGCAGTAGCATGATCATAGCTCACTGTACCCTCAAACTCCTGGGTTCCAAGCTATCCTCCCATCTCAGCCTCCCAAGTAGCTGGGGCTACAGGTGCGTGCAACTAATTAAACAAAAATTTATTTTGGCCAGGCGCAGTGGCTCACGCCTGTAATCCCAGCACTATGGGAGGCCGAGGCGGGTGGATCACGAGGTCAGGAGATCAAGATCATCCTGGCTAACACGGTGAAACCCCATCTCTACTAAAAATACAAACAAAAAATTAGTCGGGTGTGGTGACACATGCCTGTGGTCCCAGCTACTCAGGAGGCTGAGGCAGGAGAATGGGTGTGAACCCGCGGGCAGAGGTTGCAGTGAGATGAGATCGCACCACTGCACTCCAGCCTGGGCAACAGAGTGAGACTCTGTCTCAAAAAAAAAAAAGAGAAAAAATTTTTAAGTGGACTCAAAAAGCTGCAAAAAAAATTTTTTTTTAAGATACAGAATCTCACTATGTTGCCCAGGCTGATCTCAAACTCCTGGCCTCAAGTGATCCTCCTGCCTCAGCCTCCTGAGTTAGCTGAGTAAAGTGTCTTAAGTAGAAAAATCACAATTTTCAGCCGGGTGCGGTGGCTCACGCCTGTAATCCGAGTACTTTGGGAGGCCAAGGCAGGTGGATCACGAGGTCAGGAGAGCCCTGGCTAACACAGTGAAAAACCTGTCTTTACTAAAAATACAAAAAATTAGCCAGGCGTGGTGGTGGGCACCTGTAGTCCCAGCTACTCAGGAGGCTGAGGCAGGAGAATGGCGTGAACCCAGGAGGCGGAGCTTGCAGTGAGCTGAGATCGTGTCACTGTACTCCAGCCTGGGTGACAGAGCAAGACTCTGTCTAAAAAAGAAAAAGAAAAATCACAATTGTCTGGGACACTGGGCTTTTAGTTTAATGAGGGCCCTGATGTCAGAGGGTAACTTCCTGTATATGTTCTGGGACCAGTCTATGAGTAAAGTCATTATTGAGAGAGGAAGGTGCCCAGAAAATCAGATCAAGGGCTCAAGATAGAGAACAGAGAAAATGCTTATCTGTTAGTGTGGTGGGGAAGCTGCTGGCATTCAAATAGTGGCAAAACAGAAGCATTATTTGAGAATGAACTATCCTACACAAATCACAAATGGAATAGTCAAATGAGATGAAATGATTGCCAAGTGAGGTGTTGTGTTGTAGGAGGAGGGGATCTCTGGGGAATAAGTAATTTTAGTGATCATGTATGAGTCTTTAAAGAAAACAAAGTTACCTTTTTCTACAGTGTATTTTTATATGAGACTTATACAAAGATTATTTTGTCTTTATAGATGAAAGAGGTCCTTCTTGTAACCATAAGCATTTTTATTACAAAATGTGCAGTAGTTAGCCAATAATTTTTTTCAGTTATTCAGTGAGTCCTTTTAATTACCATTCCATGGAACTCTTGAGATATTTGCTGACAAGCTGCTCAGGAAGAGGCTCAGCCAGAGCCCCAGACAAAGCCCAGGCAGGATCATGACTGTGGAGCTGGCTTTGGTTTGTGATGGGTCAAGAGTCTTTTTCTCCTAGTGCCCTCATCTTAGCATCATGTTAGGGGTGTGGGCAGGAGAAGTGAATGTTGTTCAGGGACCCACCCCATTGCTTCAGGAGGGGAAAGAAATAGGCCACTTTGAGCTAGATCTAGTCCAGGAGGTGTAGTGAGCTACCTGAGCTTTGTGTTGAGGCCAGAGGACCTTGAAGGTGGTGTAGAAGGGCAATGCAGGTTATAGAAGTCCTGGCTCCACAGGGCAATGGGCATGGGAGTGGGAGGGTTATCTTCTGGGCTGGAATGAGGGTCAAAGATGTATAGGTAGAAAGGAATATTATGATTGTAGCCTCAAGCATCTTTGCTGTTGGTGGAAAGGAATAGGTTTTGTAAACTATAGGAATAGGTTTTTAATAGGATTTTTTGTTTTTGAGACAGCGCCTCACTCTGGCACTCAGGTTGGAGTGCAGTGGCACGATGTTGGCTAACTGCAGCCTCCAACTCCCAGGCTCAAACAATCCTACTTCAGCCTCCCAAATAGCTGGGACCACAGGTGCGCACCACATGCCCGGGTGTGTGTGTGTGTGTGTGTGTGTGTGTGTGTGTGTGTGTGTGTGTGTGTGTGATCACAGGTGCGCACCACATGCCCGGGGGTGTGTGTGTGTGTGTGTGTGTTTTTGGTAGAGACGGGGTTTTGCCATGTTACCCAGGCTGGTCTCAAACTCCAGAGTTCAGACAATCCACCCACTTCAGCCTCCCAAAGTGCTGGGGTTACAGGCGTGAGCCACCACACTGAGCCTAGGATTTTAAATAGGTATTTAAATAGATTTTTAAAACTTATTCAGCACATGTGTGGCATAGTGAAGTATATTGCTCACTTTTTTTTTTTTTTTTTTTTTTAGTTGAGACGGACTCTCGCTGTGTCACCCAGGCTGGAGTGCAGTGGCACGATCTCGGTTCACTGCAAGCTCCGCCTACCGGGTTCATACCATTCTCCTGCCTCAGCCTCCCAAGTAGCTGGGACTACAGGTGCCCGCCACCACACCCGGCTAAATTTTTTTGTATTTTTAGTAGAGACGGGCTTTCACCTTGTTTGCCAGGATGGTCTCGATCTCCTGACCTCATGATCCACCCGCCTCAGCCTCCCAACGTGCTGGGATTACAGGTGTGAGCCACCGCGCCTGTCCCTATTGCTCACTTTTTAAGCCTGTTCCCCAGATAGGATTGGAGAAATATGCCAATTATCACAAATGTTTTTACTACATTTCTTCTTGCTTTATGAATTGCTGTATTAACTGCAGTAAAGCTATGAAAATATTTCCTAGAACACTCTATTCTGCCATACTCTTTTGTGAATTTTTTTAAAAATCTGGTGTTTGCTCTTTAGCAAAATGTGACTGGAAAATCTCTCTAAGATTCTGCTGTGGATAATTTTTCCCCTCTGTAGATGAATAGTAATGAGTTGTCAGGGCTTCTGACTCTTAAGTGCCGAAGTCTTTATAGTCCTGTGTTCAAAACAACCTGGCTTTTTTGCCTTTTTCACTTGTAACGTGATCAATTGGTGTTCATAACAACAAAATACATTATTTTAGCCATTTTCTTAATTGGTACTAAATACTTATATAATGCCAAGTTAAAAGATAACAAGTATCTGGTGAAAACTTTAATTATTAAATCAATTTTCTTTTATTCTGATATAGCTGAATTTTAAGATCATTCTATTTTTATTTACTTACAGTCATTAATTGACCAATAATGGTTTGTTGTTGTTGTTGTTATTATTGTTGCTACTACTCATGGGAAAGTATCTTCAAGCTGGGCCTGGTTACACTGAGTGTTTGTGTGCTGAGCAGCCCTCTGATTTCTATTTTTGTGATCTGATGTGAGCTGTCTTTGCATGCCTCTATCTAAGTAGAACTTAGGTTAAATTCCTGCGTTTCAAATAGCTGGCCGTTAATAGGTTTGTTAACATGTTTCACAGTGTTTTAGTCCAGAAGTCTGAGGTGTGTTTACTGATGTGTAAATTCATTTTTAAAAGGCGATGAGAAATGTCCAGAGTGACATTGAGAATGGCCTAAATACAAATGGTGCAAAGATGTCCTTGTCTTGCCAGCTTAGAAAAGTTATTGTCATCGCTGTGTACCTGATACCATACAAAACATGCTCATCATCTTCCAGAAAAGAAGCTCTTCATCAGATTCAAGGCCAGCTTTCATTCTAGTCTTTTTGTTGTGCTTTCTGTCTACCTCAGGAAACATGGAAGTCATGTGTAATCAAGGGGTGATACGGTATTTGTGTGTGTTTGTTTTTTTTTGACATTTATATTTTAATCTTGAGTTTATAAATTTTTTTGTCAAGATGTTACTACAGTATTTAAGAAAATAATATCATTCATGTTTTCATTAACCTAAAATAAGTTTTCTTGCTTGCTTATCATCCTTCAGCTCTTGTCCATATTCATACATAGCATTATTGTTCAGTATTTCATTCAACCAATATTGGGTATTTATTGAGAACCTACTACGCCTCCTGTTATGTTCCTGTGCCAGGCACATAACAGGAAAAATAACTGTAAACAAAACAGACAAAAATCTCTGCCCTGGTAGACATTGCATTATAATAATCAGTAGATATATGTATTTTATGCATTCTGCTTTTTTCATGTATATTTCAAACATTTCCCCATTTTTACTTTGTCCTCATAAATACTTTAAATGGCTGTGTAGCATGCCATCTTGTTTTTGAACTGTAATTTGCTTAAGCTTTCTGCATTGGGCATTTAAGTGAGTACCTATGTATTACAGTTGTTGGGGGACTGGTTACATTGTTGTGAATGTCTTTATGGATATGACTTTTATGTCTGTTGGGCCTTGTCCAGAGTCTGGGCTAGTGGTCAGATGATTGGGTTCCAGTCCCATTTTTTCCATTTAATATAATATGACCTCAGATAAGTCTGTCAGCATCTCTATGCTTGAGTTTCCTCATCTGTAAAATAATGATAACACCTCCTTCACAACATTAAATGTGATGATAATGCAGATAAAGTGCCTGGAACATGAATGTTCAAATCGATTTTGCTTGGTCATGGTAGAAGCGGGGCAAAAGTGGAAGGATGGGAGTGTTATTTGTCTTGGTTCCTTAAAACACATTCTCAGGGTTGTGTGTCTTGAATCATAGGGTAGGAGCCTACACATTGAGGATGGTTCTGGGCAATGTATTGCTGACTGGTGCGTCTGAGTGTGCGTATGATATTGGGTCATATACTTTGGATTATTTTACCTTCCCCTAGAGCCTCTGGTTCTCTTCTCCTGGGACCCACCAAAAGAAAAGTAAAAACAACACAAAATGAACTTTGAATTGGAGCCGGGAAAAAGATACAGGGAAATAATAGCTTGTTTGTACCTGTATTTGTGGTTGACTGCAATGTTTGGTCTTATGCCTATGTTAATAGCACTACTTAGTGTTTACTTGTTTTGGGGGTTCTTGTTATTGAGACACCTCCGTACTTTAATTTTGCCTTGCTCCAATCTAATTATCTTTTTTTTTTTCTTTGCCCTTGCTGCTCTAGGAAAAATTTGAAGGATTAGATTTGTCTTCCCCAAAGAGGGAAGAATTGTAGGAAAGATTTGAAAAAGGTGCAGAATGAGGAGTATTTTGCTCCTCCTGAAATGTATCTGCCCTCTAACTTTATTTCTTAAACTGACATGAACTGTCAAACATGAAGTTCCTTTTCTATCTAAACTTTAAACTTTTATAAAGTTTAAATCTTTATAAACATGAATGATTTCCACCAGGCACAGTGGCTCATGCCTGTATTCCCAGTACTTTGGGAGGCCAAGGCAGGCGGATCACCTGAGGTCAGGAGTTCAAGACCAGCTAGCTAACATGGTGAAACCCTGTCTCTACTAAATATACAAAAATTAGCTGGGCATGGTGGTGCATGCCTGTAGTTCCAGCTACTTGGGAGGCTGAGGCACGAGAATCGCTTGAACCTGGGAAGCGGAGGTTGCAGTGAGCCAAGATTGCACCACTGCACTCCAGCCTTGGCAACAGAGCGAGACTCTGTCTCAAAAAAACAAAAACAGGCCGGGCGCTGTGGCTCATGCCTGTAATCCCAGCATTTTGAGAGGCCAAGGCGGGCGGATCACGAGGTCAGGAGATCGAGACCATCTGGCTAACACGTTGAAACCCTGTCTGTACTAAAAGTACAAAAAATTAGCCGGGCATGGTGGCAGGCGCCTATAGTCCCAGCTACTCTGGAGGCTGAGGCAGGAGAATGGCGTGAACCCGGGAGGTGGAGCTTGCGGTGAGCCAAGATGGCACCACTGCACTCCAGCCTGGGCAACACAGCGAGACTCCGTCTCAAAAAAAAAAACATGAATGATTTCACAGTGATGACCATGTTATTGATCATAAATAGAGAAAAATACAGGCAGGATGAGCAAGGGGTTTGTTTGGAGATTTTAAAAGGAAAACAGAGCTGTTCTTATAATTGTGAACAAAATGTGGTCTATATCTGGAAAAGTTATTCTCTTTGACTAGCAGTTTCTTTTCCTGGTAAGCTAACAGTCTCTTCAATTCTGTCACCATCCTTTCCAGGAGTCTGTAGATAACCTTGCCTCTTTTTACAAGAAATCTTTCTAATGCCATCAAGCTTGGTTTCCTGGATTCTCTATCTTAATTGTTGGTACCACCATCCACCAACCCGGAAATAGAGGATTGACCCTCTACCCCTTGTTTACATGAATCCCTCCCTGATCCCCAGACAGAGTCTGTCACTCTTGCCTCTGTACCACTGTGCTTCTTCTTGGTGTGTGCTTACAGTGTTTGCCAATTAGTTGTAAACTAGGATATAAACTCTTTGAGATAGAGGTCCATATTTTTTCTTTACCTAACAGCACCTGGCAGAAATGTCTGGTTATGTTATGTTCTCAGTAAGTGTTGCTTTTTAATATGTCTAAGCCCAGGCCAATAAATGCACAGTTGAAAATTTGACTCCAAACCTCTACTTCTGTGTGCTTCAATTTGTAAACAGAAGACATTCTCTTCAAAGGACTTTTTCATGAAGCCAGCTGACCTCCAAATAAAGATGGTATAAACCTGGCCAGGCGCGGTGGCTCACACGTGTAATCCCAGCACTTTGGGAGGCCAGGGCGGGTGGATCATGAGATCAGGAGATCAAGATCATCCTGGCCAACACAATGAAACGCCGTCTCTACTAAAAATACAAAAAATTAGCCGGTCGTAGTGGCGGGCGCCTGTAGTCCCAGCTACTCCGGAGGCTGAGGCAGGAGAATGGCGTGAACCTGGGAGGCGGAGCTTGCAGTGAGCCGAGATTGTGCCACTGCACTCCAGCCTGGGCGACAGAGCCAGACTCCGTCTCAAAAAAAAAAAAAAAAAAATGGGTTCTATGTCCTTTTTGATGATGAGAAATGGGGTTTCACCAGGTTGGCCAGGCTGTCCTTTTTGATGATGTAGAGATGACTGATGGCATCTTTAGTCATAAATACAATGTGGTTTAAAAGTTTTGAATTTTATGATACTGTAGTAGAATACACCAAATTTTCTTTTACAAATTTATTAACACTGCTACTTCAAGATGGTTGGCTGCACATGCCTTTGCCCTACCTCTGCTTCTTCTGTTTGTTTTGGTATTCAGATGTCTGTGGTAGTTTTATTTGCAATGGCCAAAAACTGGAAGCAGCTCACTAAACAAACAGTGGCATACCCATAGAACTGCATACTTCTCAGCAGTATGAAAGAATGAGCTACTTATATAAGCATCATTGATAAACCTCAAAAAAAAAATGCCACATGAAGAAACCCAAAGGGGAGAAACATAAAAACTTTATATGTCAGTCATATAAAATTCTAGAAAATGCAAACTAATCCATCATAAAGGAAAGTAAATCAACAGTTGTCTGGAGGACCAGAGAGAGCAGGAGGAGAGAGATTATTAAAGGGGTTAAAGTAAATTTGGGAGTGCCCTTCCATTTTTAAATACTATGAAAATGAAAGTAAAGGCACATGCATGTTGTAAACTAATAGTAACAAACAGAATGGGTTGGAGTGGGGTGTTGTCTGGGGACATCATTACAAAATGTAAGCCAGTTTATCTAAATTTTGAAAAGACCGTGGACTCTGATCTGACTGATGAATGTTGGAAGAGATAAGTGTGCTGCAAATGGGGGAATTAATAAAACAGCTGTATATAGACTAGTCATCCCTGTCCCCACTGGGTCTTTAGACCAAAAAAAAAAAAAAAAAAAAAAAAAACCAACTACATAAAAACAAAAGAAACCCATTTATTTATTTAATTTTTTGAGACAGAGTGTTGCTCGTCCCCCAGGCTGGAGTGCAGTGGCGTGATCTCAGCTCACTGCAACCTCTGCTTCCCAGGTTCAAGCAATTCTCCTGCCTCAGCCTCCTGAGTAGCTGGGACTACAGGCGCCTGCCACCACACCTGGCTAATTTTTGTATTTTAAGTAGAGGTGGGGTTTCACCATGTTGGCCAGGCTGGTCTTGAACTCCAGACTTCAAGTGACCTGCCTGCCTCGGCCTCCCAAAGTGCTGGGATTACGGGGGCGCCTGGCCAAAACCTTTATTTTTAAGAAATGAGATAAACTGCAGAGAAATAGGACCCTTAGAGTGTGAGATTTGGCTGATCTCATTTATCATCTGGGGGCCCTTGAGTCTGGAGTAATAGCTGTCTCTCATGGATCACCCTAAAATGACAGGTTCTGTTTATGTACACAGAGCTTAGGATGCATTTTCCTGACCCTTCTTCCCTTTAAAAATTTGAAGTAATAATTAGCTGGGCGCGGTGACTCACGCCTGTAATCCCAGCACTTTGGGAGGCCGAGGCGGGTGGATCATGAGGTCAGGAGATAGAGACCATCCCGGCTAACACAGTGAAACCCTGTCTCTACTAAAAATACAAAAAAATTAGCCGGGTGTGGTGGTGGGCGCCTGTAGTCCCAGCTACTCGGGAGGCTGAGGCAGGAGAATGGCGTGAACCTGGGAGGAGGAGCTTGCAGTGAGCCGAGATTGTGCCACTGCACTCCAGCCTGGGTGACAGAGCAAGACTCCATCTCAAAAAAAAAAAAAAAAAAACAAAAACAAAAAAACAAAAAAAAAAACTGAAGTAATAATCACATAACCTAAAACTAACCATTTAAAGTATACAATTCAGTGGCATTTAGTACATTCACATTGTTATGCAACCATCATCTTCATCTTGTTCCAGAACATTTCCATTACCTCAAAAAGAAACCCCCAGGCTGGGCACAGTGGCTCATGCCTGTAATCCCAGCACTTTGGGAGGCCGAGGCAGGTGTTAGAGACCAGCCTGGCCAACATGGTGAAACCCTGTCTCTACTAAAAATACAAAAAATTAGCCAGGCATGGTGGTGGGCGCCTGTAGTCCCAGCTACTCGGGAGGCTGAGGCAGGAGAATGGCGTGAACCCGGGAGGCGGAGCTTGCAGTGAGCCAAGATCGCGCCACTGCACTCCAGCCTGGGCAACAGAGCGAGACTCCGTCTCAAAAAAGAAAAAAAATTAGCTGGGCGTGGTGGCACACATCTGTAATCCCAGCTACTCGGGAGGCTGAGGTGGGAGAATCACTTGAACCCGGGAGGTGGAGGTTGTGGTGAGCCCAGATTTTAAAAAAGATAGATAGATAGATTGATTTTAAAAAGATAGATAGATAGATTAGATAGATAAAAAGAGAGAGAGAGAGCGCACAAGTGAGCCAAGTCTGGATGCGGTGGCTCACTCCTGTAATCCCAGCACTTAGGGAGGCCCAGGCGGGCAGATCACTTGAGGTCAGTGTTGCGAGAAGTCAGGGACCCTAAATGGAGGGACCGGCTGAAGCCATGGCAGAGGAACATGGATTGTGAAGATTTCATGGACATTTATTAGTTCCACCAGCCTGGCCAACATGGTGAAACCCCATCTCTACATCTCTACTAAAAATACAAAAATTAGTCAGGCATGGTGGCGCGTGCCTGTAATCCTAGATACTCGGGAGGCTGAGGCAGGAGAATTGCTTGAACCTGGGAGGCAGAGGTTCCAGTGAGCTGAGATTGCACCACTGCACTTCAGCCTGGGTGATAAAGGGAGACTCCGTCTCAAAAAAAAAAAAAAATATATATATATATATATATAGCCACATACATGGCAGGAGTATGAGTCATTGGTGGCAATCAAAAAATATATTTGTGCAGGCTGGGCGCGGTGGCTCACACCTGTAATCCCAGCACTTTGGGAGGCGGAGGCAGGCGGATCACGAGGTCAGGAGATCAAGACTATCCTGGCTAACATGGTGAAACCCCGTCTCTACTGAAAATACAAAAAAAAATTAGCCGGGCGTGGTAGCAGGTGGCTGTAGTCCCAGCTACTCGGGAGGCTGAAGCAGGAGAATGGCGTGAACCCAGGAGGCAGAGCTTGCAGTGAGCAGAGATCGTGCCACTGCACTCCAGCCTGGGTGACAGAGCAAGACTCCGTCTCAAAAAAAAAAAAAAAAAATTTGTGCCTGATGTATGAACATTCTCCTTTGAATGGCCCAAAGGGTTATTGACATTGGAACCACAGTGAAGAAAATGCAATTCTGGTCCTACAAATAGCATCCTAAAGCTACAAAAGTAACTGATGGAGGAACTAAAAATAGTGCTTTATATATCAAAAAGTTGGGACTTGAAAGTGGGAGATAGGGAGCAATTTAAGTAAGTTACATGTCATAGAGAGTTAGGGTTATACTCAGTGATGTTGGTGACAACCAGAAGAACCTTAGACAAATGACTGGAAAAGATTTCTCCTGGATAGGAAGACCTGGTGGTGGTAGTGGTAAAAAGGAATGAGGTCGCAGTGTTGTTCCTTTCCATCAAAGAGCCTTTTATGTTTTATGAACTATTGATTTTTCTTTTCTTTTCTTTTTTTTTTTTTTTTGGAGATGGAGTCTCACTCTGTCGCCCAGGCTGGAGTGCAGTGGCGCAATCTCGGCTCACTGCAAGCTCCACCTCCCGGGTTCACGCCATTCTCCTGCCTCAGCTTCCCGAGTAGCTGGGACTACAGGTGCCTGCCACCACGCCCGGCTAATTTTTTGTATTTTTAGTAGAGACGGGGTTAGCCAGGATAGTCTCGATCTCCTGACCTCGTGATCCACCCTGCCTCGGCCTCCCAAAGTGCTGAGATTACAGGCGTGAGCCACCGCCCGATTTTTCTTTTCTTTTTTTTTTGTTTGAGATGAAGTCTCATTCTGTCACCCAGGCTAGAATGCAGTGGCATGATCTTGGCACACTGCACCCTCCGCCCCCCGAGTTCAGGTGACTCTTCTGCCTCAGCCTCCCGAGTAGCTGGGATTACAGGCACACGCAACCATACCTGGCTAATTTTTTTTTTTTTTTTGAGGCGGAGTCTTACTCTGTCACCAAAGCTGGAGTGCAGTTAAGTTATCTTAGCTCACTGCAACCTCTGCCTCCTGAGTTCAAGCAATTCTCCTGCTTCAGCCTCCTAAATAGCTGGGATTAGAGGTGCCCGCCACCACGCCCAGGTAATTTTTGTATTTTTAATAGAAACAGGGTTTCACCATGTTGGCCAGGCTGGTCTTGAATTCCTGACCTCAGGAGATCTGCCCGCTTCAGCCTCCTGAAGTGTTGGGATTACTGGCATGAGCCACTACGTCCAGCCAAGCCTCAACTGATTTTCTTTGTTCATTGGCCATTAGGATAGGTTTAATAATTATTTCCCAGTAAACAAGTACTTCCTGAATTTCTGATGTCATTTTAGCTTTCAGGTAGATGTTGGGAGAGATGGAAAAAGATAGTTTGATCTCTTATTTTCCTTTTCACTTTTTTTTTTTTGGAGACGGAGTCTCCGTTGCCCAGGCTGGAGTGCAACCTCCGCCTCCCCGGTTTAAGTGATTCTCCTGCCTCAGTCTCCTGAGTAGGTGGGATTACAGGCGCCTGCCACCATGCCCGGCTAATTTTTTTTTTTTTTTTTTTTTTTGAGATGGAGTTTCGCTCTTGTTGCCCAGGCTGGAGTGCAATGGCACGATCTCAGCTCGCTGCAACCTCCGCCTCCCAGGTTCAAGCCATTCTCCTGCCTCAGCCTCCCGAGTAACTGGGATTACATGCACGTGCCACCACACCCAGCTAATTTTGTATTTTTAGTAGAGATGAGGTTTCTCCATGTTGGTCAGGCTGGTCTCAAACTCCTGACCTCAGGTGATCTGCCCGCCCCATCCTCCCAAAGTGCTGGAATTACAGGAGTGAGTCACCGTGCCTGGCCCTAATTTTTGTATTTATGGGGTTTCACCATGTTGGCCAAGCTGGTCTTGAATTCCTGACCTCAGGAGATCCACCTGCCTCGGCCTCCCAAAGTGCTGGGATTACAGGCATGAGCCACTGCGCCTCGCCAACCTCTTCTTTTTCAAATAACTTAAAGATCTCTCTGCCTTTAATATCTGCCCCCTCCTTTACTTCTACTTTTTGTTTTTCTGATACATCCACTAAAAGTACCACTTTATTTTGCTCTGTTGAAAAATTTAAAGTGGATTCTTCAGGCTCCAGCCTGATTTCCTTATTGTTCCTCTCCCTAACTCATATACTTGATTTTAACCTCCTCCAACCTATTGTCAGCATCTCCGCCCTTCTTGCAACCCTCGAGAGACTGCTAAGCCCTCCAACTTTTTTTAACCCGTCTCAGAGAAGCTGTGTCTGACCTCTCCTGTATCCCTGTGCATTCCTGAGGGCTTGGAAGACCTTGGGCACCTTCATACGCTCTTGTGGTGGATGTGGGTGTGGTGACAAGGCTGGACCACCGGAGACAGACAGAGAATGGTCTTGGCGTATGGGACCTAATGCTAGCACAGGTATTGTTCCAGGTTCTTGGGTTTGGCAGAGAAGGAATCCGTCAAAAAATTTCTGCCCTCAATGGGCTTTCATTCTCTTCCTGTTTATATAGTTTTATATAAACAGAAAGGTTATAAAAATAGGGTTATATGTTTCTAGCAAAAAGGGGTAGCTAAGGAAAGCAGTCGATGAGGTAGTAGCTCTGTCATTGAAACATGCTGTTGGAATCTGGCTTTTTCATTAAGATGTGCTGGCCTCTGAAGTACCCTCCTTTTGGAGAAGATGGTACTACCATCTTATTGGTAGTACTTGGATGGTACTACCTAGCTGGTTATTTGGCATTCCCTGTCTTTGCCTCCTTACAGTAGCAGTAGCTGAGACATAGCATTGTTTCAAATAACTTTTGGACAGGATGGGCTGTGGCTGCAGGAATGGACACAGCTTTTAGTCCTACTCTGTGCAGTTCATTTGATGTCAGCTCCCATCTGCATTTCTTTTGGTTGGGTTTGCTGGACATGATCTGCCTATGTGGCATTCCCCTGGAAGTCTGTTAAGAGTTCTAGGAGGGGCAGTAACCAGCTCTTTGTACTGAGTCCTTCTCAAAAAGTTTCCATTAAATGCACCCTAAAAGATATGCTGGCTGGGATTTACTTCACAATAATCTGAAGGGAGGAGGGGAGGGCTGGAATGGAGACATAGTGGGTCTGGCCACCAGCTGGTTAATGGGTTTCATTATACTCTTCACTTTGGTAGATGTTTGAAATTTTTCATAATTAAAAAAAAATACCCTTATGGTCAAGGAATGATTACGTTAGTATTTTTACATTATTATATTTTGTATAAATAACCTTATATTGAGTGAGGTCTTTGGTTTTTTTGGTATTGATTTTAATGATTGGAGTCCATAGCAATTAGAACTGAATCAAGGTTAGGCTGGTGAGAAGTCTTCAAATGTGTGTTTATTAATCAGACTTAAAAACATATATAACATTTGGGTACCTCAGTTACAAGTCAACCCTCCTTCCATGTCCCTGTAAAGAAAAGTGGAATGGGCAAAGTTATGATCAGGTGCCAGAGAGTGGGCCTTTTAGAGGCTGAGAATATTTAGGTGTGAAGTATGGGAGAAATGAAATCCTACCACTTAAATTAGATTCAGGGGTGAGCCTGGTTTAGGGTCAGAAGCCCTATGAGACCCCACTACCACCACCACTACTGATGCTAATTTTGCCCCATCGTAGGCTGGTGTTTACTTACTCCTTTGTCTCTGTGCTTTAACCTTCTTTCTTCCTCTTGTCCCTTTAGTACTTTCTTGCCTCCCTCCACATCATCCCTTGTCCCCCGGACCCAAATCCATCTGTCTTGATCTCTTTAGGCTGATTTTCCTATATCATGTCCCATTCTAGCCATTCTAGCCCAGGCCCAGAAGCTGGCCCACAGTTCACTACCTTTCTTCATTTCTGCTTTTTAGTGAGTGACCACTAGTGTTTGTTAACAAAAGTGATTGGACCACGAAGTGGCAGGCTGAGGCATGAAGACCCATTCATGTAGCCTTAAAAGATTTCAGGCAGTTGGCAAGTAAGAATTCTAAATAAAAATTGAAACTACCACCTGTATTTTTTCAGGCCGTTGATGCTCACTGCCATCAGCTGCATCCTCCCTATGGCACTGGTAAGTGTGGGAAGGGCTGGTGACAGTTTTGGTGGGCTGCTGGATTTCTTTTTTCTGGGGGAAAAGTCTATTTGCAAGCTATGTTGTTAACTTGTCCTTGAGGGCTGGAGAGCTTCAGCCAGCTAGAGGAGACTAAAAAGATAAAGAAGCCACTGATCACGTTCATGGATATCCTTGGGGAACTGTTGTCAGGAGCAGGGGCTATTTTAGCATGTGCCTTGATCCGTATATAAAATTAGTATGTTCTGTGCACTATTTTGAGTAATAAACATGTACTATCCAAGTGCTCTGGGGTGTCAAATAATAACTGTTAAATTTCCTGGAACTCGCAAAACCTTTTTTTTGAAGATAGATGTTGGTTGTGTGCTAGAAAGGGTCCTAAATGTCATATGTGCTTACCATTTCCTTCAGTAGCAGGAATTGATCTCTCTCTGGTATTTTAAGTTCTTTGTGGTCAGGGGACTCAAATGTTTGTTCCAATGACTAATTTAAACTTCTGATAGAAGACTTGCTTGAATGCGGTGGAGGGGAAGGGACTTGGTAGAAATCAGAAAATAAGTTTGTGGCTGTTATTAACAAACTTCAGGTGGACTTGCAATTTGTGATCTGAAAAATGATATCACAATCTGCTTACACTGAATAAAGCTGAAACAGAAGTAGGGCAGCAAGTCACAGAATTGCTAGTCTAAACCCACAAGCAAATTGCTATTGGAATTGCCTTACTTAAGATCCTGAACCCTGCAGCCGTCTCCTTGTAGCAAGCGGGTCAGAGGACACAGAGATTCAAAGTTTTATCTTATAAGGTAGTCTCCATTCTAAGCTGACAGTTTGATTTCAGTTCTCTAGTCTCTAACACCCTTAGACTGTGGAAGAAAGTGCCTCCAGAACAAAATGCTGAGATTGTAGATTTGCATGCTGCTAACCACGTCAGTAACAGCGACTAAAGCATTCATATTCACTTCATTACATCTCTGTGAGAAAATCTTAGCATTATTGGCCCACAGCCTGAATTTCCCCCTGGTCTTCATCCTCCATTCCTCAGTCCTGCTTGTGAAGCAGGCATAGAACTGTGTGACACATTTACTATGTTATTCATTTAAAAAACAGAAAGGAGAACTTGACTCCCAAGCAGCCATCTACTCTAGGTTTCTAGGCCAGTGTAACCAAGTGGTAACTACTGAACATGTTTTGAGGGCCTGTGTCAGATAGTATTTTCCAAAGGTCATGAGCAAACACCTTCTGTCATCCACTATAGTCTGTGCATTTTAGAGTTTCAGTCAAAAACAGACTATAGAGGATGACAGAAGGTGTTTGCTCATGACCTTTGGAAAATACAAATGACCATAAACAAAGTCCTTTTTGACATGCATGTAGCACATGCTTCCTGAAATAAAGATCTGGAAACCATCTGAGAGTATTGACATTGTAAATGCAATGGCAAAACAAAGCCATATTGGATTGAGGGCTACGGGTAATGCAGAGCAATGTGTAGGGTAAATGAGAACAGAGGAGAGAGAGCTCATTTCAAGCTGGAAAGAAAGCTCCCCAGTAGCGTCTAACCCATTGTGGTGCAGGTTTGGAGGACTCAGGGAAAGTGGGAGCATGGGCTGCGCTTGGTCTCTGCTCAGACCCCATCTTTGACTCTGTGAAAGCCTTCTCTGGACTACCCAGAAACTTGAGGGTACCCTTCACTCTTCACAATAAACTTTATGCTTGCCCCCACTTTTCTACCTTGCTCATACACTTTCCTTCCCTAGCTCCCGGTAAAATGAGAGAGTTCTTATCTTTGGGGCTTATGTTCATACTAAGGGGCAGGCACAAATGTGATTGCCCAAAGACAGTCCAGGGAGTGAGAAGGCAGGCCTAAAAGCTGTGCCTGTGGAAAAGTGATGTTGGTAAGGAGCTGGCTGAATGGGAGCAGAACATCCGGTGAAATACTCAGAAGCCTTGGTCAGGGAGATCAAGAAAGCCAGAGAAGGCCAGGCACAGTGGCTCACGCCTGTAATCCCAGCTCTTTGGGAGGCCGAGGCGGGGGGATCACCTGAGGTCGGGAGTTTGAGACCAGCCTGACCAAAATGGAGATAACCTCATCTCTACTAAAAATACAAAATTAGCCGGGCGTTGTAGCGCATGCCTATAATCCCAGCTACTCGGGAGGCTGAGGCAGGAGAATCGCTTGAACCTGGGCGGTGGAGGTTGTGGTGAGCCAAGATCGTGCCATTGCACTCCAGCCTGGGCAACAAAAGCAAAACTCTGTCTCAAAAAAAAAAAAAAAAGGAAAAAAAAAGCCAGAGAATATTGTAAAGTTATCAGCATTATAGGCCTATATGGAAATGACTTTATACTAGCACTATTATACTGTACTCTATAGTGTATACAGTCAGTTAACCTTAGTGAAAACTGTGTTAAAACTGTAAAGTGGAATTTGTTATTTTGAGGATTATAAATAAAAAGTCAAAGTATACTGTTTGATGCAGTAATATAAGGGTCAACCCTTTGTATATTGTGACGTATGATTATGTGAGTGATTGCCGTTGAATTAAATTTGACAAACTTTCCGCCCTTTTATTATGAAAAATTTAAAAGAAAGAGCTTTAAATAATTGTACAGTGGACATTCATATACTATACCATCTAGATTATATAATTGCTAATCTGTTGCTGCATTTGCTTCATCATTTATCTGTCCATCAGTCAACTCATTTTTGAAGCAGCTCTATTAAAGTTTTACATGCCATTAAACTCATCCATTTTATCTTTTTATTTTATTTTTATTTTTATTTTGTTTATTTATTTTTTTGAGACAGTCTTGCTCTGTCACCCAGGCTAGAGTGCAGTGGTGTGATCTCGGCTAACTGCAAGCTCCGCCTCCCAGGTTCACGCCATTCTCCTGCCTCAGCCTCCTGAGTAGCTGGGACTACAGGCGCCCACCACCACGCCTGGCTAATTTTTTTATATTTTTAGTAGAGATGGAGTTTCACCATGTTAGCCAGGATGGTCTCGATCTCCTGACCTTGTGATCCGCCCGCCTCGGCCTCCTAAAGTGCTGGGATTACCGGCGTGAGCCACTGCGCCCGGCCTCCTTTTTATTTTATTTTATTTTTTGAGACGGAGTTTTGCTCTTGTTGCCCAGGCTGGAGTGCAATGGCGCGATCTCGGCTCACCGCAACCTTTGCGTCCCAGGTTCAAGCGATTCTCCTGACTCAGCCTCTGAAGTAGCTGGGATCACAGGCATGTGCCACCACGCCCGGCTAATTTTGTGTTTTTAGTGCTAATTTTATATTTTTAGTAGAGATGGAGTTTCTCCATGTTGGTCAGGCTGGTCTGGAACTCCCAACCTCAGGTGATCCGCCCACCTCGGCCTCCCAGGAGTGCTGGGATTACAGATGTGAGCCACCGCGCCCGGCCGAACTCATCCATTTTAAAGTGTACCATTATTTGAGTTTTATTAAATGTATACAACTATGTAGTCATTACCATAGTCCCAGTTTTAGAACATTTCATCACCTAAAAAATTCCCGTGTTCATTTATAGTTGATCCCTGTTCCCAAGTGACTACTGATCTTCTGTCTCAGTAGTTTTGCCTTTTCTAGAAATTTCATACAATTTGAATTATACAATATGTAATCTTTTGTTACCTGGTTCTTTCTCTTAGCATAATGGTTGAGGTTCATCCATATTGTATCATGCATCAGTAGTGTGTTCTCTTTTATTGCTGAATAATGATTTTCCATTGTATGGATATGCCACATTTTGTTTACCCATTCATTTGTAAGTTGAGGGACATTGGGTTGTTTCTAATTTTGGGCTACTACGCAGTATGCTGCTGTGACCATTCATGGCCAGGGCTTAATATAGCCATGTGTTTTCATTTCTCTTGTATAGATAACTAGGAGTGGGATTGCTGGGTCACATGGTAAGTGTATGTTTAACATTTATTTATTTATTTATTTTTGAGACGGAGTCGTGCTCTGTTGCCTAGGCTGGAGTGCAGTGGCACGATCTCGGCTCACTGCAAGCTCCACCTCCTGGGTTCATGGCATTCTCCTGCCTCAGCCTCCTGAGTAGCTGGGACTACAGGCGCCCGCCGTGACGCCCGGCTAGTTTTTTGTGTTTTTAGTAGAGTCGGGGGTTTCACCGTGTTAGCCAGGATGGTCTCTATCTCCTGACCTCGTGATCCGCCTGCCTTGGCCTGGGATTACAGGTGTGAGCCATCGTGCCCAGCCGTGTTTAACATTTTAAGAAATAAACTGTTTTCCAAAGTGGCTCTACTACTTTACATTCCCACTAGCATTATGTAAGGGTTCCAGTTTCTCTGCTTCCTTGTTAGCACTTGGTATTTTAGGTCTTCTGGATTATAATCATTCTAGTGAGTGTGTAATACCTTGTGGTTTTAATTTGCATTCCCTAATGACTAGTGTCATTAACCACTAATGTAATTAATGATCTTTCCTTGTGCTTATTTGCTATTCATACATTTATTTTTTGTGGTGAAATGTCTGTTCAAATACTTTGTCTGTTTTTAAAAATTGCATTTTGTGCCTTACTGAGTTCTAAGAGAGAATTCTTTACATAGTTTGAATTATTTTATCAGATGTATGATTTGCAGATATTTTCTCCCATCCTGTTACCTGTATCTTTTTTTTTTAATCTTTTTTTTACTCCATCTAGTTCTGCTTCCTACTTTTCCATTTTCTAAATGGTGTCTTTTGAAGAGTAAAAGCTTAATTTTGATGAAGTCCAGTTTATCTTTATTTTCTTTTTTTAAAAAATTTTTCTTTTAAGGATTGTGCTTTTAGTGTCATATCTAGAAATCTTTGCCTAAACTAAGGCACAATTTTCTTCTGTGCTTTCTTTTAGCAATTTTATAGTTTTAGGTTTTACATTTAGATATGTGAACTCTTTTGAGTTAATTTTTGTGTGGTATGAAGTAATGGTCTGTGTTCTGTGTTTTGTTTGTTATGTATAAACAATTATTCAGTTGTTCCAGAACCCTTTGTTGAAAAGACTTTTTTTCTCCATTGAATTACATTGGCACCTTTGTTGAAAATTTACCATACATGTATGAGTTTCCTTTTAGACTCTGTTTTGTTCTATTGATCTATAGGTCTGTCTATTCCATTTTCTTTTTTTCCTTTTTTTACTCCATCTAGTTCTGCTTCCTACTTTTCCATTTTCTAAATGATGTCTGTTGAGTAAAAGCTTAATTTTGATGAAGTCCAGTATCTCCACTGTCTTGATTACCGTATGTAGCTTTATAGTAAGTCTTGAAGTCAGATGGTGTAAGTCTTTCAACTTTGCTCTTTTCTTTCAAGATTGCTTTGGATATTCTGGATCCTTTACATTTCTACAGATTTTGCAATCAACTATTAATTTTATTAAAAAGCTTGTGATTTTGATTGGGATTTTCATTTTGATTGGTTTTGATTGTTGTGTTCAAAATCTGTAGCTGTGCTGCCCGGTATGGTAGCTATGTGTGGCCATTGCTCATTTGAAATACAGTCAGTTTGAATTGAGATGTGCCGTAAGTCTAAAATACAGACTGGACTTAGAATGAAACAAAGGATAAAAATAGATTATCAATGCTTTTTTATGTGTTACATGTTGAAATAATACAATTTCAGATATATTAGGTTAAATAAAATAAATTATTAAAATTCACCCACTTAATTTTTCAATTTGCTGCTATATAGAAATACTTTTATGGCTCTTTCTTTGAATTCTAACATTTGGTTTTTGTATATATTGACTTTGTATTTTCTTTCTTCTTCTTTTTTTTTTTTTTTTTAATTTTTATTTTGTGACAGTGTCTTGCCCTGTCACCCAGGCTGGAGTGCAGTAGAGCTATCATGGTTCACTGCAACCTCAACCTCCCAGGTTCAAGTGATCCTTCTACCTCAGCCTCCCAGGTAGATGGGACAACAGGTTCATGTCACCATGCCCAGCTAATTTTTTGTACTTTTTGTAGAGACAGGGTTTTGCCATGTTGCCTTGGCTGGTCTTGAACTCCTGGGCTCAAGTGATTTGCCTGCCTTAGCCTCTGAAAGTGCTGGGATTACAAGCGTGAGCCAGTGTACCAGGCCAACTTTGTATTTTTTTTACCTTAGTAAATTCATAAATTCATTTATTAGTGTTTTTTTTCCCCCTGTGGAGTTTCACTCTTGTCCAGGCTTCAGTGCAATGGCAAATTTTTAAATTAAGGATTTTTGTGTCTATGTCTGTGGAATATTGGGGTTTTTTTTCTTGGTTATGTTTTATCATGGTTATGCTAACCTCATAAAATGAGTTTGGAAGAAATGTCCCTTTCTTCTCTAGTTTGTAAAAGTGTTTATGTAAAATTAGTGTTGATAGAATTCATCAGTAAAATCCCTGGGCCTGGAACTTGGTGGGAAGGGTTTCGATCATGACTTCAATGTCTTTACTATATAAAGAGCTGCTCAGTTTTTCTTTTTCATTTTGTGTCATTGTTGGTAAGTATTCTTCAAAGAACATGTTAATTTCATTTAAGATGTCAATTTTATTAGAATTAGGTTATTCATAACATTTTCTTATTTTCCCTTTAATGTCTATAAGAATTGTAGGGGGTGGTCCATCTTCTACCTCTGTTATGGATAATTTGTTTTCTCTTTTTTCCTAATTGTTCTGTTTTATCAACTTTGTTGATATTTTTAAAGAATCCATTTTTAGACTTCGTTAATTTTTGCTGTTACTTGGATTTTATTTCTTTCTCTTTTTAATTGTTACTATTTTCTTCTTTTTACTTCGTTTTAACTTAGTCATCTTTTTCTAGCTTCCCTTTTTTAGCTGTAATACACGGCAGTGACTAAATTTTTCTAGCGTCTTAGGTTAGATCTTTATGTCATTGATTTTTGGACCTTTTTTAATATATACATTTATAGTTTTAAATTTTTGTGTAGGCATTATATTAGCTGCATCTCACAAATTATGTAGTATTTTTGTTATTCAGTTCAAAACATTTTCTAATTTCTCTTTTGATTCCTGCTTTGACACAGGGGTTCTATAGAAGTATGTTCTTTAATTTCTAAATGTATGCTACAAAGAAGGGCATTATTGGTAGCTGACAGTTAAGAGAAACATATGGGGGTTCTGGAATCATTCAGTGAATTGCTGTGGGGAGGAATTAGGTGATGGGTCCTGAAGACTCTCTTCTACTAAGGCATATAAAGTTTGTCCTGTCAATACTGGAGAGCAGTGATGGGTTTTAAACAAGGTAGGAACTGATCCTGGCAAGAGTTAAGGGATCTGCAAGAATTGTGTTATTATTACTGTTGCATAAGGGTGTCAGGAAGCTCATCCTGAGGATGATGGAGTGGAAGGGATATACATTAAGATGCCTTTCCATGTGAGTGAGGCCCTTCTGATGGGAGTGCTGAGGAGAGGAAGAACTAGAGATTGGACACTGGAGTGGTGATGATGGGAGAGGGTAAAGTGGTTAAGGAAGAGTGAGACGTGGAGGAAAAGGCCAACAGTCCTACCTTGAGAGGAGTGGGAATGTGGTGCCCCCCACTGGCAAGATGGGGATACAAGAGGAAGAGCACAGAGTACCTGAACAGGTGCTGCAAAAGACATCATAGAGATCAAGAGGGGGTCATTAAGGCAGAAGGAAGTTAAGTGTCTGATTTCTGTCAGCAAGATAAGGTATGAGAAATGTTTGAATTTGGCAACAAGGGAGTTTATATTGCCTGGTATATGTGCATAAAGAAAGAATATCTTAGTATTTCTACTGTCAGCAATTTTTTTTTTTTTAAACGCAGTCTCGTTCTTGTCACCCAAGCTAGAGTGCAGTGGCGCGATCTTGGCTCACTGCAACCTCTGCTTCTCGAGTTCAACCGATTCTCATACTTCAGCTTCCCAAGTAGCTGGGATTACAGGTGCCCACCACTATGCCCGGCTAATTTTTATATTTTTAGTAGAGACAGGGTTTCACTATGTTGGCCAGGCTGATCTCAAACTCCCGACCTCAGGTGACCTGCCCGCCTCGGCCTCCCAAAGTGCTGGCATTACAGGTGTAAGCCACCGCGCCTGGCCAGCAATTCTGAGTAGATTGAAATTCATCAATTGAAATCAACATCTTATCAAATTATGAGCCAAACTGAATTAAAATCAGGAATAATCTGTGAATTTTTAATTTATGATTTTGGCAGTTAGACCCCATAAGCTTTGAAAAGTATTATAGTTATTAAACATGATTATTCATTTTCTTTTTTTTATTTTTTATTTTAGACGGAGTCTCGCTCTGTCTCCCAGGCTGGAGGGCAGTGGTGCGACCTCGGCTCACTGCAAGCTCCGCCTCCCGGGTTCACGCCATTCTCCTGCCTCAGCCTCCTGAGTAGCTGGAACTACAGGTGCCTCACAACGCCCGGCTAATTATTTGTATTTTTAGTAGAGACGGGGTTTCACCGTGTCAGCCAGGATGGTCTCGATCTCCTGATCTCATGATCCGCCCACCTGGCCTCCCAAAGTGCTGGGATTACAGGTGTGAGCCACCACGCCCAGCCATTATTCATTTTCTTGAAACAGTGTCTTGCTGAGTCACCCCGGCTGGAGCGTAGTGGCGTGATCATGGCTCACTGCAGCCTCTACCTCCTGGGCTCAAGCGATCCTCCTACCTTAGCCTCCTGAGTAGCTGGGACTACAGGCACATGCCACCATGCCCAGCTAATTAAAAAAAAAATGTTTTGGCTGGGCGTGGTGGCTCACACCTGTAATCCCAGCACTTTGGGAGGCCGAAGCGGGTGGATCACCTGAGGTCTGGAGTTTGAGACCAGCCTGGCCAACATGGTGAAACACTCTCTACTAAAATACAAAAATTAGCCGGGAGTGGTGGCAGGTGCCTGTAATCACCGCTACTTGGGAGGCCGAGACAGGAGAATCGCTTGAACCTGGGAGGCGGAGGTTGCAGTGAACCAAGATCGCGCCATTGCATTCCAGCGTGGGGACAGGAGCGAGACTTTGTCGCAAAAAAAAGAAAAGGCCGGGCTTGGTGGCTCACGCCTGTAATCCGAGCACTTTGGGAGGCCGAGGCAGGCGGATCACAAGGTCAGGAGATCGAGACCATCCTGGCTAACACTGTGAAACCCCCGTCTCTACTAAGGCATCGTGGTGGGCACCTGTAGTCCCAGCTACTCAGGAGGCTGAGGCAGGAGAATGGCGTGAACCCGGGAGGCAGAGCTTGCAGTGAGCCAGGATCGCACTACTGCACTCCAGTCGGAGCAACAGAGTGAGACTCTGTCTCAAAAAAAAAAAAAAGTTTTTTTCTACGTATAGGATCTCACTATTTGCCCAGGCTGGTCTCAAACTTCTGAATTCAAGTAATCCTGCCACCTTGGCATCCCAAAGTGCTGAGATTACAGGCTTGAGCCACCACACCCAGCCTGTAAGTATTCTTTACTCATGGTTTTGTGAATGTACAAAATGACTGTCAAAGAGATTCCACCATCTTAGGGTTTGCTCTTTAAACAGGGATGAGATTTCCTCTGGGGAATAGTGGAAATGAATTGGAGAATGGGTTTGCTGGAAACAGTAACCTAATGAATGGTACCCTTTTTGGCCCTTGATATGGAGGGAACAATAGATACCTTTTTTATCTCTGATTAGAGACTCAGATTACTCAGTAATTATCTTGAGACTCCTTTTGGACAAGAAACTTTCTAGTTTTTAATTTCTAGTTTTTTCCTCAGTTAATGTTTCTAGAAATAGAAAAAGCATTCATAGTGCCGGGTGTGGTGGCTCATGCCCATAATCCCCACACTTTGGGAGGCCGAGGCAGGATGATCACTTGAGGTCAGGAGTTCGAGACCAGCCTGGCCAACATGGTGAAATCCCATCTCTAGTAAAAATACCAAAAATAGCTGGGCGTGGTGTTGAGTGCCTGTAATCCCAGCTACTTGGGAGGCTGAGGCAGGAGAATCACTTGAACCCGAGAAGCAGAGGTTGCAGTGAGCCAGCGTCGCGCCACTGTACTCTAGCCTGGGCGACAGAATGACACTCCATCTCAACAGAAACGAAAAAGAAAAAGCATTCATAAATAAATAGGACTTTTAATCCTCTGGTTACATGTTGATCTAATAGAACTGCAAGTTTCTTCTGAACACCACATTGGTCACATGTGTTCCTTCTAAGTCATTAGTCTTTTTTTTTTTTTGGCTTACATTGGTTGTTTACTACCCTGGATCCATTTTTCTTTTGGAAAAGATTTGGCCTTTTCTTTATAAGTTGTCTTGATAATACTTAATCCTAACTACCAACAGGTTGTTAGCTCCTTCATTACAACAGCCCAGCAAGAGCTCTTCTTGATTCTACTGAAAGGTTTTCTCTTCACAATTGAACAAATTATAAAGGGTAACAAGGGGACAGGGGGTGAAGGACTCAGTTATGAAAGTGTTGACTGTGATAGATTCTAAATGGATTGTTGAGCTCTTTCAAGCATTAAAGACTAATGGTGTGAATACTAGTTCGTTCCTTAGAAAGCTCAGCTGTTTGTACTCAGACAGATTTTTACCTTTAATCTGGCTTAATATTGTTTAGAAGATTTGTTTTGGCCCTCCTGCCAGGAGGCCAAGATGGCTCAAGGTGGCCACTGCTTCCTCTGGAAAACTGCTGGGGAGTTGAGATGGGGGTTCAGTCAGTTCTCTCTTGTGACCCAAATCAGGGAGAAGGTAGCCTCCTTGCTGAGACTACCTTTTAGAATATATTATTCTAGAGTATCATTTTCTCACTGTTTTTCTCCATCTCTGTGCTGCTTTTGCTCAGAGGACTCTGGGGAATCTGGCTTTCCTGTAGATCCTTCCTGGTGTCCATTACTGGATGAGGTGCAGTGACACTACATTTTCCCTTAATTAGTGGTCTCAGAATCTCATCAGGTTTGTAGTAGATTTTTGAGAGAGAGAGTCTCCAATCTTCTGTGTACTATCAACCTAATATGTGTAATTATCTCCTTTACTTTTTTTTTTTTTGAGACGGAGTCTCACTCTGTCACCGAGGCTGGAGTGCAGTGGTACCATGTCGGCTCACTGCAACCTCCATCTCCTGGGTTCAAGCAATTCTACTGCCTCAGCCTCCCGAATACCTGGGATTACAGGCGCCCGCCACAACACCCAGCTAATTTTTATATTTTTAGTAGAGACGGGGTTTCACCGTGTTGGCCAGGCTGGTCTCGAACTCCTGACCTCAGGTGATCCGCCTGCCTCTGCCTCCCAAAGTGCTGGGGTTACAGACGTGAGCCACTGCGCCCGGCACTTTTTTTTTTTTTTTTTTTTTTTTTTTTTTTTTTAAGAGACAGGGTTTTGCTGTGTTGCCAGGCTGGCTGTGGTGTTGAACTCCTGGGCTAAGCAATTCTCCCGCCTCAGCCTCCTGAGTAGCTGGGACCACAGGCATGAACCACTGTGCCTGGCAGTCACCCCCACCTTGATGTGGGGATCCCAGTAGTGTCTCTTACAGAAGGCTGCTGGGAGATGCATACAGCTGACGTGTGTGTGTGTGTGTGTGTGTGTGTGTATTTATTTTTTATTTTTTTGAGATGGAGTTTTGCTCTATCACCCAGGCTGGAGTGCAGTGGCACGATCTCGGCTCACTGCAACCTCTGCCTCCCGGGTTCAAGCGATTCTCCTGCCTCAGCCTCCTGATTTCCCAAGTAGCTGGGATTACAGGCGCCCGCCACTACGCCCAGCTAATTCTTGTATTTTTATTAGAGACGGGGTTTCACCATGTTGGCCACAACTTAGCTGGTCTCAAACTCCTGACGTCAAGTGATCTGCCCGCCTCGGCCTCCCAAAGTGCTGGGATTATAGGCACGAGCCACTGTGCCTGGCCTATCCTATACGTATTGATGTCCTCTTGGCTGTTGCCATTAAAAGAATAGATTTACACCTCACCACTGTCCATTTTATAAAGTGGTAGGCATATCTCCCTTCACATTGTTTGTTCTCACCAGAACTCAGCTCTGCTGGGATATTCTGAGTTGGTCATTATCAGACTTGTAATCATTAGGAAATTCTTGGCTTCAGTAGAGGGTTATGTTGTTATCTGTAGGTGAGCACTACCTAGTGTGTTAATTCTGAGGCTTCACTGTGGCTGTTGGTGCTGTTGAAATCAAGAGATCAGTGTTAAACCTTCTTGACCTTTCTAATGAAACAACAAAATTTTATTTTAAATCCACAGCTTAAAGACATACCATTTAATAATCAGCATTTGTTGAATGGCTACCCAGTGTCCAGTCCATTTCTGGGCTTTGTGGATCTGTGAGTCAACCCTGACCCCTGTTCTTAGTGTAAAGGGCCCATCTGTAGTGAAAAAAGACGGCAGCTGTTGGACATGGTCAGAATTCCTCTGAGTTACTAGGTGGCATAGTATCTTTGCTAGGACTTGGTGGTCATGCATAATGAGACATGTAGAAGTCAGAACAGAAAGCATGGTGTAAGGCTGATTGGGCCCCACTGGGTATGAGAAGAAAGAAAAGGTTCCAGCAGGGAGTTCATCTAAAACAGTATCACTTCATTGTTTTTGTTTGTTTGTTTGTTTGTTTGTTTTTGAGACAGAGTCTTACTCTGCTGTCGCCCAGGCTGGAGTGCAGTGGCGCGATCTCAGCTCACTACAACCTCCGCCTCCCGGGTTCAAGCGATTCTCCTGCCTCAACTTCCCGAGTAGCTGGGACTACAGGCACCTACCACCACACCCAGCTAATTTTTGTATTTTTAGTAGCGACGGGATGTCACCATATTAGCCAAACAGGTCTTAATCTCCTGGTCTTGTGATCCACCTGCCTTGGCCTCCCAAAGTGCTGGGATTACAGGTGTGAGCCACTGCGCCTGGCCCCACTTCATGTTTTTTAAAACTATTCGAGGGGTAAACTGACGTAGGTTGGAAACAGAGCAGGTCAAAACTCCCGTGCTGCAGGAGGATCACTTGAGACCAGGAGTTTGAGACCTGCCTGAGCAACATAATGAGACCCTCTCTCAACAACAACAACAAATCAACTGGGAGTGGTGGTGTGGGCTTGTAGTCTTAGTGTCTTGGGAGGCTGAGGTGAGAGTATTGCTTGAACCCAGGAGTTCTTGGTTACAGTGAGATATGATCATGCCACTGCATTCCAACCTGGACAACAAAACAAGACCCTGTCTGTAAAAAACAGAACAAAAAACTGTTGTGCTTATCAGTAGTAGGATCGTGTCTGTGAACAGGCACCGCACTGTAGCCTGCATGACTTCATCTCTATTTAAAAAAATAGATAGGCCGGGCACGGTGGCTCACGCCTGTAATCCCAGCACTTTGGGAGGCCGAGGCTGGTGGATCACGAGGTCAGGAGTTCAAGACCAGCCGGGCCAAGATGGTGAAACCCTGTCTTTACTAAAAATACAAAAATTAGCTGGGCGTGGTGGCGGGCGCCTGTAATCCCAGCTACTTGGGAGGCTGAGGCAGAGAATTGCTTGAACCCGGGAGGCAGAGGTTGCAGTGAGTCGAGATCGTACCACTGCACTCCAGCCAGGGCAACAGAAGGAGACTCCATCTCAAAAAAAAGAAAAAAAGGTAAGGCCGGACTCAGTGGCTCACACCTGTAATCTCAGCACTTCGGGAGGAGGCTGAGGCAGGCAGATTGCTTGCGCTTAGGAGTTCAGGACTGAACTAGGCAACATGGAGAAACCATGTCTCTACAAAATATAAAAAAATTAGCTGGACATGGTGTCTTGCACCTGTAGTCCCAGCTACTCAGGAGGCTGAGCTGGGAGTATCACTTGAGCCCAGGAAGTGCAGATTGCAGTAGCCAAGATCATGCCACTGCACTCCAGCCTGGGAAACATAGTGAGATCCTGTCTCAAAAATAATAATAATAAAATAGGCCGAGCGCGGTGGCTCACGCCTGTAATCCCAGCACTTTGGGAGGCCAAGGCGGGTGGATCACGAGGTCAGGAGATCAAGACCATCCTGGCTAACACGGTGAAACCCCATCTCTACTAAAAATACAAAAAATTAGCCCGGTGTGGTGGTGGGCGCCTGTAGTCCCAGCTACTAGGGAGGCGGAGGCAGGAGAATGGCGTGAACCCGGGAGGTGGAGCTTGCAGTGAGCCGAGATTGCACCACTGCACTCCAGCCTGGGTAATACAGCGAGACTCCATCTCAAAAAAAAAAAAAAATACAATAAAAAATAAATAAAAAAGCTGTTTGTATCAAAGACTGTATTTCAGCAGTTGTTAAAGTTTAAACAAGATGTCTTGTCTCTCTTTTCATTTTGTGATAGTGTCTGTTGGGGACGAATAGCTTTGTTAAGGACACAGAAGAAATATCAGCCATAATTTGGGAAACCTAGGCCTAGAGTCTATGTGGGCCTCTGCAAGAAAATACTGTGGCTGGCCAGCCAGCACTTTGGGAGGCCGAGGCGGGCGGATCACGAGGTCAGGAGATCGAGACCATTCTGGCTAACATGGTGAAACCCCGTCTCTACTAAAAAATACCAAAAAAAAAAAAAAAAAAAAAAAAAAGAAAAGAAAATACAGTGGCAGCATGCACGGGTCAGATGCCACTTACCTTGGAAGGAAAATAGAGACCCCCATCCTGAGTGAAGTAAGCTGTCTTGAGTCCTTGATTTTTCTCCAGATGTACCTGGACTGTAGGACAGGAAGGCACTCACTGATTGCATAGCCTTTGACACTCATTATATGCTGGGATGTGCCCTTGTTTAGTAGGTGCGCACTTGTCTCCTTTCAGGAGTGACTTGAGCGCTAGAAGGAGGGATCATGTGGTGTTCACTGTGTGTCTTCCCTCTGCTGCAGTTCTTATCTGTGGACCAGGCACATACTACCTTACAGGTCCATGGTAGCTCTTGTTTAAGGACTCAGTCCAGTGAGCAGACAATGTTCTGTGTGTTTTCTTGTCTCTCTAGCCGTAAATATGTTCCTACTTTCTCCTTGCTTTAGTAGTACCCTCATGGTGTGTATTGCTCTCTCTGGGAAGCCTGATCTAAGGCTTCCAAACACATCCCAATCTTCTGTGATCTCACCCAAGTCTTGACACTTAGGGTGTTTTGTAACTAGCTTAACTTCCCAATTACGATTATAACATGTAGATGCTTATTTGCTTCTTTAACCTAACATTAAAATGTGAACTTCTAAGGCGGGTGAAGTGGTATGCACCTGTAGTGCCCGAGAGGTTGAGGTGGGAGGATCACCTGAGCCCAGGAGTTCAAAGCTGTAGTGTGCAATGATCATGCCTGTGAACAGCCTTGTATTCCAGCCTAGACAACCGTAGTGCAGCTCATTATTTAAAAAAAAAAAAAACAAAAAAACCTGGCCGGGCACAATGGGTCACACCTGTAATCCCAGCACTTTGGGAGGCCAAGGCAGGCGGATCACCTGAGATCAGGAGTTCGAAACTAGCCTGGCCAACATGGTGAAACCCTGTCTCTACTAAAAATACAAAAATTAGCTGGGCATGGTGGCGCATGCCTGTAATCCCAGCTACTCGGGAGGCTGAGGCAGGAGAATCGCTTGAGCCTGGGAGACAGAGGTTGCAGTGAGCCGAGGTCATGCCACTGCACTCCAGCCTGGGTGACAAAGACTGTCTCAAAAAAAAAAAAAAAAGTCTTTCTATGTTAATAAACTTCTCAATCTTTTAAAATAACCATGTAGTAGTCCATTGCATAGATCTGTCATATATTATTTAACTCATTTTTGTTGGATATTTAGGTTATTTCTAATTTTTTACTATTGTAAGTAATCCTGTGGTAAACATATCCTCTGTCATTTCCTCAGGGAGACTTTACAGAAATAGAATTGCGAGCTCAATGCACCTTCTGAGGTTCTTTAGTAGCTATAACTATGTGCTTTAAATGTCCCCTGAGAGCATATAGAGGCCAGAAAGGCTGCCCACAAATTTCGAAACTGTCCTTGCAACTAGGACTGATTGGCTGCTGGGAATTCAGTGATTTTAAACTGAGTTTTGGGTTTTTATATTTTGTTTGTTGTTTTCTGGTGTTTCTGTAGGGTTTATGCAAACCCAGGCCTGGGGATTTTCTACAAGTAACAGGCCTAACTAGAGATGTGCTTCCGGCGTACAACCTCCTACAGCAGCTTGAGGGAACATATATGACATGAAGGAAACTCCAGCCCTGTTGCTTATATTATTAATAGATGCTAGGTTGTTATTTACTGTAAAATGAGTGTCTTTAAGTTTCAGATAAAATTAATTTTCTTGAAAGATTTATTAATGAAAACAAAGATTGAAAATCAAGAGATTCATGAAATCACTAAGATTGTAAGAGTCTAAACTTAAAAGACAAAGCAGAGAACCAAGAGGAGGAATTTGGTAATCCAGCCTGGGCTTGGCATAATAGACATGAATGTATACAGTTCTCAAAATGCGAAACACTTTAAAAGAAAATGCAGTTATAATTCGATTTTTTTTCTTTCTTCTTTCTAGGTATCTCATTCAGTTGCTAAACTTATATTAGTTAATTTCCACTGGCAAGTTTCAGAGATATTGGACAGGTAAGGTATTTGGGGGAGGAGAGAGAACATTGCCCATAGCTCCCCTCTCCGTGGTGATTATTGTTTACATTTTGGACCATATTCGACTATATTCCAATGTGCATAGTATATTTTTAAAACATTGGATTCTATTTTACATCCTCTTCTCTTAATATGTTGTGAACTTTCCCCATGTCTTCAGTATATTCTTCTACCCCAGTTTTAATACTAGCACAGTATTCTATCATAGATATTCCATACTTTTTCCAAACCTCTGTTGTTGGACAGTGAATTCAGATTTTCTTTCCCATTGTTAATTTTTAATCAGTGCCTTTCTAGGTAACACGCGCCAACATCTTTTACTTCTTTTGGATACGTCAACTTGAGGATTGTATCATAGTACGAGTTGTATTTCCTTTAGAAAATGTAGGCTGCTGGCTGTACGTGGTGGCTCATGCCTGTAATCTCAGCACTTTGGGAGGCTGAGGCGGGCGGATCACCTGAGGTCAGGAGTTTGAAATCAGCCTGGCCAGCATGATGAAACCCCTTCTCTACTAAAAATATGAAAATCAACCTGGCGTGGTGGTGCACTCCTGTAGTCCCAGCTACTCAGAAGGCTGAGGCAAGAGAATCGCTTAAACCCTGGAGGCAGAGGTTGCAGTGAGCCGAGATTGTGCCACTGCACTCCAGCCTGGTGGCAGAGTGAGACTCCATCTCAAAAAAAAAAACAGAAAGAAAATATAGGCTACTTTACCACCCACCACCTCTACCAGCAGTGTATTTGAGTATTTCTTTCCACCTCCTCCAGAACTAGAGATCTTAAGATACAGACCTTAGAGTCTCAAGATGTCTTACAAGTTGTCAGGAAAAGGGGCACCTCCTCCTCTGCATCCTCTGTAGAGATCTCCTATGCTCACCCTCGGAGGCGTGTGCCCCTGTCTAGCACAGTGTTTCTCATCCTCAGCATTATTGACATTTTAGACTAGATAACTCTTTGTTGTGGGGGGCCTGATCTGTGAATTGTAGGATGTCTGGCAGCATCCCTGGGCTCTATTAGAAGCCACACCTCTAAGTCCTTGGCAATCAAAATGTCTCCAAACATTGTCAAATAACTCGTGGGGAGCAAAATTCCCTCTGGTGAGAAGCACTTGTTACCATTCCTACTCTTTCACACTGCAGTGAATCTTCCTTTCTCGTATGGTATGTTTTTTTTTATTTTTATTTTTTTGAGACAAAGTCTCACTCTGTCACCCAGGCTGGAGTGCAGTGGCACAACCTTGGCTCACTGCAACCTCCATCTCCAGGGTTCAAGCAACTCTCCTGCCTCAGCCTATGAAGTAGCTGGGATTACCAGCACTTGCCACCATGCCTGGTTAATTCTTGTATTTTTAGTAGAATTTATCTACAGAGGAAGATCGTGCCTTTCCTTCTCCGGGCTGAACACAACTGGGAAGGACATACCAGCTGGAGCAGCTCAGCACAGTCAGGAAAGAGCAAATTCGTTCCTGATTCACTAACTGCACTCATCCTGTGTACTCAAGAACGGAATATATTTAGATGGAATTGCAGATGAACTGCTGCTGCCTTATTATTATACTACTGCCCAAAACTCTGGAACCACATAGGTTCTGGCAATAGGATATCTCTCACTGCCCACACTCTTTCAGCATAACTCAGGAGTGGAGATTTGGATGGCAAAAGATACTTAAAATATTACTGTGGGAATTAGGAATAAAACGGGCCCCTCAATAAGGATAGCTGAGGGAAGCATTCTGACTAGGTAGAAATCACATAGATGAGACATAATTCTTTTCTGCTCCAATTCCTGGTATCTTGGAAATATGTTGACCTGGGCTTTGTGTGGCACTTTTATTGCCACTTGATAATTCTGTTATAAATGGAAAATTATTGTAGGTAACTCTTACTGTCACGTAATTTTTCTGGAGTTAAATATAGAAAAGGAATTATTGGCTATAGCATACGTGTAGTTTTGTCTTTGCTAAATAATTCCAGGTTGTTTTCCAGAGTGATTTACCACTTTACACGCTCAGCAGTGGTATATAGGTGTTCCTGATATTGTAAGACTTAAAGTTTTGCAGTTTGGTGGATGTAAATGGCATCTAATTGTTTCAATGGTCCTGTATTATTAAGGAGGTTGAGAATCTTTTCATATGTTTAATGGCCATTTGTGCTGCCTCCTCCTTTGAAATGCCTGTTAAGTCTTCTCCCCATTTTTTATTGAGTTATTTTGTTATTCCAAATGGATCCTTCCCCCTTCTCCCATGTCCAGTTCCTAGAACCAAATGGATTTTTAGGAGTTTTGTTTACTCTGAATACTGATCCTTTGCCAGTTATTTTTTTTATTTTTATTTTTATTTTTATTTTTTTTAAAGACAGAGTCTTGCTCTGTCTCCCAGGCTGGAGTGCAGTAGTGCAGTCTCTGCTCACTGCAACCTCCACCTCCCAGGTTCAAGCGATCCTCCTGCTTCAGTCTCCCAAGTAGCTGGGATTACAGGCATGAGCCAACACTCCCGGATAGGGTTTCACCATATTGGCCAGGTTGGTCTCAAACTCCTGACCTCAAGTGATTTACCCACCTCGGCCTCCCAAAGTGCTGAGACTACAGGTGTGAGCCACTGCGCCCAGCCATATATATAGAATTTTTTTTTTTTTTTGAGACAGAATCTCGCTCTGTCTTGCAGGCTGGAGTGCAATGGCACAATCTCAGCTCACTGCAACCTCTGCCTCCCGGGTTCGAACGATTCTCTTGCCTCAGGCTCCCAAGTAGCTGGGACTATAGGCACGTGCCACCATGCCCAGCTAATTTTTGTATTTTTAGTAGAGACGGGTTTCACCATCTTGGCCAGGCTGGTCTCAAACTCCTGACCTCAAGTGATCTGCCCGCCTCGGCCTCCCAAAGTGCTGGGATTGCAGGAGTAAGCCACTGCGCCTGGCCTAGAAGTTTATATATTGAATTATCTTCCAGCTTATGGCTTGGCTTTTGACTTTGGTGTCTTCTGATGAATTGAGGTTCTTAAATGTAGCATGATTTATTGGGCTTTATATTTTTTATTATTCCTTTATATTTTGCATTTTCTGTCTTGAGAAAAAAAGTCTTTGTACTGAGATAAAAGGAAGCTTAGTTCTGTGAGAAAGTAGAGACAAAGATGCTCTAAACATCTTTCTCTGTCCTGTTATTGTTCAGGGGTAAAAATGTCTTTAGCTTCTGATTGCCTTCATTTCTGCTTTTTGTTTTGTAGATACAAGTCCAATTCTGCTCAACTGCTTGTTGAGGCTCGAGTTCAGCCTAATCCATCAAAACATGTGAGTGTCTATTACTTGAATGAGGCTTCTCCTAATTGCATGTGGTTCTTGCTTTGGCTTGCAGTGTCCTTAAGAGCTATCTTTACTTGGCTGGGTGCGGTGTGGCTCACGCCTGTAATCCCAGCACTTTGGGAGGCTGAGGCGGGTGGATTACGAGGTCAGGAGATCGAGACCATCCTGGCTAACACGGTGAAACCCTGTCTCTACTAAAAATACAAAAAAAAAAAATTAGCCGGATGTGGTGGCAGGCACCTGTAGTCCCAGCTACTCGGGAGGCTAAGGCAGGAGAAAGGCGTGAACCCGGGAGGCGGAGCTTGCAGTGAGCCAAGATCATGCCACTGCACTCCAACCTGGGCGACAGAGCGAGACTCTGTCTCAAAAAAAAAAGGAGCTCTCTTTGCTTTGTTTATAGTTCAACATGCCCACAATATTTGTTCTAGTATTGACTTAAATCTTCTGTTATGGTTTGAAAAGTTTCCTTATAGATAGGGACTAAGTCATTGCCTGTCCTTGGGCCCTCTCCAGCCCCACTTTCCTCTCTGCACTTTCAGCCTGCACTCCATTCCTTCTGGGTGCTTTGGTGTGTCTGAGATTACTGCATATGTCTTCTGTTTGTGCCTTCCCTTCCTAGAATGTTCAGACTCTGGCTCCACCTTTGCTTATAGGGAGGGAATTCACCTTTAAAGACCCCAGTCCGGCCAGGCACGGTGGCTCACGCCCATAATCCCAGCACTTTGGGGGGCCGAGGCGGGCGGATCACTTGAGGTCAGGAGCTTGAGACCAGCCTGGCCAACATGGTGAAACCCCATCTCTACTAAAAATACAAAAATTAGCCAGGCCTGGTGGCGCATGCCTGTAATCCTAGCTACTTGGGAGGCTGAGGCAGGAGAACTGGTTGAACCCGGGAGGTGGAGGTTGCAGTGAGCCAAGATCGCACCCCTGCATGCACTCCAGCCTGGGCGACAGACACTCCATCAGAAGAAAAAAAAAATCTAAGCCACCTCTGACAAAGCCTGTCTCCTGGATCATTCCCCTGGAAACTCACCTAATTATATCTATAAACTTTTACATGTGTGTTATAGTGATTAACTCATATCATTTTACCACCCCTACCATAGAAGCTGTATTTTAACAATGCATAGCAATTTCCTGTTTATCTAGGAGCTAAACGAACATATGTCGAATATTTTTTGAATGAGGGCCATGCTAAAATAGATCTTGGAAGGCAGAATTGGGGCTCAGATCACCACATAATTTCTGCAGCCTCTTAAGACAAAGGTTTCCAGAAGCAAAATGGATAAACATGAGAATCCAGTTCTTTTTCTCAACTTGTTTTTTTATATTCCCAGTTAACTAAAAAGAACCTAATGTTCTTGTAAGTGGACTTTTCCATTGGTTTGTGGTTTTAGCCAAGGTCCCCAGATTGTCTTTCTCTGCCAGTTTGTGTAGCATGATGTGGATTCTGGAGTTCATGCTATACAGTTATTTGCACACATTCTAGAAGAGTTTCTTCCCCTAGTTGGTGTCTCCACATCCCCCCCGCCAATATTAATTACATGTGACATCTGGTGTATTAAGGATGAGTTGTAACTTGGTAAAGGCTGTAGTATTTTGTGGTTTGGGTACGTCGATATAGTGAAACCACTGTCCTTGACAAGTAAAACTACAGTGTTGGCTGTTAGAAGATTTATAAACTCATCCTCTAATAACCTTTGTGACTAGGTTTCTAGTAGTTGTGAGGGGCAACTCTGCTGTGCTTAACAGGGGTAGTCTACAAAAGAAACCTGATAGCTTCTAAAAGAATTTGGACTAAGTGACTTCTAAGGACCTTGGCAATTCTGAAACCCTGAGTTTTTCAGTCTGCCATTATAAACCACTGTAAGTTCTCATTTCAGCCTTGTTTCTGCCTCTGAATCCTGGTGATTTTGCAAGCCCAGCCCAGCTGCCACCTCCTTCAGGAAGCCTTCCTGGTATATACTTTTAGCTTAGTACCCTTGGGACTCAGAGTCCACACATTGCAGTTGAGCTCTGATACTTGTTGCAGGGTGAGGATCACTTTCCATGCACCCGGCTGCATGAGGTACCCTTATGGCCTTCTGGACCTGACTCCTCTTTGGCTCATGTGGCTCTGTTTCTCTCCAGGTTCCCACATCCCATCCCCCTCACCACTGTGCAGTGTGTATGCAGTTTGTGCGAAAGGAAAACCTACTCTCTCTGGCCTGTCAGCACCAGTTTTGCCGCAGCTGCTGGGAGCAGCACTGCTCAGTTCTCGTCAAGGACGGCGTGGGCGTGGGTGAGTCTGCCACAAAACTTATAAAAAGCTGGCATGAAGTGTTTATCTTTGACTCTGCCTTTTCATGTACTCAAGTAAACTGAGTATTTTCTTCTGAGCCTGATTGGGGTTTTTATCATCAGAACTAGTGATTTTCAAATACATCCATACAAACAGTGACAAAGTTTTCCCCAGTCCTCAGCAAAACGAGAAAACTAAATATACTGTTGTAAATGTTGGCGTGAGTGCAGAGCTACCTTCTCTCACCTTTTGGGAGAACGATCCTTTAAGCTGCCTACCTTGATTCCACAAGTGGCAGCCATAACTCAGAAATGCCCACAAGAGTTTGCTGCTATTTAGGTAACATAGCACAAATCAAATTTGATGATTAGTTACAGAAGTATTTGTTATACTGTGATTTGATGATACTGAAACACATTAGCATCGCATTAATTGATATCTGCAAAGTCCCACAATTGGTGATAATCACCTCTAAATAATGTTAAACATCACAAAACTCAATTGTTAGTCAAGAACCTATATAAGGATTTTTTAAATGGTTTTGTTATTTAATGGTGCCGTTAGTGATACAATTTGGGATAATATTTTAGTTTCATTGCTGTGAAAATATGCTAATTTCTCTCTTCTCTTTGAATAAATTCTGTTGCTTGAAGAGTTTCTTTTATGCAACTTGGATTTGTTGACAGAACTAGGTGGGCAAGTTGTGTCTTCTGCAGTATGCTTGTCCATCACTTTTTTGGGTTTGTTTTTTTTTTGTTTGTTTGTTTGTTTGTTTTTTGAGACAGTTTCGCTCTTGTTGCCCAGGCTGGAGTACAATTGCATGATCTCAGCTCACCACAACCACTGCCTCCCGGGTTCAAGCGATTCTCCTGCCTCAGCCTCCTGAGTAGTTGGGATTACAGGCATGTGCCACCACACCTGGCTAATTTTTTTTTTTTTTTTTTTTTTTTGAGACGGAGTCTCGCTCTGTCGCCCAGGCTGGAGTGCAGTGGCGGGATCTCGGCTCACTGCAAGCTCCGCCTCCCGGGTTCACGCCATTCTCCTGCCCCAGCCTCCCAAGTAGCTGGGACTACAGGCGCCCGCCACTACGCCCGGCTAATTTTTTGTGTTTTTAGTAGAGACTGGGTTTCTCCATATTGGTCAGACTGGTCTCGAACTCCCGACCTCAGGTGATCTGCCTGCCTTGGCCTCCCAAAGTGCTGGGATTACAGGCATGAGCTATCGCACCTGGCCCCATCAGGTTGTTTTTGTTCAACAGGAGTCTCTTGCATGGCTCAGGACTGTCCACTCCGTACACCAGAGGACTTTGTGTTTCCATTGCTTCCCAATGAAGAATTGAGAGAGAAATACAGGCGCTACCTCTTCAGGGACTATGTGGAGGTATGGCCAGCCTTTGTTCTGCCCTCTGTCTTCCCGGGCCTACCTTCCATCAGAGGGTCACCACAGTTACTTACTTTGTAGACTAGGCTGACATTAAGTGATAGTGTTCAAAGAAAGCGCTCCATGGCTTTAAAAAAAGTTTGAAAACCACTGGAGTGATAGTGAAGAGTACAGGCCTTAGAATCAGACACACCATTGTGTGAAACTTGGATACTTCCTTTCTTTGTGACCACTCTTTTTTTTGCGTGTGTGACTGCCTTGCTGTGTTGCCTGGCTGGAGTGCAGTGGCGCAATCTTGGCTCACTGCAACCTCCGCCTCCCAGGTTTAAGCGATTCTCCTGCCTCAGCCTCCCGAGTAGCTGGGACTACAGGCATGCACCACCACTCGCAGCTAATTTTTGTATTTTTAGTAGAGACGGGGTTTCACCAGGATGATCTTGATCTCTTGACCTCATGATCTGCCCCCCTCGGCCTCCCAAAGTGCTGGGATTACAGGCGTGAGCCACTGCACCCAGCCTCTTTCTTTTTTTTTTTTTTTTTAACCTCTGAGTCTTGATTTTCTCTTCCATAGACAGACCTCCCCACCTTATACATAGTTGCTTAAAGAAGCTATTGTGTGTCAGCAGGTGAATACAAATTAGGCATATTTAGGAGCTGCTGTTAGATTCAGTTTCCTGTGTGGTTGAGCAGAGAGAAGGGGTATTGCTTTTTGAGTAATTGGAAAACTTGTCCAGGATTCAGCGTGGTCACTTTTGGAGTCCTTTCCCTCTATTAGGCCATCTGCTAGGCCTGCTGATTCCATGCAATATAATTTTCTTTTCTTTTTCTTTTTCTTCTTTTTTTTTTTTGGAGACAGGGTTTTACTCTGTCATCCAGGCTGGAGTATAGAGGCACAAACATGGCTCACTGCAGCCTCTGACCTCCCAGGCTCAAGCAATCCTCCCACCTTAGCCTCCCGAGCAACTGGGACTACTGGCGCGCACCACCAAACCCAGCTAATTTTTGTATTTTTCGTAAAGATGGGTGTTTCACCATCTTGCCCAGGCTGGTCTCGAACTTCTGAGCTCAAGCCATTCACCCGATGCAGCATAACTTTCATCTTTGTCTTTTTTGCCTAAGCTTTTCAGATTAATTTATGGTCTGGGTCTTGTCATGCACATGCCGCAGGATAAACAGAAGGCCTTGTTCTTTATGCTGTTTGCTGCCTTTGAGGGTCATTGAGCTCCTCAGATATATGTTTTTTTTTTTTTTTTGAGATGGAGTCTCACTCTGTCACCGAGGCCGGAGTACAGGGACACGATCTCAGCTCAATGCAACCTCTATCTCCCAGGTTCAAGCGATTCTGCAGCCTCAGCCTCCTGAGTAGCTGAGGTTACAAGCTCGCGCCACCACACCCAACTAATTTTTGTGTTTTTTAGTAGAGACAGGGTTTCACCATGTTGGCCAGGCTGGTCTCAAACTCCTGACCTCAGGTGATCCACCTGCCTCGGCCTCCCAAAGTGCTGGGATTACAGGCATGAGCCACCGCGCCCGGCCTTGTTATTTTTTATTTTTTTCAGAGACAGAGTTTCACTGTCATCCAGGCTGGAATGCATCGGTGCAATCAGCTCACTGCAGCCTGAAATTTCAGGCCTCAAGCAGTCTTCCCACCTCAGCCTCCTGAGTAGCTAGGACTATAGGCAGGAGCCACTATGCCTGGTGCAATTCTATATAAACTTAGATCATTCCAGTGAGTTGCTACCTGGTTTAAGCTAAACGTTCTAAATTCCTCTTTAATATCTGGCTTACGTTTGGTCTTCACATCCTTTCTGAATTTATATAGCCCCTTCGTATAAGTCATCAGCTGGGAGAACAGAAAGTGTTTGAATATTCAGGGGGTTCTGATTTTTAGACAGCAACTAAGAGATGTCCTCATTGTTTCCTCTTGGTGTGTTCACAGAGTCATTACCAGCTCCAGCTGTGCCCTGGTGCAGACTGCCCCATGGTTATTCGGGTACAGGAGCCTAGAGCTCGCCGAGTACAGTGCAATCGGTGCAACGAGGTCTTCTGGTAAGAGTGAGTGTGAGTGCTGAGCAGCCCTGGGCTCATGCCCCATCCTCCAAAGCACCACTGCTGTTGCTCCATGTGAGGGCGGCACTGGAAGAGGCAGGGTCTCTGAGCCAACAGAACAGCTGTGCTCCAAGTGGGTAGGTTTATGTCCAGCATCTCATATTCCACTAGGTCTTCAATACATGCTCAGTCTGGAGGCAAGGAAGTGACACAGGTTCTTGGAAAATGTGTTGTGGCTTATGCTACTAGGTCTCATGGCCCAGAGATTGTGTGGGATGTATCTGCCTGCATAGCTAATCACATATTACTGTGTTTGAAAGATATAAACTTGAACATTTTAATCTTTCTCTGTCTTGGCCTTACTTGGCTAATTTTTGTTAAACTAAGTCATAAATATATTCTACATCTACTCAAGGTTCACTTCATTCAGTAGATACCATGGGAATAACTAAAGTTTACCGAAGGCTTACCAGGTGACAGGCACTATCCTGATCACTTACCCTGCATTATCACAACTGTATATGACCCTTATATTCTCTCTTTTTTTGTTGTTTTCTTGAGACGGAGTCTTTCTCTGTAGCCCAGGCTGGAGTGCAGTGGCACATACTTGGCTCACCACAACCTCCGCCTTCCAGGTTCAAGTGATTCTCCTGCCTCAGCCTCCTGAGTAGCTGGGACTACAGGCATGTGCCACCATGCCCAGCTAATTTTTGTATTTTTAGTAGAGACAGGGTTTCACTGTGTTGGCCAGGCTGGTCTCAAACTCCTGACCTCGTGATCTGCCCGCCTTGGGCTCCCAAAGTGCTGGGATTACAGGATTGAGCCAACCGCGCCTAGCCATGACCCTTATATTCTATGAATAAATCAAGGTACAAGGTAAACCTAGTAAATCGTAGAGCCATAATTTAGGCCCAGATCTGTCCTAATCATACCTCCCTGGAATATTCATGGTGGGGCTTCAGAGAAACTACATGGAAAATGTGATGTGTGTGTGTACGCACATGCCTGCATTTCAAGACATTATTGACACCAAAGGTTAAGAATCACTAATGCAGTGGTTCTTTCATTTTAAATCCGGCAGCCCCCAGGATCACAGCAGATTCAGAAGACTCCTTGTAATTGTTCTTTATCCTTGTGTCCCACTTTATGAAATTCTTTCCCTGGGTATTTGCCTGAGGGCCTTTTCTAGCCACAAAGTACTGTTGGCCTCCACAAAAGAAAATTTCAAAATATGGAAGCCTAGCCCGACGAATATTGGAGTGTCTTTTTTTTCTGTTTTAAGTTTCAGTGTCATCAGATGTATCATGACCCTACAGATTTTGCACGTTCTGGCATTTGTGCATTCTTGTGTGCATATCTGACTGGGAGATCCGATGAGACTCCCGGAAGTGGGTCTCAATCCTGCCTTAGGTCTGAGCTAAGGAGTCCTTCTCAGAGCACCTCACCATGCCCTTTGAGAGTCATAGCTCTGTGTTTGACATCTTGGGAGTTGGTAAACAAGATGTTTAAACAAGGTATTTAACATACATATCATAGCTCACTGCAGCCTCAAACCCCTGGGATGAAGTGATCCTTCTGCCTTAGCCTCCCAAGTAACTGAAACTACAGATGCCCAGCTAATTTTTTTAAATTTGTTGTAGGGGCCAAGTGTGGTGGCTCACACCTGTGACCCCAGCTTTAGGACCCCTGTGACTTTAGGAGACTGAGGCGGGTGGATCACCTAAGGTCAGGAGTTCCAAGACTAGCCTGGCCAACATGGTGAAATCATGTCTCTACTAAAGATACAAAAATTAGCCAGGAATAGTGGCAGGAGCCTGTAATCTCAGCTAGTCAGGAGGCTGAGGCAGGAAAATCACTTGAACCAGGGAGGCAGAGGCTGCAGTGAGCCAAGATCATGCCATTGCACTCCAGCCTGGGTGACAAGAGCGAAACTCCATTTCAGAAAAAAAATTGTAGAGACAGGGTCTTCCTATGTTGCCTAGGTTGGTTGGTCTCAAACTCCTGGTCTAAAGCAATCCTTTTTTTAAAAAACAGGGTCTCTCTCAGTTGTCCACGTTGCAGTACAGTGATGCGAACACAGCTCACTGCAGCCTTGACCTCCAGAGCTCAGGCAAATCCTCCTGCCTTAGACTCTCTAGTAGCTGGGACTACAGACACATAGCACTACACCTGGCTAATTTTTTCATTTTTTGTAGAGATGGGATCTCACCATATTGCCCAGGCTGGTTTCAAACTCCTGGGCTCAAGCAGTCCTCCCATCTCAACCTTCCATAGTGCTAGGATTACAAGCATGAATCACTGCACTCGGCCTACAGAAATATTTTATTTGTGCGTGTTAGAGCATGTCTTACAAAGGCTTAAGTTGAAGAGACATTCATGCAGTATTTCAGTATAACTCTGGGTAGGTAAAGGTTCCACAAGCCTTGAGAGATAACTTTACCTATTTGAAAAGCTCTAGGCCGGGCACAGTGGCCCACGCCTGTAATCCCAGCACTTTGGGAGGCTGAGGCGGGCAGATCTCGAGGTCAAGAGATCAAGACTATCCTGGCCAACATGGTGAAACCCCATCTCTACTAAAAATACAAAAATTAGACTGGGCGCGGTGGCTCACGCCTGTAATCCCAGCACTTTGGGAGGCCGAGGTGGGTGGATCACGAGGTCAGGAGATCGAGACCATCCTGGCTAACACGGTGAAACCCCGTCTCTACTAAAAATACAAAAAATTAGCCGGGCATGGTGGCGGGCACCTGTAGTCCCAACTACTCGGGAGGTTGAGTCAGGAGAATGGCATGAACCCGGGAGGCAGAGCTTGCAGTGAACCGAGATCACGCCACTACACTCCAGCCTGGCGACAGAGCAAGACTCTGTCTCAAAAAAAAAAAAAAAAAGAAAAAAGCTCTAATTCATGATTTGTTGGCTTGGATAAAAGGAAAATTTTGAACATGGGACCCTGACTTAATGAATATTTGAATGTTTTTCTTTTCCAATTTTAAGTTTCAAGTGTCGTCAGATGTATCACGCACCCACAGACTGTGCCACAATCCGGAAATGGCTCACGAAGTGTGCAGACGACTCTGAAACAGCCAACTACATTAGTGCTCACACTAAAGACGTAAGGACCGTATTTTACCTCTCATGGATTTGCCCTCCTTAGTGCTGCCCAGGGCCTTGCCTTGGAGATTTGCCATCTGAGAGCAGAATACCCAGAGCCCCAGGACCCTTCCTGAGGACTGGGGGTTTGGGGACCCTCACACAGAGTTGGCAGCTCGTAGCAGTTTATTATAGGATGCATTGGGTGCATATTTTCTTTATTATGATGAAATGCCAAAATGCCAGGAAAGGGGGACCCAAAGGGGGAGCTAATTAGAAGAGAACTAATTATGATTGAACGCCTACCAGCCTTTAACAGCCCTGAAAGGGAGGTGGTTAATAGCCACACTTGATACATATAAGGCTGTAATGCAAGCCCAGACCTGCACGATACTCATTTTGAAGTCTCCCATGGGAAAGTATGGCCTGTGGGCTCTAGGGGCCACTGTACCCTTTGTCAGTCACTCGCCGAGTCAGTGCACTCACAAGCACAGTTACGATAACGACATTATTAAACATAGTCGACTTCACGGCAGTGGGAGATCACAGCATCAGACTGGTGTCTTCATTGCTGCCTCAGGTTGCTGGCATCTCTCAAATGGGAGAGATGAGCTTTAGATGTGGTTTCCTTGCCCTCTTCTCGAAGCAGAAGTTCAGGCAAGCTGACCAGGACTGAATCCATTGTGGCAGCTCCTGTGCTTCTTTGGCAGTCCTCTCAAGAAGGCAGGCTTTCTGCTGATTCAACTTGTGCTTAATCTGAGTAGCTTCATGGCAGGGGCAGATGGTGGAAGACTTAGTGGGGTTCAGCTGGTGCTTGAAGCATTTCAAAGCTAAATGTGCTGACCTCATTTCCTTGAATTGCTGTTCCAGCCTCAGCGACCTGCCACATTTAAGTGAGGTGCTCCTCCCCAGAAGTGCTCACACCATGAGCAACTGGGCACAGGTGCCAGGAGCTTTGTGTAATTTGTCTTAAAACCAACCTGGTGGTGTGTGAGCCTAATGGCACCCTTCTGTCTCCTCAGTGTCCCAAGTGCAACATCTGCATTGAGAAGAATGGAGGCTGCAATCACATGGTGAGCAGAAGCCTCTGCAGTTTGCATGTGTGACATGGAAGCTTTGGTCAGTGTGCCCTTAACGTGTTTTCTTCTGTTTCCCTCTGACAGCAATGCTCCAAATGTAAACACGGTGAGTTCCAAGCTTGGTGTGTAAGGCCCAGTGGCACTTTCTTGTGGTTGGGTCTCCGTTACTATTTAAGTGAGTACTTCTGCCATGAAATGACAAAACATAGAAGAACCTCAGTCACTTAACAGTCACAGTAACTGGCATAAAGTAGCTTTTTATTTTTATTTTCTGTTTTTTGGTCCCTCTTATAATCCCACTGCTATCTTGCTAACACATATAGTCAGAAGTCAAGTTTGGGATAAACCTCATGATCCTCAGTTATCCAAGAAGATGATTTCAGGGTGTTGCTTTCATTTTTTTGCCAAGGCAGGTAAGTAGCTTGGGGCTTATCTGTGCTACGTTGTAGATACCTTTACCAGAAGTAGTAAAATAATGGTTTTCCCTTGCCGTTTTACAAAGTTTCTAGTGGGGGTTTTGATTTAGCCTTTCAGACCTCCTTCATCCATCAGGAATAATTTACATAGCTAGAACCCATGTATGCCATCCGGCCAGGTCAACTGAAGAAACAGAATCCCTTCAAGTAGAAAATATGTCCAAGTGGGTCTTCTACGCAGCTGCTTTGATGCTCAACAGGAGCCCCTGACAGTTTCTTTTTTTTTTTTTTGGGAGAAGGAGTCTCACTCTGTCACCCAGGCTGGAGTGCAGTGGCGCAGTCTTGGCTCACTGCAACCTCCATCTCCTGGGTTCAAGCAGTTCTCCTGCCTCAGCCTTCCAAATAGCTGGGATTACAGGCATCTTCCACCACGTCTGGCTAATTTCTGTATTTTTAGTAGAGATGGGGGTTTGCCATGTTCGAGGCTGGTCTCGAACTCCTGACCTCAGGTGATCTCCCTACCTTGGCCTCCCAAAGTGCTGGGATTACAGGAGTGAGCCACTGTGCCCGACCGAGAATTTTGCTTTGTAAGGGCCTATGCAAATGCTATTTCCAGGAACCCTCTTTTCTTTATTTTTTGAGACAGAGTCTCAGTCTGTCGCCCAGGCTGGAGTGCAGTGGTGTGATCTTGGCTGACTGCAACCTCCACCTCCTGGGTTTAAGCAGTTCTCCCACTTCAGCCTCCTGAGTAGCTGGGATTACAGGCACTCACCACCACACCTGGCTACTTTTTTATATTTTTAGTAGAGACGGGGTCTAACCATGTTAGCCAGGCTGGTGTCCAACTCTTGACCTCAGGTGATCCGCCTACCTTGGCCTCTTAAAGTGCTGGGATTATAGGCATGAGCCACCGAGCCTGTACTTTTTTTTTTTTTTTTCCAAAGATGGAGTTCTGCTCTTGTCGCTCAGGCTGGAATGCAATGGTGTGATCTTGGCTCAATGCAACATCTACCTCCTGGGTTCAAGCGATTCTCACTCCGCCTCCCCAGTAGCTGCTATTACAGGCGCCCACCACCACACCTGGATAATTTTTATATTCTTAGTATAGATGCGGTTTCACCATGTTGGCCAGGCTGGTCTCGAACTTCTGACCCCAGGCAATCCGCCTGCCTCGACCTCCCAAAGTGCTGGGATTACAGGTGTGAGCCACCGCTCCCGGCCCCAGGAGCCCTCTCAATCAGAGTGGTCATGCCAGGATCTTAGACAGCAACATTGACTCTGCAGTGCCAAACGAAGATAGGCCATGGGTAGTGGCATATTTCTTCTGTGGGGCCACATTCTTTCGCTCTCTTTTTCTTTGTATATATCAGAGAGAGAAGTGTATCATACACTTAGAACAATGCAGAAGACACAGAGTTTAAAGAATAATGACAAACATCCCAGCACCCACCACATTCCTAGTGCCTAAGAAGCCCCCTGGGTGTCCATATCCCTTGACACCCAGAGTTCACTGCCATCTCACGAGAATCACTTGAACCCCGGAGGTGGAGGTCACAGTGAGCCGAGATTGTGCCACTGAACTCCAGCCTGGGCGATAGAGCGAGACTCTGTCTCAAAAAAAAAAAAACTGGCTGGGCGCGGTGGCTCACGCCTGTAATCCCAGCACTTTGGGAGGCCGAGGTGGGCGGATCATGAGGTCAGGAGATCGAGACCATCCTGGCTAACATGGTGAAACCCCATCTCTACTAAAAAAAAATACAAAATTAGCCAGGCGCAATGGCGCACTCCTGTAGTCCCAGCTATTCGGGAGGCTGAGGCAGGAGAATCGCTTGAACCAGGGAGGTGTAGGTTGCAGTGAGCCAGGATCGCACCACTGCACTCCAGCCTGGGCAACAGAGTGAGACTCCGTCTCAAAAACAAACAAACAAACAAAAAACTGCCATCTCTTTCTTTGCTGTATGTTTTATACCACCTATATGGGCAACCGTAGGGAATGTGGTTTTTTGTTTTGTTTTGTTTCGTTTTTTGAGATGGAGTCTCACTCTGTCACCCAGGCTGACAGGCTGAGTGCAGTGGTGCGATCTCGGCTCACTGCAACCTCCACCTCCCAGGTTCAAGCAATTATCCTTGCTCGGCCTCCTGAGTAGCTGGAACTGCAGGCACATGCCACCATACCCAGCTAATTTTTGACAGAGTCTCACTCTGTCGCCTGGGCTAGAGTGCAGTGGTGCGATCTCGGCTCACTGCAACCTCCGCCTCCTGGGTTCAAGCGATTCTCCTGCCTCAGCCTCCCAAGTAGCTGAGATTACAGGCGTCCGCCACTATACCCAGCTAATTTTTTGTATTTTTGGTAGAGACGGGGTTTCACCTTGTTGGCCATGCTGGTTGTGAACTCCTGATCTCATGATTAGCCCACCTTGGCCTCCCAAAGTGCTTGGATTACAGGCGTGAGGCACCGTGCCCGGCCTGTATTGTTCTTTAAAATGGTAGCAAGCACACCTAGCTAATTAAGGAGAGGGCATTGTTGCCACTATTAGGTGAAGGCTCCCAGGAGGAGAAAAATTGAACAACCTCTGGGTCTCCGGGTTTTGCTTTGGCTTCCCTAAAATGATTCAAGAGCCTCATTTTTGGGGAAGTCAGTAAGCCAAGTTATCCCTGGAGAGTGAATCCTGGGAAACAGGATTTACCATTGTCAGGGTCTGGAAGAGGCAGAATAGGCCAGATATAAAATCTAATAAGGTATTATTAGAACAATGTGTGTTCTAGACAACCAGGAGGACTTCAGACAAGTTTTGCTTCTCATAGCAGCCTTGACACAGATATAACAAGGCACATAGCCCATGTGCTCATGGAATGCAGAATATCAACAGGCCATTGTTCATCCAACAAAACTGTGGTTGGCTTCTCTCCATTAGACTGCAGTAATTCTTTGAGCATCTAACAATAATTTTTTGAACATATAGGGGATTTTTTTTTTTTTTTTTGAGACACAGTCTCGCTCTGTCACCTAGGCTGGAGTGCAGTGGTGTAATCTCGGCTCACAACCTCCGCCCTACAGGTTCAACCAGTTCTCGTGCTTCAGCCTCCCAAGTAGCTACTGGCATGTGCCACCACACCTGGCTAATTTGTGTATGTGTGTGTGTGTGTGTGTGTGTGTGTGTGTGTGTGTGTGTGTGTATATATATATATATATATTTTTTTTTTTTTTGGTAGAGACGGGTGTTTCACCATGTTGGCCAGGCTGGTCTCAAATTCCTGACCTCAGGTGATCCATCCGCCTTGGCCTCCCAGAGTGCTGGTATTACAGGTGTGAGCTACCGCAAAAGCAGAATCATAATTCTGATTATGAACCATTGGATAGCTCTAGGTTTTATAGAAATGTGTTATTTGCCAGGCGCAGTGGCTCACGCCTATAATCCCAGCACTTTGAGAGGCAGAGATGGGCGAATCACTGAACACTGGGGGTTCTCGAGACCAGCCTGGCCAACATGGTGAAACCCCATCTCTACTAAAAATACAAAAATTAGCCAGCATGTTGGCAGGCACCTGTAGTCCCAGCTACTCGGGAGGCTGAGGCAAGAGAATCGCTTGAACCTGGGATGCAGAGGTTGCAGTAAGCCAAGATCGCGCCACTGCACTCCAGCCTGGGTGACAGAGTGAGACTCTGTCTCAAAAAAAAAAAGAAAAAGAAAAATAAGAAATGTGTTTTTTAAAATAGAAGAAAAAGGGGGAAAGCCTTTATTCTTAGTTTCATATACAAAAATCTTTCTAGGACAAGTGTGAGGGTAGGAAGCAGTAGGGAGGTCAGTTTGTACTGATGATGTGCGTTTAAGACAGTCAGGTCGGCCTCAGTTGGACTAGTTCCTCCTTCTTATAGTGGCATTGACATAGCAGACCAGTAGTCTGTATGGTCAGCATCTGCCTGTGTTAGATTAATAAGGCGCATGGCACATGTGCTCATGGAATAGAAATTATCCATAGGCTTTTGTTCCTATCAGCAAGTACAGGCTACAAGGACAGTAGGATGTGACAGGGATGAGAGGTGCACATTCCTTCGGGAAAGAGGCACCCTTGGGAAGTTGTGTTCAGGTGACCCCTTTGGGAGCAGGGTCTGTCTGTCTCACTCCTCTGCCTATGGAGGAAAGTGGAGTTGTCTTGTAGATGTAAATGACTCTTCCTCTGTTCTGCACAGACTTCTGCTGGATGTGTCTAGGAGATTGGAAGACTCATGGCAGTGAATACTATGAGTGCAGTCGTTACAAGGAGAATCCTGACATCGTGAACCAGAGCCAACAAGCCCAGGCGAGGGAAGCCCTCAAGAAGTACTTATTCTACTTTGAGAGGGTAGGTGTCCTCTCCTGTACCTTCCCCTACAGGGTAGGCTTCTTCCACTTGGCCTGCTGGTGGGATTCCCAGGGACTGGTAGACAGAGCTAGCCTGTGCACATAGAAGTCAGTGAATGGAGCTCCTGCAGTATCCCTGGTGCTGCCTCTATAGATGTGCCTTTCAAGCTCTATAGGGTATATCCCCAGCCAACAGGGAAGGACCTGGTACTGACCTTGGTTGAATGATGGATTGAAGGACAATGAAGGGCCATCAGACAGTCTTTTCCATCTAGTACCATCTTTTTTTTTTTTTCTTTTTTCTACGTTTTTAATTTTTATTTATTTTTTTCTTTCTGTCCTCACAATCTGTTCCCATAGTATCATCTTAGTAGTCAGATTTGGAAGGCAGTTTCTCCCAGGGAGCCCTTTAGAAGCCCAAAGAGCCCCATGCATAATGGTCTCTAAGCATAGTAGACCATCAGGGGCCTAGCTTTGCAGAGTCCTCAGGGCTCGAGTCCTGTTGCCCCAGAAGGGTAGAGCGATCTGGCAGTAAGCATACAGCTGCTCTGGACAGGTTAGAAGGATGGACTGAAGAAGACCTGCTCTTGCACTTTGGGGAATAAGTTAGAGGAGTCTGTGGCCATGTCCTGCCAGCAAGGTGTCTATCCTGAACTCCTGTGTAGACCTCTGCACCTTCATGGGACTCCTGTGGTTTTCTTCTTCTTCTGTGCCCTGTAGTGGGAAAACCACAATAAAAGCTTGCAGCTAGAGGCACAGACATACCAGCGGATTCACGAGAAGATTCAGGAGAGGGTCATGAACAATCTGGGGACATGGATCGACTGGCAGTACCTACAGAATGCTGCCAAGCTCTTGGCCAAGGTATCTACCACTTCACTCATCTTATCCCTGGTCCAGTGCCTGGCTCCGTCAGGCACAGACCTCTGATAGTGGGAAGCTCTGTTGAAAGAGGGTATTTTAGCACCCTGTGCAGCCTTTCATGCTTCTGCTTGTGGATCCACATTTTCATGTGCTGTGCCCATTAAGGACCCAGTCCTCTGATGGATGTCCAGGGGATTTATAAGAGTGTTGCACTGCCTCTGCCTGCAGGGAAAACTAGAGCACTTTTCTTCTCCTTTTGTCCTGTTTATGTATCACTCAAAGGAAAATAAAAGATTGTCTGATCACTTGAGGTCAGGAGTTTGAGACCAGCCTGGCCAACATGGTGAAATCCTGTCTCTAATAAAAATACAAAAATTAGCTGGGCATGGTGGTGCATGCCTGTAGTTCCAGCTACTTGGGAGGCTGAGGCACGAGAATTGCTTGAACCTGGGAGTCAGAGGCTGCAGTGAGCCGAGATCACACCATTGCACTCCAGCCTGGGTGACAAAGCAAGACTGTCAAAAAAAAAAAAAAAAAAAAAAAAAAGATTGGGCAGGGTGCAGTGTCTCACGCCTATGATCCCAGCACTTCGGAAGGCCAAGGCAGGTGCATTGCTTGAGCCCAGGAGTTTGAGACCAGCCTGGGCAACATGAGAAAACCCCGTCTCTACAAAAAAAATACAAACGTTCGCCTGGTGTGGTGATGCACACCTGTAGTCCTGGCTACTTGGAAGGCTGAGGTGGGAGGATCGCTTGAGTCTGGGAGGCAGAGTTTGCAGTGAGTGGGGATTGCACCACTGCACTCCAGCCTGGGCAACAGAACAAAACCTTGTTTCAAAAAAAAAAAAAAGGTTGTCTTTGGCTAAGCATTGAGATAGATGTGTTGACTCTGATGTCCTACTCAAGAGGGAAAATCCATTGAGGCAGCTGCTGATAATCAGTTTGTAAAAGAAACTGTGGGTGTTCTGTGACCATCGTTGTTTGTTTTTTCCCTCATGTCTTTTCCCAATTCATCCTCTATTTGGCCTAGTATCATTTCTTTCAGGCCTATATCTATAGAGCTGGGCTAATTTGCATGTTGAGGGTAGGAATTGTAAGAGCCACCTGAGATGCAGGTAGCTTAGAATCACAGACACAGGTTCCTTCTCTTCTCTCCTGTTGCAGTGTCGATACACCCTGCAATACACCTACCCATATGCATATTACATGGAGTCCGGACCCAGGAAGAAGCTGGTAAGGCAAAGCAATTTTTCTACTCTGTCCCGTTAGCCTCAAAGGTGCCCTTCTCTACCAGCACTTTGCAGGAGAGTGAGGACCAGACCTTGGTCATTGGGAGGGCAAAGTTAAAACAAAACTCTAATTGCAAAATTCCACTTCTGCTCTGGGCACCTCCAAAATAGATCTCAGGTGCTATTATTTTGTGTCATATAAGGCACATGCACCTAATCCTCTGAACAACTGTATTTAAAGGGCGATTGGCTAAAAAGGTCTGTGGCCAGTGGGAGGCCAGTAGTGCCCATGCTTGGGAGGGATATTTAGCATGCATGTCCTTAAGATATATTTGACTGTTTTATACCTTGTTTAATTCTTCATCTTAGAGTTGAATTTGAATATGAATTTATTGTTATTACCAATAGTGTTAATAAACTAGTAATTAACATTTTTGTTTAAATGCTGGAAAACAGAAAAGCATTTACATTGTCCAGAGAGAAATTACCACTGTCAGCATTTTCCAGCCTTTTAAAATTAACATTGTGTATATATAATCAAGGTTATATATAACATTTTATTGTTATAACAGTTTATTGTTATAGCTGTTATGATTTACCTGCCTGGTAAATACCATTTTGTTAATGGTTGCATAAATGTGTCATTACATGATTGTACCATCACTTGGGACATTTATTCTTTCTTTCTTTCACTGCTATAAATAGGACATTGAGGAATATTTTTGTGCATAAAGCTGTATATCTTCTTAGATGTATGATTACTAAGTATTTAAGTTTGAATATTTTTAAGGCTCTTGATTTGCTGGAGGACTGAAAAAAATGAAGTGATAGTGTCTGAGAATATTCATTTGACTTATTTTTTACAGCATCCATTCCCTTTCATGTTGGGAGTGTTCTCTTTAGTGGCTTAAATTCTTTGCCTGCCTTTGGGAGTGTGGAGGGTGGAGTGGACCTTTTGAGGGTCGAGGGTGAATGTGGCCTTGCTGTTTGGATAGCCTTTTGTTTGGATTCTGGCTCTGGGCACAGGGAATAACACTACTTTCTGAGGACAGTATCAGGATTGTCTGTAGTTCCTGTGAGCCTGAGGTGCTGCATGTGCCCACCCCCGTGTACAGGCCCTGCCCCAGCCACAGCCCACTCACCTTTTGACCCTCCTGCTCTGCCTATACAGTTTGAATACCAGCAGGCTCAGCTGGAGGCTGAGATCGAAAACCTCTCATGGAAAGTGGAGCGTGCAGACAGCTATGACAGAGGGGTAAGTGCCTACTGTCCTCTTGGATTCTATATTGCAGGTAGAGGACTGGCATGGTAATAGGTGACAGCGTTGTTGGCTTGTGCACTGGTAGCTGCTGCTAAGAATGGGAAGGGCAGTGTTTTTGACTCCTTGGAGGTCCTGGAGGGTGTTTGTGGCTTTGGCTACTCCTTGCTCCCAGGCCTGGGCCATGCAAGCACACACCTTGTTTCTCTGATGCAGGACTTGGAGAACCAGATGCATATAGCGGAGCAGCGGAGGAGAACCCTGCTGAAAGATTTCCATGACACCTAAGTTGGGATGTGGATGTGCCGGGGTGAGGAAGATGTGGCTGCAAGGTCTCCCGGCTGCCATACTGCATGCTGCAGGCTCTGCCTTTCATGACCCCAGGCAACAGCCAGGGCCCCACTCCTGAGAGACACTGGCAACACCTCTTAGTTGATTTCTGTTTTCTTCTCTTTTCACTTTTTGTTTCTACCAGGGTAGAGGCCATGTTGAACTGGCCTCTTTTCAGGACTTTTATTTCCCCCTGGATGGTTGTTGGGAGGGAGGGAAAGTGTTTTCTGAATGGCTATTAATAGTATTAGATCATTACAACTTATGTAACTTTCAAAGGTTGTACAATTATACAAAAAAAAAAAAAAGGCAAACTATAGGATAACACAGAGCCCTTTTTGAAAATAAATTGGCATTGGAGTGTTTTACCCTCTAGCTGTTTTACTTAGAATGTAACATATGCTGCCTACCCACCTCAAAATGTCTGTACTGCAAGAGGGCCCTGGGCCTCTGCTTTCCATATTCACGTTTGGCCAGAGTTGTAGTCCCAAAGAAGAGCATGGGTGGCAGATGGTAGGGAATTGAACTGGCCTGTGCAATGGGCATGGAGCACAAGGGGTCACAGCATGCCTCCTGCCTTACCGTGGCAGTACGGAGACAGTCCAGAACATGGTCTTCTTGCCACGGGGTGTTGTTGTCTCTGGTGGTGCTGCATGTCTGTGGCTCACCTTTATTCTTGAAACTGAGGTTTACCTGGATCTGGCTACTGAGGCTAGAGCCCACAGCAGAATGGGGTTGGGCCTGTGGCCCCCCAAACTAGGGGGTGTGGGTTCATCACAGTGTTGCCTTTTGTCTCCTAAAGATAGGGATCTACTTTTGAAGGGAATTGTTCCTCCCAAATAAATTTGCTTTACCTTGGTCCTTTCTTTTGTGCCAGTATTCAAGTGGTATAGCTCTGAGCAGGGTCACATTTGGCCAAACCTGACACTGTCTTGCTGCATTCTCCTTTGGCAAACATCAGGGTCAGAATTCAGGATAGCCCTTCCTAGGGCACTGGACTTTCTGGCATGGGGGCTGTGTTTGCACAAGTTATTTTCATGTTACCTGGAGAGTGTCCAGAGGCTGCTCTGAGGCTGAGGTGTGTTCCCCCTTGCCTGGTTCCAGCTGTCAGAGGGATACCATCCTAGGGTCTGGGAATCCAAGGCCACGAGACTCCTTGGTTTGTGGTCCGAGATCCTGTACTAAGGAGGGTCTGGCCAGAGGAACAGACCAGCTTTTGCACAATGAAGCGCAAGGGAACAAGTGGTTTGCCTGGTGTCCTACCTGTCCTGAACCTGGTCCTGTGGGCCATTGAAAAGTTAGATCTGTGATCTCTGGGGTTTTTGTGGCTTTGTTCAATGCTTCCACTCTAGGGCAGGCAGAGCAGTCTATACTCTCCCAAGCCTGCTTGACCTCCAAGTAGAGCTGATACAGAGATCTGTGAATATTGTGATAGAAATTCTTTGGTATTCATACATTTCAGCTGCAAGTCAGCAATTTCCCAGGTACCATGTAAGCTATAAAACAGTCATTCTTAAAGACAGAGGATAGCTGTGACTCATGGGATCATGAGGTCCATGGCTGGTTGCAGGTTCCCTTTTTCCTTCCTCAGGTTTTGTCTCTTCCTGTGTTGTCCCCAGCAAGGGAGAGACTGTGGGGTGGATTGGGAGAACAGATTAGGAGTATAGCAAATGAACCCAGAATGGAACAGTGGGGAGCTAACTGTGAATGAGGAGAGTACCTGCTGCAGGACCTGGAGGTCAGGTGTGAATGCTGTATTGGCACAGGGAATAAATATCCTGGCGTCTGGAGCCTTCACCTCTCCGTCAAGTCCTTCCTGTGATACTGCCATGGCACAGGATCTGAGTTGCAGCTCTGCACCCTAAATCACACCCTGGGCATTGTCTGGGCTGCAGGGCTGCCAGGTTCTGTACTTGTGTCCAGCTGTGGCCCTGGATGCTGGAGCTGGAGGGTTTTCTGTGCTCAGACTGTAGCCTGTAGCTCTTGGCCTGTGTAGAGCCCCCTCCTGTGCCCTCAGTGGCTGTCGTTTGTTAACATCATCAGGAAGATGGGAAAGGTCAGGCAGAATTTTTCTGCCCTACAAAGGGTGGAAGAGAAAGGACACAGTATTTTCATGAATTTACCATATATCTTTGTTTTTCTTCAACGAAAAAGTTAATTGAGGCAATGTCATCTGCTCAAAGTTGAGTGGTTTATTCACAATAAACTGTAAGTTTCTGATTATAAAAATGTGTCTAGAGTCTTTCTTCATGGGGTCTAGGTAGTCTTCTGAGCCCACAGGGGTCTGGCCAGTGAACACCAGAGGAGTGCCTTCCTATCAGTCAGCCCCTTCTTCCAGAGGGCTGTGGAGGCCCCAGTGGCCAAACTCGGCTCTGTTTTCCCTTTCTGGCTGTTGGGGGAGAGGGCACCTGTAAGTGATCCCTGTGGAATGAAGTAGAAAATCCTGCCAGTTTTCCGCTCTCCTCTCCCTCAGTACAGGCTGAATCATTCCCCACCACAGATAGATCCCAGGGTTGTGGTAGAGTACTGATATAAATGTCCCAACCCCCCCATTCTGAGACCTCCGGACCCCTCCAAAGCAGACATGGGAATGTAGGGCTGTGGAATATGGCAGGGTGAACTCCAGCTTCACGGGAGCCCTAAGGGTTATGAAGAGACAACTTGGGGCAGAAACAAGTGTGGAGTCTAATCTCAAGGGTGAAGGACAGGAAATGAGGTTTGGATTGATTAAGGGGGTCCACATTTGTGGTGTCAGAAGTGGCAGTAGTGTCAGTGATAAGTAGCTCAGGGGTAGAGTGGAGGCTCCATAGCTGTGGGCAACATGCACAGGGCACCTGTGGCTAGAAGAGGCCTCATACATTGCCAGTCTGAACTCCGCAGCTCTTCCTCTGGACCTCAGGTGTGCCAAGCCCCACGCTTGGCACCTGGGCATACAGTGGTATGCAAGTGATTCACGTGCTCTAGCTTCCAGGAGCTTCCAATCCATGGGGAACATAGAAGGAATTGATCACTAGTGAATGTTTGTTTTTTGTTTTGAGACAGTCTCGCTCTATCGCCCAGACTGGAGTACAGTGGCATGATCTCTGCTCACTGCGGCCTCCACTCCTGGGCTCAATTATTCTGCTTCAGCTCCCCGAGTAGCTGGGACCAGTGTGTGCCACCATGCTCCCCTAATTTTTGTATTTTTTTTTGTAGAGACAGGGTCTTGCCATGTTGCCCAGACTGGTCTCAAACTCCTGAGTTCAAGCTATCTTCCTGCCTTGGCCTCCCAAAGTGCTGGGATTACAGGCATGAGCCACTACACCCAGCCCACTAGTGAATGTTTTTACTGGAGCAGCAAGGCCAGGAGCAAAGGACCACCCATGCTCAGGGCCACTCCTGCAGATCAGTGGGGCCAGGGTACTATGGCCTTGGCACCATACCTTTGGCAATCCTAAAAAGAGAGAAGATAGCACCTTCTAGCGAAGTCAGGAGGGATTTTCCATGTAGCCCACAGGGGTTTACACAATAAGCATCTGAGCATCTCCTGTATAACAGGCTCTGCTTGGGGCGGGATAGAAAGTGATAGAAGTGGGACCTCACAAAGACAATCACACTAATGTTAACTGAGAACATACCCATTTAGTCCTCACAGCAGCCCCTTGAGGTAGGTGCTGTCATCATCCACATTACACAGCCATTTAAAATGAGTTAGGGGCCTGGCGTGGTGGCTCATGCCTATAATCCCAGCACTTCAGGAGGCTGAGACTGGAGAACTGCTTGAGCCCTGGGAGTTCATGACCAGCCTGGACAACAGGGAGATCTCTTCCTACAAAAATAAAAAATAAAAATTAGCTGGGCGTGGTGCTGCACACCTGTAATCCCAGCTACTTGGGAGGCTGAGCTAGGAGGATTGCTTGGGCCTGGGGGTAGGTGCTGCAGAAAGCTGTGATCACACCACTGCACTCCAGCCTGGGTGACAGAGCAAGACCCTGTCTTAAACAGGCCAGGCGTGGTGGCTCATGCCTGTAATCCCAGCACTTTGGGAGGCCGAGGGGGCGGATCACCTGCAGTCAGGAGTTTGAGACCAGCCTGACCAACATGGTGAAACCCCACCTCTACTAAAATATACAAAAAATTAGCCAGGCCTGGTGGTAGGTGCCTGTAATCCCAGCTACTCTGGAGGCTGAGGCAGGGGAATAGCTTCAACCCAGAAGGCAGAGGTTGCAGTAAGCTGAGATCGCGCCACTGCACTCCAGCCTGGGCACGACAGAGCGAGACTGTCTAAAAAAAAAAAAAAAAAAAAAAAAGGCCAGGCACAGTGGCTCACTCCTGTAATCCCAGCACTTTGGGAGGCCAAGGCAAGGAGATCGAGAACATCCTGGCTAACACAGTGAAACCCCATCTCTACTAAAAAACAAATACAAAAAAATTAGCCGGGCGTGGTGGCAGGCACCTGTAGTCCCAGCTACTCAGGAGGCTGAGGCAGGAGAATGGCGTGAACCCGGGAGGCAGAGCTTGCAGTCAGCCGAGATGGCACCACTGCACTCCAGCCTGGGCGACAGAGCGAGACTCCACCTCAAAAAAAAAAAAGAATACAGATCAATAGAAGGCCTGGATTTGGTAGTATGTATTGTCATGGCATCAAAGGGCCAGGCTTTTAAAAGACTGAGAAATTCTGGTTTCTGATGTGGTTGTGAAATTCCCACAGCTGACAGCAGGTGGAGCAGCCCTGCAACCTGCTTGCTTTCTGTTGTCTGGCAATGAGCTATCAGTACCTGTGCTTAGTGGTAGGCCTAGTTCAGGTAATAGGTGTAAGAATGGAGTTCAGGAAAATAGGTTAAGCAAAGTACAGATTTTATGGTGATCAAATTCTAGTTTTTAAAAGGCTAGAGGGGCCGGTCGCGGTGGCTCATGCCTGTAATCCCAGCACTTTGGGAGGCCAAGGCGGGCGGATCACGAGGTCAGGAGTTTGAGACCAGCTTGGCCAACATGGTGAAACCCCATCTTTATTAAAAATATAAAAATTAGCTGGGCGTGGTGGCACGTGCCTGTAATCCCAGCTACTTGGGAGGCTGAGGCAGGAGAATTGCTTGAACCCGGGAGGCAGAGGTTGCAGTGAGCCGAGATGAAGCCACTGCACTCCAGCCTGGGTGACAGAGCAAGACTCTGTCTCGGGGAAAAAAAAAAAAGGCTAGAGGGAAATAGTCTCAACTTCATTCCAGAAAAGGTATGAGAAAGCCATGAGATCCTTGGTAAAATTATGGTTCTGTTGGTTGGTTTATTATATTTAAGAATTTAGGAGATTTGGTCTGGGTGTGGTGCCTTATGTCTGTAATTCCAGCACTTTGGGAGGCCAAGGTGGGTGGAACACCTGAGGTCACGAGTTTGAGACCAGCCTGGCCAACATGGTGAAACCCTGTCTCTACTAAAAATATAAAAATTAGCCGGGCATTGTGGCGGGCACCTGTAGTCCCAGCTACTTGGGAGGCTGAGACAGGAGAATTGCTTGAACCCGGGAGGCGGAGCTTTCGGTGAGCTGAGATCACACCACTGTACTCCAGCCTGGCGACAGAGCGAGACTCTGTATCAAAAAAAAAAAAAAAATTATAATTAAAAAATTAAAACTAAATAATAATAAATAAAAATACAAAAAAAAAAATTGGCCCGCCATGGTGGCGCATGCCAGCTACTTGGTAGGCTGAGGCAGGAGAATTGCTTGAACCCGGAAGGCAGAGGTTGCAGTGAGCCAAGATCGCGCCACTGCACTCCAGCCTGGGCGACAGAGTGAGACTCCGTCACACACACACAAAAAATCTTAGAAGAAAGAGGTGGGCCTGCCCTTGGAGCCCCTGGCCTGCCTTGACTTGAGGGGACTAGAAAATGCAGACTATGCTTTGCTATGGGGAAGGGAGAGGAGATGGGAGTAGAGGTAGTGGGGGTCTTAACCAGGGTAGGGAGAAACCACCAGTGTGACCTGCCTTAAAAGTGTTGCTCTTGCCTGCAAGTCCACCTCGGGGAGGGGGGTCAGCTTCTGCCCTGAGGGCGTGTAGTAATCTCTTCCTGAGGATAACCAGCTCTAGAAGAGCAGGGATGCCTTGGCACTTGACCACTGGTAGGTATGTCCTCCCCCCACCCCCGTTTTTGGTGATAATCTGTTTAATTTTTCTCTGAGGTAATGGTGTCTCAGTTATGGAAGAGTCCCTTCCCGCCTCTTCACACGTGCCAGCTTTGATGCAAGGAGTGTTCCATATACCTGAGCACTGGTTCATTCCTGCGGGCTGCCATGGGGGGCTCACTTTCCTGATGCCAGGGCTCCTCCAGGATGCCCCCTCTGACGGCCTATGAAACCTTGCACATCAGGCAGCTTCTTCCTAAGGCCTGCCTGACTCCGGCGAGACTTCCCGGGAGATCCGGACCGACCGCGGAACCGAGCTCCAAGAATGCCTGCGAGGAGGCTGTGGGTCCTACCCTATCGCCGCTTACGCAGTCCCAGCCTCCGCGGCGCCCCCAAATGCCGCACTGTTGAGTCATCTCAGCGCTGCCTCCTCCGCGCTGCGCTCCCCACCCCCGCTCCTGGAGCAAGAAGATGCAGACGATACTTTTCCCGGAGGCAAGAGGGCGTCTTCACGCAGGCACCGAGAAGCTCCCACTAGTGTATGCCTTAATGGTGCCGCTCTTGTCCGCGTCTACGCTTGGGACCTTGGCTTCTGACTTGGAGAGTGTACAGCTCTGCCCGACGGCAACCCAGCTTGGGAAGAGAAGCCCCAGCGTGGGCTGGGGCTCAAGGCGCAGGAAGGCCGAGCCCGGCGCGGACGCAGGCGGCTCCGGGCGGGCTCAGCACCCCCAGGCACCGTCTCCTAGTGACCGCGGCGCTCGCGGGCCTGGCGGCCGTTGTCCGGGCGACTGCGCAGCGCGGGCACCCCCGCGGCCCCTCCCCTGGGCGCGCGCGCGACCTGGGTGCCATGGCGGCAGCGGCGGTGACAGGCCAGCGGCCTGAGACCGCGGCGGCCGAGGAGGCCTCGAGGCCGCAGTGGGCGCCGCCAGACCACTGCCAGGCTCAGGCGGCGGCCGGGCTGGGCGACGGCGAGGACGCACCGGTGCGTCCGCTGTGCAAGCCCCGCGGCATCTGCTCGCGCGCCTACTTCCTGGTGCTGATGGTGTTCGTGCACCTGTACCTGGGTAACGTGCTGGCGCTGCTGCTCTTCGTGCACTACAGCAACGGCGACGAAAGCAGCGATCCCGGGCCCCAACACCGTGCCCAGGGCCCCGGGCCCGAGCCCACCTTAGGTCCCCTCACCCGGCTGGAGGGCATCAAGGTGAGGACCTCCCTGCCCCGCCGCGCTCCAGGCCCTGCACGGCTGAGCCCGAGAGGACCGGCGCTCAGCCCGGGTCCCCACGCTGCCCCCGGCGCTGCTCTGCGTCGGTCCCGCGCGCTCCCACTCACTCGCCTGCTGTCGCTCTCCGGGCCGGGGCGACTTGGCCCTTCTTGGGCAGCGCGGTCTGGCGCCCCAGCTGCCCGCTGTGCGCCTTTTCCTTAGGTGGGGCACGAGCGTAAGGTCCAGCTGGTCACCGACAGGGATCACTTCATCCGAACCCTCAGCCTCAAGCCGCTGCTCTTCGGTAAGTCCGCCAGATACTCCTGGGAAGGGCCAGGGGCTGCGGTTTGGTGGCCACCTTGAGGCTCGTTGTGACCACGTGACCTCTATTTTGAAAATGGCTGCTTCAGAGCAGCCCTTCCAGAGGATTACCAAAGTGAAGGACCTTCCCCGTCCTCGAAATAGGGTAACACTCCCTCTTATCCCAACTCCCTGCAGTCCATTCTTCCATCACAGGGCTGGCAGGGTGAGCCTGAGGCTGGTGTCTAAACGTTTCATTGCACCTGTCTTCCGTGCCACCATTAATTCTGTCACCTTCTAGAACTGGGAGGAAGGTGGGAGACTGATAACCAGCTTTCTGCCGACCTCAGGACCTCTGGGGAAAATCCCACTGCCGAAGTGGGCCTTGTGGTCTGATGAGAAGCAGGCCGTCCAAATGTAGATAAACTGGTACCCCCCCAGCCTCCTCCACTGGAGTACCAGTCAGAGGCTCAGCTTTTGCTGCCAGCACTCTGAGATTCTTCTTAAGGTGAAGTCTTTGTTCAGCCATCATGGGCAAAGCTTTCTAGGGTGACTCCAGTTGGAGCCACAACATAGCTCATCGTTTCTGAGCTCTAGTTATGTGCTTGCCTTCATATGATTATTTCATTTAATTCCTGCAACCCCTCTGTGAAGTGGGTGTAGATCCTACTCAGGCCAGTGAGGGGGAAAGTTAGGGACAGAGAGCTGCTGTGGCTTGGCCAGGCTGACACGGTTACTTCAGTGGTGAAGCTAGGATTAGAACCCACATAGCCTGCCTCTAAGGCCTATGCAGTAAAGCCACAGTGCGAGCTGTGAAGACCCCAGAGTCCTTCAAAGACCACCAGTGTCAACTGGGTGGGGACCCCTAGTCCCATGGACATTGTCCAGGGTGTTTGTGTAGCCCAGCCCTGGGTACCTGGCCTCCGTGACAAACATATTTGCAAACCCAGGGCCATTCCTGCCTGCCGGGGGATGGAATGGGTTAGGAGCTGGGGCCAAAGTAGAACATCTGAGCACAAGTCATTACCTCCAAGGCAGAGGGTCCTGGTTGGGGATTATGCCTAGACCTGTCAGAATGATGTCATATGCATGCTGTTTGTAGGGAAATAGATTATGCTGTCAGTCCTGTTGTGGGAGAGGCACCCAAAGCTGGTTGTTGTTATTATTACTATTACTATTGAGTAACGTTGAAGTCTGTGCCAGGCACTATTTTAGGTGCCAGGAACACAGCATTGAACTAAATATAAACAATGAAACAAAACCCTGAAGCTGACATTCAAATGAAGAGGAAACAGACAATAAACAAACAAATAAATATATACATTGGTGTGTCAGATGGTGATATGTGATTGCAAACAAGTAAGGCAGATTTTTTTTCTTTTTTCTTTTTTGCCAACATAAAATAGCAGACAGGGCCGGGCGTGGTGGCTCATGTCTATAATCCCAGCACTTTGGGAGGCTGAGGCAGGCAGATCACTTCAGGTCAGGAATTTGAGGCCAGCCTGACCAACATGGTGAAATCTCATCTCTACTAAAAATACAAAAATTAGCCGGGTGTGGTGGTGTACACCTGTAATCCCAGCTGTTCAAGAGGCTGAGGCATGAGAATTACTTGAACCCAGGAGGCAGAGGTTGCAGTGAGCCAAGATCGCACCACTGCATTCCAGCCTGGGCAACAGAGAGAGACCCCTATCTCAAAGAAAAAAAAAAATAGCAGACAGTAAGGCAGAAGTTCAGCTGGGATTAGAACTCTTTTTTTTTTTTTTTTTTTTTAGACTAAGTTTCTCTCTTGTTGTCCAGGCTGGAATGCAATGGTATGATCTCAGCTCACTGCAACCTCCGCCTTCCGGGTTCAAGTGATTCTCCTGCCTCAGCCTCCCAAGTAGCTGGGATTACAGGCATGCGCCACCACATCCGGCTAATTTTTTGCATTTTTAGTAGAGACGGGCTTTCACCGTGTTAGCCAGGATGGTCTCAATCTCATGACCTCAGGTGATCTGCCCTCCTCAGCCTCCCAAAGTGCTGGGATTACAGGTGTGAACCACCATGCCTGGCTGGAACCCTTAATAAGGTAGCCAAGGTGGACCTGCCTGAAAAAAATATTTGAGCAAGGCTGGGCGCGGTGGCTCACGCCTGTAATCCCAGAACTTTGGGAGGTCGAGGCGGGTGGATCACCTGAGGTCAGGTTGTTCGGGACCAGCCTGACCAACATGGGGGAACCCCGTCTACTAAAAATACAACATTAGCAGGGCGTTGTGGCACATGCCTGTAATCCCAGCTACTTGGGAGGCTGAGGCAGGAGAATCGCTTGAACCCAGGAGGCAGGGGTTGTGGTGAGCCAAGATTGTGCCATTGCATCCAGCCTGGGTAACAAGAATGAAACTCCATCTCAAAAAAAAAAAAAAAAAATCTGAGCAACGACTTGTGGGAAGTATGGGATAAAGCCAGATGACTGTCAGGAAAGAGGGGTCCAGGAAGGAACTAATACTCACCCCATTACTACTACACTACTAACGACTACTATGAACAGACACATCTGAGGAGGCACTGTTTTCTCTCAGCAGCCTTCCTGGGATCTGTATATATCTAATTCATATTGATGTTAGGTTAAGTAAGCCATGAAGCCAAAGTCTCCCTAATAAACAGCTTGTCCTATAAAGCAGAGAATGAGCCGGGCTTGGTGGTTCATGCTTCTAATCCCAGCACTTTGGGAGGCTGAGGCGGGTGGATCACTTGAGGTCAGGAGTTCGAAACCAGCCTGACCAACATGGTGAAACCCCGTCTCTACTAAAAATACAAAAATTAGCTGGGCATGGTGGTGGATGCCTGTAATCCCAGCTATTCGGGAGGCTGAGGCAGGAGAATTGCTTGAACCCGGGAGGCAGAGGTTGCAGTGAGCCAAGATCGTGCCACTGTACTCCAGCCTGGGTGACAGTGAGACTCCATCACAAAAAAAAAAAAAAAAAAAAAGCATAGAATGAGAAACCCAGATCTAAAGTCACCAAGGGCAAATTATGAAAAGCAGAAGAGATTTGACAAAAGGTAAACTGGTTCTGGTTAAGCCATCAGATGGATCTCTGTTTCTGCAGATGAACTTCAAAAGGCATAACCAAGAGATTGCAATCAATGATTACAGGAAGTCCAGATGTGTGAGAGGGAAGAGGGTGGTCATGGTGGGGCAGTTCCTGAATACTGTGGTATTGGATGACTACAAAGAAGGATGCCTCATCCCCAGCAGGAGCAGTGTCTGTCTTCTGGGCCTGCCTGTCCCTCTGTCCATTGGTCTGCTACCCAGTTATTCTAAATGGGCAAGCAGGGCCCAAGAAGAGTGGACCTGCTATAGATTCTGCCCCCTCTGCCATGCTGTTCTTGGATCTAAACCTGTGACCTGCCAGCTTCAGGGACCCAAGATACCTGGGATCGAAGAGTGGATGCTAAAGATGTGAGCTGGGGCAAGGGAACTGGGGTCCACCCCAAGGTGCCTCCATCTCTGTAGAAGGGAACCCTAGCACTTCTCAAGGAAGACCCCGTGCAGCCCCCAGTCTCTCCTTGAGAAATATTTCCTGTTTCCCACCCTTGTTTCTAAAGACACTTGGCAACTGGGACCTGGGCCACAAAAGGCCCACGCTTGAGCTCCTGGCAAATACTTCCATGACTGGTAGGTCATTTTCCCTTGGTAGGGAAATAAAGGATTTGGAATATTGGGTGTCAGCTGAGGGCACCATCCTGTTCAGAACAGAAGTGCTCCATTTCTGAACCATTGCCACCTCTCTGGGGACATTGCTTTCTTACATGTGGCCCACTTCTCCCGCTGTCCTACCCCACCCCACACTGATTCTGTCATAGCAGATCAGATCTCATGGCTCTCTCTTTTTGTTTTGTTTTGTTTTGTTTTGTTTTTGTTTTGAGATGGAGTTTCACTTTTGTTGCCCCGGCTGGAGTGCAATGGTACCATCTCGGCTCACTGCAACCTCCGCCTCCCGGGTTCAAGTGATTCTCCTGCCTCAACCTTCCAAACAGCCGGAACTACAGGCACCCGCCACCACACCTGGCTAATTTTTTGTATTTTTAGTAGAGATGGGGTTTCACCATGTTGGCCAGGCTGGTCTCAAACTCCTGACCTCAGGTGACCCACCCACCTTGGCCTCCCAAAGTGCTGGGATTACAGACATGAGCCACCGTGCCCAGCCGCTCATCACTCTCTTAAATGTCTCCAACATTTTCCATTTCACTTCTAAGTCTCATTTGATGCCTAAAAGCCCTCTCGCCTCTTAGACTCATCTCCTGCCCCCACCCCCGACTCCATTTACTCCCTGCTGATCCTCAGACACCACAAGCTCACTACTGCCTCAGGGCCTTTGTATGTACTATTCCCTCACTAAAAGGCTTAGACCTGGCTCTTCCCACAGAGCGTGCCTTCAGCTCCAGCAGGCCTCTGCTCACACATCCCATCCTCAGAGACCTCTTGTCCTCAAACCCATCTTAAAAGGTTCCCAGGCACCCTGTTGCATCAGCCTGCTGGGTTTTGTTCTCAAATGCTTAGGACTGCTGGAAACTATTTTCCGTATTTATTTGTGTCATTTGTACCTCTGCCCACAAAGGTGAGCTGCATATGTAAGAGGACTGATTTGTCTCAGCTGTGTGTCCAATGGCCAGAGTTGTATCTCCTGCTGATTTTTTTTTTTCTTTTGAGATGGAGTCTCGCTCTGTTGCCCAGGCTGGAGTGCAGTGGTGTGATCTCGGCTCACTGCAACCTCCGCCTCCTGGGCTCAAGCCATTCTCCTCCTGCCTGAGCCTCCTGAGTAGCTGAAATTACAGGCGCCTGCCACCATGCCCAGCTAATTTTTGTATTTTTACCAGAGGCAGCGTTTCACCATGTTGGCCAGGCTGGTCTCGAACTCCTGACCTCAAGTAATCCGCCTGCCTCAGCCTCCCAAAGTGCTGGGATTACAGGCATAAGCCTCCGTGCCCAGCCTCCCGCTAATTCTTGGCTGGCTGGAGGAGTTCACTGGGTGCTCTCAGCCCAGTCCAGCATCTGCCTGCTGGCTTAGAGCATCCTCCACGTATCCTTCTGACTTGGCACCCTCTTCAAAGGCAGCAGGGGGTACTACCAGTGGCCAGCAAGAGTTTTAATCCATTTTTCTTAACAATTTGAGGTAAATGAGTAATTGCCACCAGTATACAAAACAATTTATTTTAAAATCATGACTGCTTTATCTTAGGATTTCTAAATGTATTCTTTTTCAGCTTAAGAAAACAATTAGGCAGCTACATCAGACCATAGTCCTCCTCATGACAAACACTGGAGGCCCAAAAGTAGAGAAACAATTTTAGTGTGCGTATCAGTTCAAGGTTGTTGTTTTGTTTTGTTTTGTTTTTTGAGACGGAATCTCGCTCTATGGCCAGGCTGGAGTGCAGTGTGGTGCGATCTTGGCCCACTGCAACCTCCGCCTCCCGGGTTCAAGCAATTCTCCTGCCTCAGCCTCCCATGTAGCTGGGACTACAGGTGCGTACCATCTCGACTCACTGCAACCTCCGCTTCCTGGGTTCAAGTGATTCTCCTGCCTTAGCGTTCCGAATAGCTGGAAATACAGGCACCCGCCACCACGCCCAGCTAATTTTTGTATTTTTAGTAGAGATGGGGTTTCACCATGTTGGCTAGGATGGTCTCAATCTCTTGACCTCGTGATCCGCCTGCCTCAGCCTCCCGAAGTGCTGGGATTACAGGTGTGAGCCACTGCGCCTGGCTAGTTCGAGTTTTTAAGGAATTTAGCTCAGGCTGCTGCATTGCCACACACACCCCTGCTCTTTCATAGGCCTGCTGCTTGGCAAAGCTACGGACCGGTAAAGGTTAATCAGGTATAATTAAGTCTGTCCGGGGTTCGACAAACAGCATCTTGTCCAAGGTGAGCATAGCCCAAGGCTATGTGCCTGCCCGGAGACTCAGCTTGGGGTTCCGAGGCATGTGGGCAGTAGTAGCAGGCCACTAGCCAGGCTGTCATCCTAGGCCTGGGAAGGACAGAAGGTGGTTTTCCCTACCCAGCATAGACAGCTGCCTGGGAGCCTGTCTGTCCTCTTGGCCAGACAGAGGACTACCTGCTCAAAAAGCAGTTCCTAGCTGTGTCCATGGAAAGTGTACTTCCACCCTGTTTGAGACTTGTGCCTCTCTGGATTCTGGTTTGTAAATCTCCTTGGGGGGCGGCAGAAAGAGGGTTGTATGTGTTTCCATGGAAGCACACACAATTTGCATGGCCACTGCAGAGGCCATGGCTACAAAGTCCCAGGCTCTCCCTGGCGGGGTTAGCCCCTATTCTTGGCACTGGTGAGGGTGCCAATGGCGCACAGCCAGTCGAAAATTTTGGTGGCCCTGGCTCCAGGCATAGGCCGTGGTTACCAACAGCCAGCAGGCCTCCATCTTCCCACTCAACACATAGGTCCCTGTGTGCCTTCCTCGAAAAAGATTGTACACACATGTGACATCCAGCTGCAGCCAGCGTTGCAGGGTGGGCTCCAGCTCTGCAGGGGGCAGTGGTCCTGTCTTCAGCACCTCTAGTCTGGAGTACAGGTTGCAGTCCCAGGGGCCAGAGGAAGTACTGTTGGTCCTGGAGAACCTGACCTTCACTGCTGAGTGGGAACAGAGGGGCCGGTGAGGAGATGGGCCTCTAGGAGTCCTCCCTAAACCCCCAAGAGTGTTTAGTCCATCAGTCCCCTCCACCTAGTAGACTAAACCCTTTTGTCTGATGCTCTGCCCTTAGAATCAGTCTGCCACCTTCCTTAGCAGAATTTTTGGTTTCATTTTGTTGTTTTAGCAATGTCCTATGCTTGTAAAGGAATTTTTTCTTTTTGTTCCAACCAGGCATAGCATTTGGATATTCCCTCTTACACTGCCTCAGCCCCGAGCCAGGAGCTGCAATGGAGGCACTTGGAAGGGGTGTGTAAAGCTACAGGCCCAGGACTCATCAAAGTCACTGGTGCAGAGAGTGTCCAGAACCTCCTTGGAGGAGCCTGCATCCTGCAACTCGCAGTCCCTGCAGCTGGCATGCAGCGCTGGGAAGAGGGGCAAGGCGAGGCACTGGCCAGTGTGGTTGGGGGTGGAGTGAGGAGGGGGTGGAGGGGGCTGATCCCTCCACTTTTCCCCCTTTTTTACCCTTTTTGAGACGGATGCCTGCTGTAGGTGACATTGAGTACAGTTTACCTGATCCCTGTATGATTTGAATGATTTGAAAGGGGTGGGGCCGAGCAAGGTGGAGACCAGCCATGTGCAGACTCACATGGGCGGTCCAGGCGGGAGCCGTTGTTGGCCACAGCAGTGATACAGAGATCATGGCCCAAGGGGAAGCGTCCACAATGCAGGATGGCTGGCCAGGGGTAGCTGTAGCAGGCCATGATGGGCTCGCAGCTGGCCTGCATGGCCTCGCACAGGCTGTAGGAGGGGTAGATGACCCTTTGGGGGAAAGGGTCGGGGGCTGCACCGCCACAGGCTGAGCACCCAGATCAGCTGGAACCTCTCCATGTTCCTACCCCTGTCTCGTGGCCTGGAACTCTCTGGTTGCTGGGCAACGACACTGGTCGCCTAGCAACAGCCCCGTAGCCTGGCTTTCCCACTTGCCCCACATCTCAGCCCTCAGCTCTGCCTCTTCACTCCCGCCCTCCCACTCAGGTGCCTTGCCAGCTTTCCAGTGCACCTCTCCCTCCGGCTCTGTGGACATCCATTGTCTGCAAGAGGTGGCCTGCACCTTGGGCCTTTACTCTCCATCTTAAAGTGAGGAAACAGGGCCCTCCCTCTTGTCCTGAAAGGCCTTCGGGGCACCGCAGCCAGGGCTGGGGTTGGCAAACAGTTCAAGGGCTTGATCCTGAGTTCTGCTGACATGGCCACCCAGAGGCTCTTGGGAGAAACCATTGTTCACAGGATAGGTTAGGCTGGGGAAGAGGAAACAGCCTTGGGATCTCTGGACTCTCTGGGAGAAAAGGCCACCAGAAGGGCCTCTGCTCCATCTCTTGCCAGGGTCTCTTTGGACAGACATAGCTTCCACGCCTCATTGGAGAGGAGGTTCCAGCCCGCCTGCCCCCAACCCCCAGCCTGAAGCGACTTGTCCACCTGCCCTATCTTGACATTCAAGAGCCCTTGACCACCATTGATGGTCTCCTGCCTAAGGGCACCTGGTTCCCTCTGTCTGGAACACTCTAACAAAACGATCCATTTTCCTCTCTGTGCCTGTCAGCGCCCAGCCCTGATAGGTGCTCAGGTGCTCAGCAAGGATTACTGAAGACCTGAGCCACCAGAGCAGGGCCCTGAGGGAGCCCTCCAGGGCCCTGCACCTGGAAGCCCCTGTCCTACCTGTCAAGGCATACAGGGGTAAATAGCAGAGGAAGAGGCGGGCATCGGGGTGGCACTCCCAGGCAAGCAGGAGCAGCCAGCTGACCAACTGCTGGATGGCCTCAGCTGCTGTGATGTGGTCCAGCAAGTTGGGCAGACGCATCTGTGTAGCCAATGTCGTGGCATAGGGCCATGGCTTGGGGAATGGGCATGCACCTCATGCAGCCCCAGGGAGCCCCTGACCCTGCTGTCATCCCACAGCATCACCAGTGTCACCAGCAGCCACAGCCCCTGCTCCATCACTGCCTTCTGTGCCTTGGCCTTAATGAACTGAGGTTGAGGGTTTTATAGGGCTGTTCCTGCACCCAGGGAGCCAACAGAGGAGATCCTGCAGGGGTTTGCACAGCTCCGAGGTGCCCGGACCCACCTGGTGAGGCCCCAACATGCTGACTGGGCTGTTTGTTTTTGATTAGCACACAGCAGGGGACTGTAGAGGCTGGAGGCACCTCCACTGGGCTTGCAGATTACTGGCACCTAATAAACTGAAGAAACCTGGGCCTGTGTTTTCTTTTCTTTTTCTGGCTTCCTTTTTCTTTCTTTTTAAATTTTGTGTGTTAAGCAATCAAGAGGTGACTCTGTTGATTTGCAATTTGATCTAATCCATTGTTCCACAGGGCTGTCTCCCCTTGGATCACACCCTTTCTGGGTTTGCTGGGGTCACGGGATCATGCAGGCCAAGAGTGGGGGCCTTTGTCCTATCCTCAGTGTTATCACATCAGGGTCACCTGCTCCTAGTAGCTGAATCTGGTCATGAGCATGGTTTCTGGAACACAGCAGGCTGGGTGGCCAGTGGCAAGGCACTGATTTCTCTGTGCTTGGGTTTCCTCTTAGATAGGAAGGTTGAATTAATGGGGCCTGGCCTCCTAGGGTAAGTATAAGGATTAAGGAGTTGATGTGTATGAAGTGCTTAGGACAGTGCCTTGGGCAGAGTCTGTGCTACCTAAGTATTTTCTGCTGTAATTACTATTAAAAACCACTCCAGGCCAGGTGTGGTGGCATATGCTTATAATCCCAGCACTTTTGAGCCCGAGGTGGAAGGATAGCTTGAACCCAGGAAATTGAGACCAGCCTGGGCAATATAGGGAGACTCCATCTCTACAAAAAATAAAAAAATAAAAAAAGCTCCAACCCTGGTGCTGAGTGACCATTTTCCTTCCTCTTGGCAATGACTGGAACTTTGTGCTGGAAGTGTAACTGAGAGAAGCGGCAGGCCACTCCGCAGGTAGCAGTGCTGCCCTTCCTCCAGTCAGCTCCTCTGCGTGCTTCTTGTCCTCCAGTGAAGACCGCTCTCCCAGGAACAAGGGAAGGAAGCAGGGCCCATGCTCCTGCTCTGGAAGTGTCTGGGGCTACCAGAATGTGGGCTCCCTAGATGTGAGGCTCAGGTTCTAGCTCCACCAAGCCACCTACCAGCTGTGCCTGGTGTGCAGGCAGCCAGCCACTGAAGCCAAGCCCCAGGCCTGACTGATCTTTACTCAGGGGTGTAGAGGCATAGAGTAGGCACTAAGTGAACATTTGTACCAGGGAAGGAATCAAGGAAGCAAAGGACACCTGGGACATCTTTTCAGAGACCAGTATCTGCCCAAAACCTGAGTAACCCTCACTGATCTTCCAGCACTGGGCAACTCAGCCCTGGTCAGATGGCCAGCACCCATCTTTGCAGGAAATTGGAGGGGAAGGCCCTTGGACTGGCCTGAAACATTGGATGTCTTGTGCTGTTTTTATTTGAATAATGCTGAAAAGTTAAAATGAAAGCAAGAAGCAGCCACCATCTCCCCACTTTAAATATTTATACCCAGTAAAAAGTAGCAATCAAGCCTCTGCCCTTCAGGATCACTCTCTAGCCTTCAGTCCCAACCCAAAGATGGGTCAGCCCATATCCAGGTTAGCTCTGGCTCACCTCCCAGGGCTCTCCTGGAAAATGTGTGCTCTCATCATCAAGAGAGGTCCCACATTTCCAACGCCAGCCAGCCTTTGCAGGACAACTCAATCTTGACAAGTCAGAATCAAGGGGTCTGTAAAATCCTCCATCCTCCAGACCTGGTGGCCACTGAGGGACATGCAGTACCCCAGGAACCCTGAAGGGAGGAAGGTACTGGGTGCACCAGCGCCCTGGCTCAGTCCTTGGCCTCACCCACCTCCTCTTCTGGCAGAAATCCCCGGCTTCCTGACTGATGAAGAGTGTCGGCTCATCATCCATCTGGCGCAGATGAAGGGGTTACAGCGCAGCCAGATCCTGCCTACTGAAGAGTATGAAGAGGCAATGAGCACTATGCAGGTCAGCCAGCTGGACCTCTTCCGGCTGCTGGACCAGAACCGTGATGGGCACCTTCAGCTCCGTGAGGTTGGAATCCTGGGACCTGAGTAGGCTCAGGGTGGGAGTGCCCAGAATCACCTTTCTGGTGGCCAGGTCACTTGTCCAGCCCAGGCCTGGTCCCAAAAGTCAGATACTACCCAGACCTGCCTGGGCATGCCCAGACCCAGGAGGTCCCCTTTCCCTCTGGAGAGCTCTTGGCTACCCTGGGAACCTCAGAAGATGGCAGGAGAATCCACCTGGGGGTGATGGCATTTATCACCATAGTTTTGGAGGGATGCACCTCTGTAGCCTGCATTCCTTGCTCTCATGGCTGGGGGCCCCACAGAACTCATGGTGGATGGGGTGGCAGCTCTGAGGTGGCCAGCAGCCTGCCTCTCTCTCTGCATAACTCTCACACACTCTACAGCCAGGCTGGAGGGCCAAGCTTCTGAGAGAAGTCTGGCAGGGTGGTGGTGCGGGGCACTGCCCACACAGAACACCCCACTGAGCCTGGTCTTTCTGAGGGATCTGGTGGTCATGCCCTAACCAGGTCTCCCCCTGGTGCCTGTTCTCCCTTAACACCCAGGACTTGGCTTTCCCCATCTCACCCGGAGTATCTGAGTGGGACACAGGCCTGTCCTTCACTCTGCTTCCAACCAACAGTGCTCTCCATGAAGGCCACGGGGCCTTAGTCCGGGAATGCAAATGGCCTACGCCTCTTGACCCCCAGCCCCCGGCCTTCTCCTCAGATGCTCTGTACCTTTCTACCTGCACTCACTTTGGCCCAATGGGCTCTGCCCTGTGTCCTCATCCATGCCCTCACCTGAACACTTTGCTCCACAACAAGCACTGGGCCATCTGTTCTCTGCTGGCTCTCCATCACTGGGGTCACCCACTGAGGGACCCTCTTATGCTTTAGGTTCTGGCCCAGACTCGCCTGGGAAATGGATGGTGGATGACTCCAGAGAGCATTCAGGAGATGTACGCCGCGATCAAGGCTGACCCTGATGGTGACGGTGAGCTCACACCTCTGCACAGTCCTATCCCCGTGAGCCTCCTGCCCACTCCCAGGTGCACAATTTTGAAAACTTGGGCCCTTCCCCCACAGCCAGGCAGCCTCTCTGCACCCCTTTATAGTGGCCAGAGATGGGGAGGTGAAGATCCAGCCTTGCTTTTTACCCCTGGGAAGTAGGCAGGCAGCCAGGCCCCCCGTTCCCCTTGGTGATGGTCTCGAGGGCAGTTCTTGGAGACCCTTTTGATAACATCAGGCAGAGTTGAGAGCCTGGGGACAGGAAGTAGGGCTGCTAGTTGGCAGAGAACAGAGTGGGTGGAGCAGGAGCAAGGCGACAGTGAGGCCAGCTAGAGCTTGGCTGTTTACCCTGCTCCATCCATCTCTCCAGCCAGACACGAGGTCCACCCCAGCAGACAGCTTCCCTGGTCTAAGTGAGATCTCCCTTGCCTTCCTCTTGTCCACCTGGAGTCATGCCGAAGCGCCTAAAATGGTAGTGCTGCTACCTGTGCTAACTGCTGGGGAGGGGTGGGCAGGGAAGCTGTCATGCAAGTGGTGCCCCCTCTGGTAATAACTCTCAGGAGGTTTCTGAGGTGTGGTCATCACCCTCATGCCCAAATTCTGGACCAAGAGAGGAAGATACAGCAGTTAGAAAGGACTTGGAACAGTGGCTTTGCGGCTGGTGAACCAGAGTGAAGAATCTGGCCGTGACCTGTGGCTGGATGGCTGCCACACTGCTATAGGCCCCAGAACAGAGGTGGTGACAGTCTCACAGCCCTTGAATGTCCCCCACCCTCAGAGGAATCTGGGCCAAAGAGTGGAAGGTGATGTCCTTGGGTCAGCCAGAATAACATGGAGCAAAGATACCAACTACTCTTCCAGAACCCCAAGAGGGTAGAACCCCTGCTTAATGGTTTGAGCAGGGACAGTGGAGAATGTTCTCATGAGAGGGGGTGGCCTGACTTTCGTTGCTAAGGTGGGCTGGTAACGCAGTAGGCAGGGCTGGCGAAGTAGGTTCCACCCAGGATGAAACCTGGGGTCATGAGGAACTCCCCGGGGGCTGGCCCTGCTTGCACCCTGGCGTATGTATGTAAGGCCCTGGATGAGGCCCAGCACTGCCTGCTCTCTCCTCACCCTCCACAGGCCGGAGAGTGGCCACCACTCTATATAGCCAGGCTGGAAGGCCAGGGTCCTGGCCATATGGCTCAAGCTTCCTTTGGAGAACCTTCTCTGGCCACTCTAATAGGGGGTGGGCCTCTTTCTTCTTAGGGCCAAATTAGGGCTTAAACTGAGAAAAGGAACTGCTCTGGGTCTTCCTGTAAGGCCTGATGTGACAGAAACCAGGTTCATCTGACCCAAAAGTCCAGGTGGGGGACAAGTGTACAAGGCCCCTCAGTGCCTGAGGTCAGGGGCTGCTGCTGCCTTTGGGGTAGGTAGGGAAGTGCAGCCTGCCACTGTTGCCTCCCAATATGGGCTTGGTGGGCATTGATGGTGGGTGCCCTGTGCAGGAGTGCTGAGTCTGCAGGAGTTCTCCAACATGGACCTTCGGGACTTCCACAAGTACATGAGGAGCCACAAGGCAGAGTCCAGTGAGCTGGTGCGGAACAGCCACCATACCTGGCTCTACCAGGGTGAGGGTGCCCACCACATCATGCGTGCCATCCGCCAGAGGTGAGCACCTGAAGCTGTTCTCACTGGAGCAGGGGGAGAAGACTGGGCAGGGCCTCCACAGAAGTCCTTGTCTGGGGCCAAGAGGACAGAATGGATTAACCCATTTGGGATTAAGTTCCATTTGTTAGACCAGGATTGGGACCCACTGAAAGACAGGCAATTAACAAAGGCAAATTAGCCCTCCTTGCAGGCACACAATGGGCAACTGGGGTTAGATAGAGATTGAGCACTTCTTTCTGATTAGATAAATGACCTCTTATCTTTGACCCCTTATCTGACCCCGTCACAGCAGGAAAAGGGTTTTTAAATAAACAACTTTCTTCCAGGGAGGAGGACCTCAGGACTCCCCGCCCCCTTTATTTAGTGGAAATGTCAACATTTCCACATAGCAGGTGTCTCTGTCTTTGGCATCTGAGGGAGAAGGATCATCATGAGTAACCCCCTCCTGCTCTTACAGGGCCAGTCTGAGATGGCTTAAGGGACTTCCAGGGGAGGTGGGTAGGGGCAAAGCTTGTGGCAGGCCTAGGGTCCACCTTGGCCAGCTCCTTCAGATCACCACCTTGCCTGGGGCTGCCCAGCCAAATGCCTGCTGCCCACCAGGGTGCTGCGCCTCACTCGCCTGTCGCCTGAGATCGTGGAGCTCAGCGAGCCGCTGCAGGTTGTTCGATATGGTGAGGGGGGCCACTACCATGCCCACGTGGACAGTGGGCCTGTGTACCCAGAGACCATCTGCTCCCATACCAAGCTGGTAGCCAACGAGTCTGTACCCTTCGAGACCTCCTGCCGGCAAGTATCTCCCAACTGGGGGCTGCCTTCAATCCTCAGACCAGGAACACCCATGACACAGGCACAGCCCTGCACTGTGGGCGTGCCCCTTGGCATGGGGCCAGGAGATCACTGGGTTATCCCGGTTAGTGATGCCCTCACCTCTCCCCACAAGTTGTTTACCCAATGGCTGGAAAGGGGTGGCTACTGGTCATCGTGACCACTGGAGTCAACACAGACTGATGTACCCACAGACACCAAAACTTGCCCCCTGAGTTCTGAAGCAAGGGGCAAGGCTGGGCCCCTAGCTTGTCCTGCCCATTCCTCCAGGTGTTGATCTTGATTCCACTTAGAGAAGCTGAAGCTGTGCCTCCCTCCCCTGTCAAGCCAGTTCTTTCCTCTTCAGGTGGCTGTTCTGGCCCAGCCCCTTCCCATCCCCAAGGAGCCCTTCAGCGCGCCCTGTTGCTTCTGCTAGCCTACCTTTCCCTGCCAGGCCCTTGCTCAGGGCCATGGCATTTAACTAAGTGCACCTGTGATCTTGGCCAAAAAACCATTGCAACTCACAGTAAGAGACTGGGTTTCGGGGAAGGAGGGGCTAGGGACATTTTGGCACTGGCCTGCCCTATTGTCTCCCATCCTAGTCTGTCCTGGTCCCTGGCAACAGGAACCTGGGCAGCTTATCCTGCCCACAGGTAAGCCCCTGGGAGCATCCACAACTGGGGACCTGCTCAGTGCCCCCCCTGCCTTACAGCTACATGACAGTGCTGTTTTATTTGAACAACGTCACTGGTGGGGGCGAGACTGTTTTCCCTGTAGCAGATAACAGAACCTACGATGAAATGGTAAGGGTCAACTGGGCTATTACTCTTGTGGGCTGGCAGGGGCTTAGACAAGTGAAGTACACACCTCTCCAGGTCTAAGGATGTGGGCCCAAATTATTCCTTGGGCATATCTGGTTGGTTTCCCTTTGGTCACCCTTGGCTGGCCTGGCCATAGAGTGGGGACAGGTTGAACACCCCACCACCCTGCTGCCCACAGAGTCTGATTCAGGATGACGTGGACCTCCGTGACACACGGAGGCACTGTGACAAGGGAAACCTGCGTGTCAAGCCCCAACAGGGCACAGCAGTCTTCTGGTACAACTACCTGCCTGATGGGCAAGGTGAGGGCCTATGGCCAGGCCTGGGGGGGGTGCCCTGAGTACAGCTTCCCTTTACCCAGCCCCCGTCTGCCACAATGGAGGGCTGTTTCTGGCTGCTTTCCAAATAGTTTTCTGCTCCTGGTGCCTCCCAAAGGCCATCCTTAGTGACTTTAGCAGACTGCCCCAGGACCTGTACTGCTTATTGGGTTATATCCATCCCTATCATTCCCTGATGCCCCAGCCTTCCTACTCCCTGGGGCTTGGGACACATGTCCCTTGCTAACCCAGGATGGGAAGGGATATGGACAGGCCCAACAGCAAGAAAGCTGGTTTCAGAGGGCCAGTAGTGTTGACTATACATTAGTGGGCTGAGATGAGGAGCCTCCAAGGAAGCTTTAGGTCTGGGTGTTTGCTACACAAGGAATGCATAGCTGGACCCACCTTGGTCATGCTCTTGGTGCCTATGAGGCCAAGCTCTGGCCAGCCCAGCCTAGGATCTCACGTCACCCTCCTCTTCTAGGTTGGGTGGGTGACGTAGACGACTACTCGCTGCACGGGGGCTGCCTGGTCACGCGCGGCACCAAGTGGATTGCCAACAACTGGATTAATGTGGACCCCAGCCGAGCGCGGCAAGCGCTGTTCCAACAGGAGATGGCCCGCCTTGCCCGAGAAGGGGGCACCGACTCACAGCCCGAGTGGGCTCTGGACCGGGCCTACCGCGATGCGCGCGTGGAACTCTGAGGGAAGAGTTAGCCCCGGTTCCCAGCCGCGGGTCGCCAGTTGCCCAAGATCAGGGGTCCGGCTGTCCTTCTGTCCTGCTGCAGACTAAAGGTCTGGCCAATGTCTTGCCCCACCCCGCCAGCCGCGATACGGCGCAGTTCCTATATTCATGTTATTTATTGTGTACTGACTCCATCTGCCCCGTCAAATAAAAAACCACAAGGTTCGAGCCGCCGGGCCCGACAAACTCCGGGTCGGCGAAACAGAGTCCGCGATAGGTGCAGCGGGCTGGCAGCTGGGAGCGCCCCGCAAGCGTCACGTGAGGGGGCGAGGGGCGGGATGCCCCTCCGCGGGCCCCGCCAATGATGAGCTGGATTGCGTGGGACGAAGGGTCGTCATTGGACAACCGCCGCGGGCGCCCTGGTCTCTGCTACCTGTAGCTGAGGGCGCTGTTGATGGGCAGCGCGGCGCGCTGGGAAGGCTCGTTCTCGCGAGAGTTCAGCTCCCTTCTTAGCCGTGGCTGCCTCAGCACCTCGAGGATCGACATGGACGCTCTCGAGGACTACGTTTGGCCGCGGGCAACCTCGGAGCTTATACTCCTCCCAGTGACGGGTCTGGAGTGCGTGGGGGACCGGCTGTTGGCGGGTGAGGCTTGGCTTGAGGCACGCCTGGTGGAAAGGGGGAAAGAAACAGCGCCTCCCAGGGGCGGTGCCACAGGGACAAAAGGGGTGCCCTGAGGAGAAGGACGGGCAGCAGGTTGAGGCCGATCGGAGGTGGGAAGGGAGCCCCGGAGATGGCGGGGACGAGGGCCAACCTGAAGAGGGCGGGGCCCGAGAGACAAAGCTGATGTGGCCGCCGCGGCGCTTCATAAACTTCAGCCCGCGTGGAAAGGGCGGGTGGAACCGCGGGAGGGTGCAGGGGAACGCGGCCGCGCGGAGGCGGAGGCGGAGGCCCGGGAGCTGAGGGTTGAGGGGGTGTGCTCCCTTCTAGGAGATGGGCGGGGGCTTGGCCTCTCCGAAGGAGACGGGGCCGAGCTGGGGGGGGCGGAGGGAGGAGGAGGAGGAGGAGGCGGAGGCGGCCCCGGCCCCTCAGGGGGTGTGGCCTCTTGGGGAAGGCGGGGCCGGGAGAGGGCAAGGGTGTGGCCTCTCGAGGGCGGGATGAGTCTCTTCCCCCTAAGGTGGGGGTGAAGATCCTCTGAGGAGGGTGGCGTCGCGGAAAACGGCGGATAAGACCTTTCCGAGTAGGGGGCGGTGCCCGGGGAAGCAGGGGCTGAGACCCCCTCCTGAGATGGTTGAGGTCCAGGAAATCAGGTGTGGAGGTCCCTCCAAGGAGAACCGGGTCGCAAAGGACAGGCGAGGCCTGGGACCTGAGGTGTCAGAGTCCAGGCTGGTCTCGAACAGTCATTACATGAAGCCACTAATGACCCATGTTGGTGCTGCTGAGTTGTATAAGGGTCCTGAGGCAGGGCCTTGGCGGTCAGGCCTTGAGTGAGTTGCCACCAGTCCTAAGAGGGTGTGTGTATGGGGTGGGGATGATCCAGTTTTGATCTGGTGTGGGGGTTCTTGGAGCGCGGAGTTCCTACCGCGAGCTAAACTCCTAAGGCTCCTTGAGGGGGAACAACGAAGCAGAAACTCAAAGAACCACAAGAGTGAACTAGGAAAAGGGGTGAGTTCCTGGCAAGAGGGTAAGCATGCCAAAGGCCTTGAGGCTGGAAGAATCTGTCATTTTGGGGGAAGGAGGGAATTCTTGTGAAGTTAGAGCAGGAATGGAGTCTGGGAGGAAAGGAAGCTGGACAAGCGAGCAGAGGCCACATTGTTTCAGGCCTTGATCTGACTTTATCCCTAAGGGCAGTGGGGAGAACCTATTGAAGGGTTTTAAGGTGGGGAATAACTTGGGAAATGCAGTTTAAGAAGCTCTGCAAGTGAATTCACCTACTTCTGTGGCTTCCAAAGTGACTTTTATATAGCTACAATTCTGTGTGTGTGTGTTTTTTGTTTGTTTGTTTGTTTGTTTTTGAGACAGTCTTCCTCTGTCACCCAGGCTGGAGTGCAGTGGCACGGTCTCGGCTCCCTGCAACCTCCGCCTCCCAGGTTCAAGTGATTCTCCTGCCTCAGCCTCCGGAGTAGCTGGGATTACAGGTGCCCACCACCATGCCCAGCTAATTGTTGTATTTTTAGTAGAGATGGGGCCTCACCATGTTGGCCAGGCTGGTCTCAAACTCCTGACCTCAAGTGATTCGCCTGCCTCAGCCCCCCAAATTGCTGGAATTATAGGCATGAGCCACCATACCCGGCCTCTCTAGCCTCTTCCTGAGCTCTTCATTTCCTGTTCCATCCACCATACTCAATGCTCTTGCCCATCTCAGGGCAATCATACATGCTGTTTTCTCCACCAAGAAAGCTGCAAACCCTCCCATTGCTCCCCACCCCCCCCCCCCCGCCCCAACATTTCCCAGTCCCCCTCTTCCGCCTCCTTTCCTCTGGCTAACTGCTGCTTATCCTTGAATCCTAACTCTAAATATTGTGTCCTCAAGTTGGCCTCCCCTTACACTCACCCAGTCTTGTTAGATTAGACCAGGGTTTTCTCAATCTTGCCTCGATTGACCTTTTAGACCAGATAATTCTTTGTTGGAATGCTGTTTGTGCATTGTAGGATGTTTAGCATCATCCCTGGCCTTACTTGCCAGTAGCACAACCCCTGGAGACAGCCGTACGTGTCTCCAGCTATTGCTAGATGTCTCCTGTGGGGAAAGTTGCCCCCTGTGGAGAACCACTGGATTAGACTTTCTCATTTTACATCTTTTATTTTCTTTTTGCATTGTCAAAATCCTTCTCATTTTATTTTACTTTTTTTTTTTTTGAGACAGAGTCTTGCTCTATTGCTCAGGGTGGAGTGCAGTGGTGCAATCTCAGGTCACTGCAACTTCCACCTCTTGGGCTCAAGAGATCCTCTCACCTCAGCCTCCCAAGTAGCTGGGACTACAGGCATGCGCCATTATGCCCAGCTCATTTGTATAATTTTTTTAGAGGTGGAGTTTTGCCCTGTTGCCCAGGCTGGTCTCAAACTCCTGGGCTTAAGCGAGCCTCCTGCCTTCCAAAGTGCTGGGATTATCGGTGTGAGCCACTGTGCCAGGCCCCATCTCTATTTTTTTTTTAATTAAAAAAAAAAAGTGAGGTGAGGAGGAGGCTCTGAGTTTGAGAAATTTGTGGTTGAAGTGAACATCAAGCGTGACTGATGAGGCTGGGCGCGGTGGCTCACGCCTGTATTCCCAGCACTTTGGGAGGCCGAGGTGGGCGGATCATGAGGTCAGGAGATCGAGACCATCCTGGCTAACACAGTGAAACCCCGTCTCTACTAAAAATACAAAAAATTAGCCGGGCATGGTGGCGGATGCCTGTAGTCCCAGCTACTTGGGAGGCTGAGGCAGGAGGATGGCGTAAACCTGGGAGGCAGAGCTTGTAGTGAGCCAAGATCGCGCCACAGCACTCCAGCTTGGGCGGCAGAGTGAGACTTTGTCTCAAAAAAAAAAAAGAGTGACTGATGAGGGGGCCGGGCACAATGGCTCACGCCTGTAATCCCGGCACTTTGGGAGGCCAAGGTGGGTGGATCACCGCAGGTCAGGAGTTCGAGACCAGCGTGGCCAACATGGTGAAACCCTGTCTCTACTAAAAATATAAAAACTGGTCGGGCTTGGTGGCTCACGCCTATAATCCCAGCACTTTGGGAGGCTGAGGCGGGCAGATCACGAGGTCAGGAGATCGAGATCATCCTGGCTAACACGGTGAAACCCTGTCTCTATTAAAAATACAAAAAATTAGCCGGGCATGGGGGCAGGCCCCTGTAGTCCCAGCTACTCGGGAGGCTGAGGCAGGAGAATGGCCTGAACCCGGGAGGTGGAACTTGCAGTGAGCTGAGATCGTGCCACTGCACTCCAGCCTGGGCTACAGAGCAAGACTCCGTCTCAAAAAAAAAAAAAAAAAACTAGCCAGGTGTGGTGGTGGGCGCCTGTAATTCCAGCTACTTGGGAGGCTGAGGCAGGAGAGTTGCTTGAACCCAGGAGATGGAGGTTGCAGTGAGCTGCACGGTGCCACTGCACTCCAGCCTCAGCGACAGAATGAGACTCTGTCTCAAAAAAAAAAAGAATGACTGATGAGGGAAGCACAAAGTCAGCACTGAAAGTCCAGCTGAAGCTGAGACCAAGGATTTTCTTTTTTCTTTTTTTTTTTTTGAGTCTTTCGCCCAGGCTGGAGTGAAGTGGTATGATCTTGGCTCACTGCAACCTCCACCCGCTGGGTTCAAGCGATTCTCCTGCCTCAGCCTCCTGAGTAGCTGGGATTACAGGCACGTGCCACCACACCTGGCTAATTTTTTAGTAGAGATGGGGTTTTCACCTTGTTGGCCAGGCTAGTCCTGAACCCCTGACCTCAGGTGATTCATCCGCCTGGGCTTCCCAAAGTGCTAGGATTACAGGCGTGAGCCACCGTGCCTGGCCGAGACCAAGGATTTTCTTTTTTTTTTTTTTCTTTTGAGACAGAGTCTGGCTTTGGCTTTCCAAAGTGCCCAGATTACAGGCGTGAGCCACCGCACCCGGCCGAGACCAAGGATTTTCTAAGATTCAAGCTGCAGGATTGTGTGTCCTGATGCATTCATAGGCTACATGCCGAGAAGTTTCCCTGATCCCCATCTCTTCCCTGTGGGTCATCAGAGTTAGGTACCTAGCTCTGACATGGCTCTTTGCCTCTATCTAGGTGAGGGTCCCGATGTCCTGGTGTACAGCTTGGACTTTGGTGGGCATCTGCGGATGATAAAGCGAGTGCAGAACCTGCTTGGCCACTATCTTATCCATGGCTTCCGGGTACGGCCAGAGCCTAATGGAGACCTTGACTTGGAGGCCATGGTGGCTGTGTTTGGAAGCAAGGGACTCCGAGTTGTGAAAATTAGCTGGGGACAGGGCCACTTCTGGGAGCTTTGGCGCTCTGGCCTGTGGAACATGTCTGACTGGATTTGGGATGCACGCTGGCTTGAGGGAAATATAGCCTTGGCCCTGGGCCACAACTCAGTGGTGCTATATGACCCTGTAGTAGGGTGCATCCTGCAAGAGGTGCCCTGCACAGACAGGTGCACCCTCTCTTCAGCCTGCCTGATTGGAGACGCCTGGAAGGAGCTGACCATAGTGGCAGGTGCTGTTTCCAACCAGCTCTTGGTCTGGTACCCAGCAACTGCCTTAGCAGACAACAAACCTGTAGCACCTGACCGACGAATCAGTGGGCATGTGGGCATCATCTTCAGCATGTCATACCTGGAAAGCAAGGGATTGCTGGCTACAGCTTCAGAAGACCGAAGCGTTCGTATCTGGAAGGTGGGCGACCTGCGAGTGCCTGGGGGTCGGGTGCAGAATATTGGGCACTGCTTTGGGCACAGCGCCCGTGTGTGGCAGGTCAAGCTTCTAGAGAATTACCTTATCAGTGCAGGAGAGGATTGTGTCTGCTTGGTGTGGAGCCATGAAGGTGAGATCCTCCAGGCCTTTCGGGGACACCAGGGACGTGGGATCCGGGCCATAGCTGCCCATGAGAGGCAGGCCTGGGTGATCACTGGGGGTGATGACTCAGGCATTCGGCTGTGGCACTTGGTAGGGCGTGGGTACCGGGGATTGGGGGTCTCGGCTCTCTGCTTCAAGTCCCGTAGTAGGCCAGGTACACTCAAGGCTGTGACTCTGGCTGGCTCTTGGCGACTGCTGGCAGTGACTGATACAGGGGCCCTGTATCTCTATGACGTCGAGGTCAAGTGCTGGGAGCAGCTGCTAGAGGATAAACATTTCCAGTCCTACTGCCTGCTGGAGGCAGCTCCTGGTCCCGAGGGCTTCGGATTGTGTGCTATGGCCAATGGGGAAGGTCGTGTCAAGGTTGTCCCCATCAACACTCCAACTGCTGCTGTGGACCAGACCCTGTTTCCTGGGAAGGTGCACAGCTTGAGCTGGGCCCTGCGTGGTTATGAGGAGCTCCTGTTGCTGGCATCGGGCCCTGGCGGGGTAGTAGCTTGCCTAGAGATCTCAGCCGCACCCTCTGGCAAGGCCATCTTTGTCAAGGAACGTTGTCGGTACCTGCTGCCCCCAAGCAAGCAGAGATGGCACACATGCAGTGCCTTCCTACCCCCAGGTGACTTCCTGGTGTGTGGTGACCGCCGGGGCTCTGTGCTGCTATTCCCCTCCAGACCAGGTCTGCTCAAGGACCCTGGGGTGGGAGGCAAGGCTCGGGCTGGTGCTGGGGCACCTGTAGTGGGTAGTGGTAGTAGTGGGGGTGGGAATGCTTTCACTGGGTTGGGCCCAGTGTCTACCCTGCCCTCTCTGCACGGGAAGCAGGGTGTGACCTCAGTCACATGCCATGGTGGCTATGTGTATACCACAGGGCGTGATGGAGCCTACTACCAGCTGTTTGTACGAGACGGCCAGCTCCAGCCAGTCCTAAGGCAGAAGTCCTGTCGAGGCATGAACTGGCTAGCTGGGCTCCGTATAGTGCCCGATGGGAGCATGGTTATCCTGGGTTTCCATGCCAATGAGTTTGTGGTGTGGAACCCTCGGTCACACGAGAAGCTGCACATCGTCAACTGTGGTGGAGGGCACCGTTCGTGGGCATTCTCTGATACTGAGGCGGCCATGGCCTTTGCTTACCTCAAGGATGGGGATGTCATGCTGTACAGGGCTCTGGGTGGCTGCACCCGGCCACACGTGATTCTCCGGGAGGGTCTGCATGGCCGTGAGATCACTTGTGTAAAGCGTGTGGGCACCATTACCCTGGGGCCTGAATATGGAGTGCCCAGCTTCATGCAGCCTGATGACCTGGAGCCTGGCAGTGAGGGGCCCGACTTGACTGACATTGTGATCACATGTAGTGAGGACACTACTGTCTGTGTCCTAGCACTCCCTACAACCACAGGCTCAGCCCACGCACTCACAGCTGTTTGTAACCATATCTCCTCGGTACGTGCTGTGGCTGTGTGGGGCATTGGCACCCCAGGTGGCCCTCAGGATCCTCAGCCAGGCCTGACTGCCCATGTGGTGTCTGCGGGGGGGCGGGCTGAGATGCACTGCTTCAGCATCATGGTTACTCCGGACCCCAGCACCCCAAGCCGCCTCGCCTGCCATGTCATGCACCTTTCGTCCCACCGGCTAGATGAGTATTGGGACCGGCAACGCAATCGGCATCGGATGGTTAAGGTAGACCCAGAGACCAGGTAATATATGCTCCTGGGCAGGGTGTGGTATGGGTCATGCAGATGCTCCCAGGCTTGCAGGCTCCACCTGACAGCTGCATGTTGTCTCTGCAGGTACATGTCCCTTGCTGTGTGTGAACTTGACCAGCCCGGCCTTGGCCCCCTTGTGGCTGCAGCCTGTAGTGATGGGGCCGTAAGGTGAGAGCATAGGGCCCAGTGGGACAGGAGACAAAGGAAGTAAGGTTGTCTAGGATGCGTTCTGAGCTGGGCCACCCCCCGCCCCCCAGGCTCTTTCTTTTGCAGGATTCTGGGCGGATTCTGCAGCTCCTTGCTGAAACCTTCCACCATAAGCGATGTGTCCTCAAGGTCCACTCCTTTACACACGAGGCACCCAACCAGAGGCGGTGAGAGGGGCTGGATGATGGTCCTGCATGGGCTGGGTTGGGGGGTTCCTGTTGAGCTTCATCTCTGTTATTGACCAGGCTGTCTTTTCCTGGCTCTCAGGAGGCTCCTCCTGTGCAGCGCAGCTACTGATGGCAGCCTGGCTTTCTGGGATCTCACCACCATGCTAGACCATGACTCCACTGTCCTGGAGCCTCCAGTGGATCCTGGGCTTCCCTACCGTGAGTAGCTAATGTGCAACCATGGCTACCCCTCCTCACCTGTCACATAGCCCTCACACATGTGGCAGGCGGGGCCCTGACAACTACCCTCTTCCTCTTCCTTCAGGGCTTGGCACCCCCTCCCTGACTCTCCAGGCCCACAGCTGTGGTATCAACAGCCTGCACACCTTGCCCACCCGTGAGGGCCACCATCTCGTGGCCAGTGGCAGTGAAGATGGATCCCTCCATGTCTTCGTGCTTGCTGTGGAGATGCTACAGCTAGAAGAGGCTGTGGGAGAGGCTGGGCTGGTACCCCAGCTGCGTGTGCTAGAGGAATACTCTGTCCCCTGTGCACATGCTGCCCATGTGACAGGCCTCAAGATCCTAAGCCCAAGCATCATGGTCTCAGCCTCCATTGATCAACGGCTGACCTTCTGGCGTCTGGGGCATGGTGAACCCACCTTCATGAATAGCACTGTGTTCCATGTGCCTGATGTGGCTGACATGGACTGCTGGCCTGTGAGCCCTGAGTTTGGCCACCGTTGTGCCCTTGGGGGTCAGGGGCTTGAGGTTTACAACTGGTATGACTGAGGTATCCTGCGGTGGCTGGCGTGCTGGGCATGGGGCCTGCTCACAGACAGCATGGAGCAGGGATGGGCTGTCTGTGCCCATGCTCAGCATGCCTTGAGGGGAGGAGGTGGTGGCCGTGGGTTCCTGATGTCGGTGCAGGAGCTGAAGGTGAGTGGAGTGCTGCCAAGAATATGCCCGACTCCCCATGACAAGACAGAACTTTGTAACAAACAGTACCAATTTATTTTGGCCGTGGGTTTTTGCTTTTTTTCCAGTTGATGACTTTGTGAACATTCCCAGGTATTGGAGCCTCTGTGGCCTTAAATGTGGCTCAGTGGAGGGAGACCCAGCATAGCCAGGCCAGTATGGAGCACCTCACGCACAGCTCTCAGAAGCTGCAGGCGGACGAACATCTGACCAAAGAGGTGTGGTCGAGGCTCCTGAAAGAGAAAGGGCCTGCTGGTCTCATCCTCTGCTTCCTTTGCCTTTACCCTATACCTCTCTGCACGTCCCACCCCATTTTGCTGTGTGCTCACCCCCAGGATGTGTACCCGGTTGTAGTAGGAGCTGAAATCCATGCTGAGCTGTACCAGGAACTTGCATATCTAGAGACAGAGACTGAGTCACTGGCCCATCTCTTTGCTCTTGTGCCCCAGGCCAGAATAAAGAATAGAGTGTAGAGTGTCCTGGTTGTCTATGCCTCACCATCTCTGTGCGTACAGCAATGTGGAGCCCCGGGGCTGTGCAGTCCAGCACTGCTGTCCGGCTCAGCAGATCCGGAAAGGGGAGGATACTGTTGAAGAGCAACAACCACTCACCCTGTTGGGGAGAAAGGTGCTGGGAGGGGAAGTCCAGGCCTCCTTGTGCCAGCTACCAGGAGGGACACTCACCTCATCATGTAGCAGTGAGAAGTCCAGACTGCTCACAGGAGGAAAAGTGGGGTACAGACCTTGTTCCATACTACACTTGTAACTCTCAAAGAGTGTGGCAAGACGGGCACAATTATACATGACAAAGGTGCCACTCTTTGTGCCCTTCGTGGAGATACTGCTGTCAGCCAGAGCCAGGAAGAGCTGGGGAATAGAAGCACAGCTGCAGAGAGAGAAGGCAGCCACCACACCCTGTGCCCCAACACTGGCCCTGTCAGGCTCCCAGGCTCACCTGACTCTGTGGGGCTGTGCTCAGCATCTCAAACTTGATGGTGGCCACAGAGAGAACACCAAAGATCTCTGTCCAGGCTGGGTCTGAGGGAGTATAGGGTTGGTCAGTCAGTCTGCAGGCAAGGGCAGGGATGCAAAAAACCTGCCCCTAACCCAGAACATAGCCAGGGTTTCCCAGGCACACCTTGTGCCAGATCCCCACCATGCTTCAGTGCTGAGGCCTTGCACACCTGGGTATGCCGGAACCTGTGTTTGGAAGAGAGGAAGGCCAGTGGGCAGGGTCCTGGGTAAAGAGTCCCCCCTCATTACCCTGGCTTAGGTTGGTGTTCCTCCCAGCCTCACTCACTCGTAGTACTCAGGGGCAGTCATCAGAGTGCCAGGTGCACCAGCTACTTTCACAGGGCCACAGATGAGGTGCTTCTGTCAGAAAGATGTCAGGGGCTCAGCCTAGTTGGCGCTACTCTCCAGGAAGTCCCTTGAGGAGCCCAAATCTGGTGCCTCTACTCAGCCCAGACTCCCTCAAATTGGAACTGCCAGGTTGAGTGCCTCCGTCTACCCAGCCACTCAGGCTACGCATGGTTCATCCTTCTCAACCTGGTCTTCAGTGTTCTTGGGATGTGTCTACAGACCCCCCTTCCCCAGAGCCTCTGCACCTGCTGTACATGCCCTCTCAAGTCCAGCAACTCCCCCAAGGTCAAGTGTTGGTTTCTGTCAGCTAACAAGCCCCTCGGTGGGTTTTCAAGGGCCCTCTGAGGTTGGGGGTTAGGTGGTGGGGAGCTCCACCATCATTATTAACCTACCTGTCTGAGTGGAGCCTTGTCAACCAACTTCTGCCAAAGCAGGTCCAACTTCTGTTGCTGGAACTCCTCCTCACAGCTAACAACATGTACAACCAGGCAGCCGCCTGTACCAGTATCTGAGGCCCCAGCCTAAGGGAGGACAATCATAACTGTGGAAGTACAGTATACTTGGTTTGGGAGAACCTACAGGGCTGGGAGTCACTAACCAGGCCTGGGTGGCTGTCCTCGGGCCAATGCCATAGAGCCTCTTGCAGCTCAGCCAGCACAGAGAGGAGATCCTCAGTCACTGAAAAGAGAACAGACAGGTGCTGAGACTGACAAGAAGCAGAGATGTGCCCCTAACCCCCTCCTGCCTTTTCTGGCCCTGCTAGGCTTCAGGTCCTACCCAGACAGTTGTCCAGGTTGGGGTCATAGCCAGCTGTGCGGCCCTGTTCTTCCACCAGCTCCTTCAGACACAGTCTGCCTAGGATGCCAGGGGACAGTGTCCTCCCGTCATTAGCAGAGGTAAGTTCTTCAAGGGCGTGGCTCCTCAGGGTGTGGGAGGAAGCTCTCTCCGAGGCAGCGGGCCAGTCCACCCGCAGTTGCTGCAGGAAGGTCAGCATGTGCGGATCCCGCACAGCTGGCACTAGGCGCACGCACACCCTGCGAAGGGAGGGCGGCCGCCTCAGTCTGAGCACCTGGTCCAGCTCGCCACGACTTCCCACCTCCAGCCGCAGTCCCCACGGGCGGCGCCGCTCGCTTTCTAGGTACCCGGCAGTCCCACTTTCTCCATTCCGGCCCCGCGGCCCCGCTCACCCGTGAGCGCGCAGGGCTCGCGCCAGGTGATCGGCCACGAGCACCGTACGCAGCTGGCTCAAGCGGAGTGCGCAGGGGGAGCTGCGCAGTGCTGGGCAGTGTAGTAAGACGCGCTGGCCCAGCGAGGCAGGCGAGGCGGGCGTGGCATAGGCGGCCACGGCGCTGAGGACGCGCTCGAAGACGGCGGACCGCTGCAGTTGGAGAGACAGACCCGCGGGGGTCGGCGCGCAGCGCAGCACCGGGGCCACACCGGGGCCCTGCAGGCAGGCGAGGGCATGGAGCAAATGCTCCGGAACCTGCGGGAGAACGGGCGTGTAAAAGAGCCACGGCACGGGGCCCATCTCCCGGCCGCACGGCCCCGCCCGGCTCACGCCCACCTGGCCGTCATCGAAGCGCGCCTGCAGCGCGCGGTGCGGTGCCAGAAAGTCTCGGGAACGCAGGTGGCGGGTGCGCGTCTCCTTGATCCACACCGGACCGCCTGGCCCCAGGGCCGCGTTGAGGGCCCCCAGCGTCTCCCCGACCCCAAGGCGCCTGGTCGCCATGGTGACCGGAAGGAGTAAGCGGAACCGGAAAAAAATTTAGGGAGGTGGAACTTCCGGAAAGGACCGACTAGCTGGGGCGGGGATGCGGCGGTGGTCCCCGTAAGTGGACAGGTGCGCCAGTGGTAGCCCTGTCGGCTGCTTTCGACCTACCGCCCCCAGCGCCCCTTCCGCGTGGTCCACCTGCACAGCCGGGCCCCGGATCTGAAATCTCGGGGCCCTCCCTGGGCCTAGGGTTCTTTCGCTGTGACCCAGGCCTTAACCAGGAAAAGGATCCTCGCGACCCGGTGGGCGCTTAGACCGGGTACCGTCTCTTCTCATCGAAGTCTCACATGTTTGTTTTAATAACATTTCATTTCTCCCATTTTACACATGATGAATATTCGTCACTGGAATAAGGCAGTATAACATTAAGGCCACTTTCACGACCTACTTAAAATATCTCGTTTTAAAAAGAATAGTGTTCCGCGGTTTCAGGTTATTTGCAAGCATTTTCTCGTTTGAGATATGGGTGTTTTTTTGTTTGTTTGAGACGGAGTCTTGCTCTTGTCTCCCAGGCTGGAGTGCAGTGGCACGATCTCGGCTCACTGCAGCCTCCACCTCCCGGATTCACAGGATTCTCCTCCTCAGCCTCCCGAGTAGCTGGGATTACGGGCGCCCGCCACCACGCCCGGCTAATTTTTGTATTTTTAGTAGAGACGGGGTTTCGCCATGTTGGCCAGGCTGGTCTCGAACTCCTGACCTCGTGACCTGCCCGCCTCGGCCTCCGAAAGTGCTGGGATTACAGGCATCAGCCACTGCACCCAGCCCGGGTGGTCTTTATGCCCAATAAATAAGCACTCTGATACAGTTGGCGGTTTTCTTCTCTTGATACCTGAGAAATCACAACCATCATGATGGCTTCCAGAATTACCAGACTTTTTTTTTTTTTTTTTGAGACGGAGTTTCGCTCCTGTTGCCCAGGCTGGAGTACAGTGGTGTGATCTTGGCTCACCGCAACCTCCCCCTCCCGGGTTCAAGTGATTATCCTGCCTCAGTCTCCCAAGTAGCTGGGATTACAGGCACGCGCCACCACGCCCGGCTACTTTTGTATTTTTAATAGAGACGGGGTTTCTCCATGTTTGTCAAGCCTCGAACTCCCGACCTCAGGTGATCCGCCTGCCTCGGCCTCCCAAAGTGCTGGGATTACAGGCGTGAGCCACCGCGCCCGGCTCAGAATGACCAGCTTTTAATGTGACTCCTTTAACCTGGTGTGCTTTAACAACGATCCTTAAAGCTTCCTGTTTTAGGCAACAGCCATTTACGGGCCAACCAAATAATGCGACCATAATAGAAAATAGGCCTCAGTTGGAGTATCTTGCTCCTCTACCAATAGGAAAGGTCTTTTTCTTTCTCCCACAAAGGTTCCCAAATGTCTTCATTTCACTGTAACTTACTCACCCCCCACCCCACCCCCATTCCTTTTAATAGAGAAGCTAACTCAGTAGAGAGAGTTGGGAAATCCGGAGAGCAGGGAAACCCAGGGGCAGGAAAAGCTTGGCAAGGCCCCTTTCTGGGCCAGGGCTGAGGCCCTGCTGGGAGGCGCCGAAAGAGCACTGGGCGGACACGACATTCCCGATGGCTTCTCGGGTGCCCACTCAACGGGAGTGATCGTGTCATTCCAAAGCGCTTTCCATTCTGAAGGTGCATGACCTGGAGACAACTGCTTAGCAGGGTTGGGAACCCTCAGTCAAACTGAGGACTTCAGATACTCTCATCCACGAAGACGGTTGGGGTGGTTTTTCCCCAGGAAGTAAGAGGGCTATCTTTAGCGAGATGCGGGCTGAGGCAGCCCTGGGGGAGTCACTACCATTGCAGCCCTACCCAGAGGTCCTGGGTCCACCCTCCCTCGCCAATCCTCCCCAGGGTTCCAGAGATGGCCACCAGCCTCGGCTCTCCCACGTCTACACCCATCACCTCCAGCCTGAGGGCGCAACTGAGAGGAACTGAGACCCAAGCAGCTCAGTAAAGTATGTCTGGGGGTCAGGGGCACCCCATCTGGGCCAGGGCGCTGCTCAGGCAGGAGAGCAGGGGACGAAATCCAAGCGCAGCTGGAATGCTCTGGAGACAACAGCTGCTTTTGGGATTCCGTTGCCCGCTGTCCAGCCGTTGGCGGGGGGCGGGGGAGCTCCTGCCCCCAGGTCACTCGCCCTGGGGCCACATCAGAACCCGCCCATCCCCAGTCCCAGGAGGAAGACCCGGGAGTAGGTTGTGAAACGGAGTCTAGAGGGAACAAGACGCTCACCTGGGCCACAGAACAATAGAAGGGGAGGTGGGGGCCTCCCCTGGGACCGGGTCCCGATCCGGATTAGATCCGTGGGGCAGGATTAGCCCTGTTGGTCCCACGAAGCCTGGGCCACTGGTGCGGTGACGGTGGTGGGGCGGGCTTCGGAATCCGTCAGGAGGGAAGCGCGCCCGTGGGGCCGGAGAGGAAGTAAACCCGCGCGTCCACCTCGGGGACACCCCCGCGCTCGGTGGCCTTTGTCCGGTGACGCTGCCAGCGCCCGGAGCACCAGGGGCCGAAGGGGTCCACAGAGCAGCCGCGGGACCCCCGGAAACCCATTGCGACCGGCCCCAGGAGACCCACCACCAGGCTCCCACTGTGCCGAGCTTCCCGCTCGCCCGGCCCCGCGGGTAGCGAAAGCGACAATGTTCCCCTGAGGCCACGACAGAGCCGGCGTGCCGAGATGCCCAAACCCCGCGCGGGGGCCAGCGACTCTCGCGCCAGTAGGCCCTTGACTTGGATCAAGACGGGGGACGGGGGACTCCCAGGACGCGAGCAGAGTGAACGAGGACAAGGTGATGCTCCACGCGCTTCTACTTCAAGTCTGGTCCGGTTCGGCCTGGTCTGGGCCAGCCGAACAGCCACCCAAACACTATCACAGCTTGCCCTTCCGCTTGCTCTGGCTGCCTGCAGACTTGGAGCCATTTTAAGGAGAAACCACCTGGCCACGCCCCCTAGAGAACCCGAGAAGCCAATCCACGCTCGGCCACGCCCCTCTCCGCGCGCTGCGGAGAGGCCAACGGTCGCGCGGGTGACGGTTAGGGCGGGGCGTGCTTCCGCGTCTAGCCGGAGAAACTTGAGCCGGCTGCCCCGCCCACGGTGCCCGAAGCCCCAAAGGCTGGAATTAGGGGCTAGAAGTCTGGCACCCACCGCCTGGCCAGGTGTTCGGGACGCGACCAGGTGGGCGGTCGCCCCGCCCCGGGAGCGCGGCTTAATAGCTGAGAGCCCGGGGGCCAGGCCGCGGCTGCGGCCCAGGCAACGCCCTGAGGGTGGCCACGCTGCCAGGTGTTCCACTCCCCCGGGACTATGGGCAAGGGCCCGGGGCGGGGAGGGCGGCAGGTGCTGACACTGGAGCTGCGCCGGAGGTCGGGGAACTCGGCCTCCTAAGACTGAGGACACTCGCCTGCTGGGCCGGTCGAGCTGTGCGGTGCCCTCCGGGACGCAGGGGGCGCTGCAGCCACGCTGGGTCAGGCTCCGCAGGGCCCTCCCAACCCGGGGACTAACGGCGCCGGTGACGACTTCGCCGCGCGTTGGTCAGCCATGGCCACCGCTCTCGCGCTACGTAGCTTGTACCGAGCGCGACCCTCGCTGCGCTGTCCGCCCGTTGAGCTTCCCTGGTGAGCTTGGACCCCGCGCCCTCGACCATCCAGCCCCCTAGGGCCGGCGACTGCCAGCCCAGCACCTTCCGGCCTCTCGGGCTGCCCGGCCCGGCCCCGCGCCCCTGACCCTTTCCCTCCGCAGGGCCCCGCGGCGAGGGCATCGGCTCTCGCCGGCGGATGACGAGCTGTATCAGCGGACGCGCATCTCTCTGCTGCAACGCGAGGCCGCTCAGGCAATGTACATCGACAGCTACAACAGCCGCGGCTTCATGATAAACGGAAACCGCGTGCTCGGCCCCTGCGCTCTGCTCCCGCACTCGGTGGTGCAGTGGAACGTGAGTCCTGGCCCGCAGTGTGGAAACTGAGGCCCAGAGTCACAGGCCCTCACCCTGCTTGGTCCCTGCAAACTTGGCTTTCCTCTGTCTCCTCCTGCAGTGGATGGAGATGGGGAGAGGCTGCGTGGATTTGTCGTATTAAATGTGCCTCCTCCCTGCACAGGTGGGATCCCACCAGGACATCACCGAAGACAGCTTTTCCCTCTTCTGGTTGCTGGAGCCCCGGATAGGTACTGGGGAAGGGGAGGGAGAACAGAGGTGTTCTGGGCCCCAGAAGGCGACCCCCACTGCAGCCTCTCAACAGAACTGTAGACTAGCCACACCCACCCTTCCCTAGAGATCGTGGTGGTGGGGACTGGAGACCGGACCGAGAGGCTGCAGTCCCAGGTGCTTCAAGCCATGAGGCAGCGGGGCATTGCTGTGGAAGTGCAGGACACGGTGAGTCCCGGGACTGGGGCATGCTGCGGGGAGCACAGGCCTGGCGCTAGACAGGCTGATGCTGGCCTTTTCTTTGCAGCCCAATGCCTGTGCCACCTTCAACTTCCTGTGTCATGAAGGCCGAGTAACTGGAGCTGCTCTCATCCCTCCACCAGGAGGGACTTCACTTACATCTTTGGGCCAAGCTGCTCAATGAACCGCCAGGAACTGACCTGCTGACTGCACTCTGCCAGGCTTCCCAATGCTTTCACTCTTATCTACCCTTTGGCACTTATCTTGCTTATCAACATAATAATTTATACACTTCTCCCATTTTGTATCAGGTGTGTTGCTGGCCAGGAGCTGATGGCTCACTGGGCTCTTGGAGGGGAATGTGAAGAAACCAAGGAGTCACTTTTTCATCTAGATTACTTAGGATTCCTTGACTTTTCAGAAGTCGGGAAGCAGTATGTTTGCCTGTTGTAGACCTACTTGCTCACATGCAGATTTGAGAGGACCTCAACGGCTTTTCTCACAAAATCGCTGATTGTTTTTCTTTTTTTGAGATGGAGTCTCGCTGTCGCCCGGGCTGCAGTGCAGTGGCGTGATCTTGGCCCACTACAACCTCCACCTCCTGGATTCAAGCGATTCTCGTGCCTCAGCCTCCTGAGTAGCTGGAATTAGAGGCCCCTACCACTACACTGGGCTTTTTTTTTTTTTTTTTTTTCTGGAGATGAGTCTTGCTCTTTCGCCAGGGTGGAGTGCAGTGGCGCAGTCTCAGCTCACTGCAACCTCCGCCTCCTGGGTTTCAGTGATTCTCCTGCCTCAGCCTCCTGAGTAGCTGGGACTAGAGGTATGCATCACCACGCCCAGCTAATTTTTGTATTTTTAGTAGAGAAAGGGTTCACCATGTTGGCCAGGATGGTCTCGAACTCCTGATCTCAAGTGATCCACCTGCCTCCCAAAGTGCTGGGATTACAGACGTGAGCCAATGTGCCTGGCCGAGAGAGATTCAAGTTAGGGAATATATATGTGTGTTGACCTGGTCCTATATGGCCAAGCTATGGGCTAGCAGGATGCCCTGTGTATGCCAGTCCCAGGGCTTGTTCTTTGACCCCTTGGGAGCCAGAGTCAGATGCTCAGTGTGAGACTGAAACCCCAAGAGCCATAGCTATAGCTATAGTCAGCTGTTTTGTGAGCAGCCTCAGGAGGAACTTTTTGGACCTGGAACTACCCGCTTCCAGGTCCATGGAGCACATTTATCTCGGGGCCTGAGGCTCCCCCTGGAAATGAGGGTGCTGTTTTTGTGTGCATCTGTGGTAGTGGCAGCTACAGAGCCCCACCTGTCTGTTGAAAGATCAGGCATCACTTTTTTCTTTCTAAACTTTTATTGAAAAAAAAACCGAGGAGGTGTGCTGGATCCCTTTTCAGAAAAGCCGCTTCTCATACCTGCAGGCAGAAGGACCACCTGTGAGGTGAGGGCAGGAGAAAGGAGGCATGAGGTATGGCAGAGGCCCCACCAAGGACAGGGTGACTTACGAATGGAGGCTATGGACGCCACCTTCCACCTGGGCTGAGGACGTTCTCTTCTCAAACTTAAGCTCCCCAGAGTACATCATGGCTCTGAAGAAGGGCAGAGGTCAAATGTGGGTAGCTGGCCCTGGACCAGCCCCTCTACCCATGTCCCAGCTCCCCAAGCTCACCGGACTTGGGTCAAGCTCTTGGCACCAATGTCCTGGCATGAGTGTTGGATGCCAGCAATCAGGTAAGGGACAAATTTGTGGATTGACCCTTTGTCCTGCACAGCACCAGACACTCCCTGGGCCACTTTGATTTTGTCAGCTTCACTGCAGGGAGAGGCAGAGACACGGGCAAGGTCACAGCAGAGATGAGACTGTCAGTGCAGGATTAGGGTGGGGTAACTGGCTTGCCTGTCCCACCTGAAATATCTGTTCTGGCTGCTGAGGTGCTTGTCCATGGCATCGAGAGAACCCATACCGCGATATTTCTTTAGCCGGATCCCATCGGAAAAGAAGTATTCACCAGGGGCCTCAGTGGTGGCAGCCAGGAGAGAGCCCATCATGACTGCGGACAGATGGAGTGCTTGGGTTAGAGCCTAAGCAGCACTAGGGAGGGGGTCCCACTGGCCTTCACGGGTACTGGGCCTCACCTGTGGAGGCCCCAAGGGCCAAGGCTTTCGCAATATGACCCACATTTTGGATTCCTCCATCAGCAATGACCGGAACACCAAAGCGCCGTGCATACTCTGACACCTTGTACACTGCTGTTGCTTGGGGCCGCCCACAGGCCAGCACTGTTGAGATGGAGGAACACATGGGTGGATAGGGTTAATGGGGACGGGCAGTGGACCCTGTGGCCATATTTAGGACCCAGGAGCTTTTGGCTACATCTGCATCAGGACTGCAGCTTGGCTGAGGAACAGACGTGTCTGGGATGGCTGCTGCCACATCTGCCTTAAATAGTACAAACAGCTGTGCTGACCTCTACTCACCCCCACATGTGCACGTGCATGTGTGCAGTGCCCAGGGCAGCCTCAGGCACATGCAGTCTTAGCAGCCGGGAAAGCCCCCGTCCAGCTGGTATCAGATGGGGCAGGAGTCACCGTGCAGTTAGTCCCCAGAGGCACTGAGGTCAGGCCCAGCCCTTCCTCCCTGAATGGTGGGCAGCTCAGGCAAGATAAGGGCAGTGGTTGTGTAGGAGAGCAGGCTGTGGTTGTGTGGAGCAGGCAGTGGTTGTGTGGGAGAGCAAGGACCACACAAAGGAGTTGGTCCCTGAACTATGCCTACTGCAGAAGATGTGGGCAGAAAAGGTCCTGCCTAGGGAAGAAGGTCCTGCCCTATCAGCACCCCAGAAGGAAGAGGGAGCTATGTTCTTGAGCACCACCCCCAAACCATGGTCTGTGTATCAGTTGGCCTTGCCCACCCATCAGCACCACAAACCCCGGGAGCTACAGCTACGTCAACCAAGCAGCCGGGCAGTGGGCAGCTGGGCCGGGCCAGTGGGCCGGGCTGGACTTACTATAGCAACCCGTGACAGTAGAAGGGCATTTGGGGCTGTGGGACTTTATGTCTGGAGGGATCTTGGGAGCCACTAAATAAAACAAACAGACCAGAGTTTAGAGAAGGTGCAGAGCAGGAGCAAGAAGGCCAGGCTAGGCAAGGGAGTGGCAGGTGATGGATGACAAGACCTTGTCTTGCTTCCAGCCATGTCACCCATCCAAGAGGCCAATTTGGCCCCAGGGTTGCCCCTATTGGAGGGCTCTATTGTCCCCATAAGAGTGCTTGGTTCCAAGGTATGTGGGGCCTGAAACTGGGGTCTCTGTGGGCCCTATCAAAGTATATTCTTACCTTCCTGCGTAATGCAGATGGAGCCACTTCCCATGCCCACCCGCAGGGCATCCACACCTGCATCAATGAGGTTCTTGGCCTGGGCAGCAGTGACCACTATGGTGAAGGAAAGGAAAATGCTCATGTGAAGGTTAAGGTGGGAGCCCAGCTTACCCACTCCCACCACACATCCTTCAGGGCACAATCTTGCCTTACCATTGCCTCCAATGACTTGGAGATTAGGGTATTTGTCTTTGATGTACTTGATCATATTGATCTGGAAGATGGAATTTCCCTGGGAAGAGTCCTAGGACAAGAAGTAAGTCTCAGACTGTGATGTGGCAGCTGCCCCTATTGCCCCAACCCACCTGTGTAGCAGCTCACCAAAACCACTACATCCACACCAGCCTGGGCGAGCAAGTCCAGCCTATACTTGTCATCCTCATGAGTGCCAATGGCTGCCCCACACAGCAGCTGTTTCTTGGCATCTTTGGAGGCTAGTGGGTAGTCCCGATTCTTCTTCAGGTCTGTCCGGGCAATGATGGCCACAAGCTCATCATCTTCATTTACAATGGGCAACTTTCCTGTGGTCAGGGCAGGACATGAATCAGGACCCTAGGCATTAGTTCCAGGCCCTTTCCCAGCTCTAGGACTTACCCTTCTTGCTGCGCTGCAGAATTTCATTTGCCTCCTTCAGTGTGATGCCTGCAGGGGCTACCACCAAGTCTTCCCTCTTTGTCATTATCTACGTGGGAGGTGAGATGTGAAGAAGGGCCAGTCATCGACTATGACCAGTTAACTCTTTTCTTTCCTTCCCAAGTAGCTGAGCTCAGAGGCACGCGCCACCACACCCAACTAATTTTTTGTATTTTTAGTAGAGACGGGGTTTCACCATGTTGGCCAGGCTGGTCTCAAACTCCTAACCTCATGATTTGCCTGCCTCAGTCTCCCAAAGTACTGAGATTACAGGGGTGAAGTTCTATGGACCACCACGTTCATACATTCACACCCAAAACACCCTTCCTCAAGGGATCCCAATAATTCTTAGCAGTATGGTATTGAGTGAGGGATGAGTAGAAAGGACAACATGGCACAGGGAGCACCCTCTTACACTATGGAATAAGGAGGACAACACAGGAACAATGGCAAGAAAATCAGGGCAGACCTCAAGCACTGCCCCTACCTTAGGGGTTTAAAAGAACAAAGCATGAATACTAGCAAGCATTTGGGCAGTTTGAAAGCCTCTGGTGGGGAAAGGATGCAGGAACCCAATAAAGGAGTCAGAAACTTGGTTTGACACTCCTTTCCCAGAGAGAAGAGGCTATCAGAGATGTCTTAGACAACAGAAGCCCCTTGTCTTCAACCTGGGCTGCTAGAGCTTGGATCTACTCTGCCAGTGGCACCCACCTCTTCCAAGAAACAGTCATGTTCCTCCTCTTTGAGAAAATCAATGTCCCTGGAGGAGATGATGCCCACCAAGCGGCTCCCCATCCGGCCTGTGTCTGTGATTGGGATACCGCAGAAACCATGCCGGGCCTTGGCCTCAAAAACATCCCGCACGCGATCCTTGGGGCTGAGGACCACAGGGTCTGTGATGAATCCCTGTTCATATTTCTGGAAAGGGATGGTGAGAAAGGGCATCGCATCTTTGAACTACTTTCATCAGGCTCTTGATCTGAAGCATGGGGTCTCTGCTTATCGATCCCTTTGGCAGTGCCACAAGACCAAATCACACCAACACATCTTAGAGACATGGGTAGGCTGGAGGCACTGTACACCTGGTCTATTGCTGCTGCTTTAAGAAACAGAATCTCAGGGTCTTCTCAGTAACTGAACCCCATGGTGGGAAGAAAGAATACTAAATTAGAATAAACCCCTACTCCCACCCCACCCCACCTCAGTGCAATTCCCAGGAGCGCTTGCTAATGATCGTTGCCCTTCTGACCTTCACTTTCCGAACTTCATTGGCCTGGAATTCAGGTGTACAGTTGTGGTGGATGAAGCCAATACCGCCTGTAAGCTACAGGATAAAAAGAGACTACTACTAAGTGACAAGAAGCAGGACTGAATGCCTTTGGGGAAAGGCGATGGAGTCCTTGCTCCTTCCCCCACACCCCATGGGGCTCACCGCCATTGCTATGGCCATCCCAGCCTCTGTGACTGTGTCCATGGGAGAGGAAACCAGTGGGGTCTTAAGAGTGATTTTCTTGGTCAGAGCAGAAGTCAGGTCCTGAGGAGACAAACGTCAACCAGTGTGGGAAAGCATCCCTTACACCTCAAGGTGTTACTGAGTCCCCCACAAAAAGGCACTTTTGTATGACCTGCATGCTAACAAGCAACATGATCCTATAAAATCCACCCCCAAGCCCAATCTGGTGAGTTAGCCCAGAGACCAGGTGATAGTAGCACCTTAGCTCACCTTGATGTTCAGGACCCAATTCCTGATCATACTCACCACCTGGTCTGCAGTGAAGTCGATGTACCCAGGGAGAATGAGAAAGTCACTGCGAGGGAAGGGAGTGAATTGGGAGTAAAGCTCTCAGCTTAGGGCAGCATGAGACTCCATCCCCATGTACCAATCAACCCGTAACGCATGTGAGCAGAGAGTGGCACTGACAGAGTCTGTGTGTCACAGGCACAGCACAAGGTGGAAATGGGTACAGGGGACCTTTTCTGCCACCGAGCTGTCATCAGTGCTCCTGGCACCCTGACAATTCCATGTGTCTGGAGCATGGAATCTCCGGCCTGAGATTCCAAGCACTACTGAGATGCTTCTCCGTACCCCAAGCACCGCTCCAGATGTCTCAAAGTGAGCCCCGGAGGTGGGTGGCCAATTCCCGAAACCTGTCCCCCACGCCCACGCCCAAGGCGGCTCTCGGAAGCCCCCATCTGGCCTTTTCCCCAGGGTGCCGCCCCTCTCTTCGCCCAGGTGAGCCCCATAGGCCCGCACTTGTAGGTGAGGCCGTCTCCGCAGTTGAAGAGCTGCTGTGCTGTGAGTCCGTCGTCTGGCACGTAGGACGTGCCCCCACTAATCAGGTAGTCGGCCATGGCCAACACAGGACACCGCCGCGTGTCTCCGAGGACCGCGCCGCAGAGACCTCTGCCGTCTGGGCCGCGCCAATATAAACCAGCCGATTTCGTCACTGCGCTGCGCGCGACGCTGACGTCAGGGCGTAGTGCGCGCGGGCGGAACCTACCCGCCTCGCTGCGGCGGGGGCGGAGCTGGCGCTGAAGAAACAGCGCATGCGTATAGCACATAGTGGCCTTGTCACTGAGGAGCTGCCACTTCACGTCCCACCCCACACTCCCCGCAGGACCTCGGCCAGTTCAATTAACAGGCAAGGGTTTACTTCTACTGTCCCGCCGGGCTCCTCCCCAAAATAAAGAGACGTTGTTCACTAACATGTTGAAAAGACGTGCTTGTCATTCTTAATAAACAACTAGAGTAAGAATACATAAGAGAAACAGAGTGGTATCTTTATATGATACACAAGTGTATGTTACAAGAATTCCATCAGGCACAGGAGCCTCAGGTTTTAAGGCCTCAATGTTAGGCCAACAAAAAAAAAAAAGGCATGGTAAAGTTTTTACTTTTACATCTAAAATGTCACTTGTCATAAAGGAGGGTGTAATAGAAATTGTCTTTAATAAATCATAATTGAAGTTCCCCTCATTTTTCTTCCATTAAGATGCTAAGTTTATGTCTGATCATGAAGAAAGAAAAGAACATCGTTCCCCTGTGGTCAGCAAAGTCTGTCAGCCCAGTGGAAGTCGGCTGGGGAGATTCCCTCCAGGGTCCATCCATCATTAATTCCATCTCTCTTGAAGATGGAAAGGGGCCACATTTCTTTTCACAGTCCAAGCCCTTTCCCCAGGCCCCAGACAAAAAAGAGTCAGCCAGCAACTTTCTAGGACATATGACACTCAAGGAAACCCAGAGCCACCATCGGCTGAGGAGTCTGCCGCAGCAGGTTTATGAAGATGCAAAGGGGGCAAAGTTTTCTTTTATATTTTAAACAGAAGCAGCCTGAAAGGCTTCGTAACTACACCAATAAAAAAAAGAAAAAAAAAAATGGAGGCCTCTTCTTTAGTGTGAAAGTCTGTCTGGTTTTTCCTGGCTGGTTTCTCTTGTGCCATGGCCAAGGCATCTCAGTGCATAGTGCTTGCATTGGCCACTGCGATGGCCTCCTGAATTTCTCTTATCACCAGGATCCGCGTCAGCATTTGTCCCATCTGCTCTCTGCTGATAGGCTGGACTGAGTACCAGATTGGGCTGTTGGGGGCCACCACTGGCTCAGGTGTCAGGTAAAAGGTGTCATTCCGGCCTTTCACACTCTGGGGGCTGAAGAATATGCGGATAAAAGTTGGGTACCACCAATATAACTTCAACCCTCCCACCCTGAACTTCCCAGACAGATGCTGTCTGCAAACAGTAAGGCCCCAAGTTATTGTGGCACAGCTACTGAATTCCATGCAGCCACCACACACTACATCCTGGTCCTCCTTTGGGACTACTGCAAATCCCCCAAATGTTGGGTTACTTCCCCTCTGCCCCTCCTTCCCACAAACCAGCTGTGATCCATCACTGACTGCACCAGCCTAGGGCTCTCATGGACTCATGTGAGTCTATCCTTATCCTACTTGAAGCCAGCTTCACTGCTCAAAGCGTCTATCTCCAAGTCTTTGCGCTTTTTTTTTTTTTTTTTTTGAGATGGCGTCTTGTCTCCAGGCTGGAGTGCAGTGAGGTGATCTCAGCTCACTGCAACCTCCGCCCCCTTGGTTGAAGCGATTCTCCTGCCTCAGCCTCTGGAGTAGCTGGAACCATAGGCACGAGCCACCAAGCCCAGCTAATTTTTGTATTTTTTAGTAGAGATGGGGTTTTTCCATGTTGGCCAGGCTGGTCTCGAACTCCTGACCTCAGGTGATCCACCCACCTTGGCCTCCCAAAGTGCTTGGATTACAGGCGTGAGCCACGGTGCCCAGCCTCATGTTGTGTTTTCTACCCAATAATGATGGCCATTACAGTGGGGCCCTAAACTTGGGTTCACCCCCCTCCCCCGAACTGTGCTGTACCTCTATTAAGTACTTGGCATGCTGTATCCTCTAACAGTTATTCATCCATCCATTCAAGATTTATTCAAGGGTTACTAGTGCCAGGTCAGCACTAGGTGCTGATATTTAAAAAAATGGGCAGGAAAAGTATTTCCTACCCATGGAGCTTACAGATAGGAGGGGACACAGGTAGCAATTAAAGTTAAACAAATACAAAATAAAAAACAGTGATAAGTGCTACCGAGGAAACAGTCACAGGGAAGAGGTGGGGAATCTGGAAATGCTTCCCTGATAAGCTGTGTTTAAGTTGAGAAGAGGCATAATATGATGTCCTTGAGTGGAGAGGAGCTAGTGTGGCTAGGGAACTAAGAGCTCCACAGACATGAGGTTAGCAAGGGGGAGTGCATCAAAGGAGTTGTCTGCCATAAAAGAATTACTATGTAATGAGAAACCATTGAAGGGGCAAAAGGGAGAAAAAGCTGAGAGGAGTCTCACCTAGATTAATGATGGCAGTGACAAAAGGTCAAGGTCAGGAAGCAGGGCCATGCTCAATATGTGATGAAGGTAGATTCTCTGTACCTTCATACCCTTTTCATGAAAGGTGACTGTAGGGACCCGGGACCCCTTTTTCTATCAGTGCTAGGCACATCACACACCTTTGGAAAGCCAGAGCAAGGCTGCTTCTAAATTTAGCTTTCTGGAAGTGTTTTTACTTGGTTTGGGACTAGAGAATGCCTCTCCCCTATGATAAGTGATCACACAAGTGAGCATGCACACGCATACACACACATGCGCACACATGGACAGCAAGTCACAATAAAGCCTCACCATTTGAAGAGGTAGAAATCATAGAGCTTGATGGGACATCTCAATGGATTCTCTGGATTTTCCGTCTGTTCTGCATACATGTCATCTGTAACTATAAAACACACATCCCCACCACCACAGACCTGGCATCAGACTGCCTTACCTCAGGCCCAGATCAGGAAACTTAGGCTTTCAGCCAGCCCAACTAGGAAATACAGGGTCGGGGGAGGGAAGGTATGAGGCATGGGCAGTGACTACTAAGGGAAGAGGCAGCTATTCTGTCTGGGGCTTCTCTGCTTCTAGGAGGAAAGTTTGGAATTTTTGGCTGGGGAGAAGGGAGTGGAGAATTTTATCCAGCAAATCCCAACCTTTACACTTATCACTAGCCTCACAGGCACAAGGGCAGGACAGGGCAGGACAAGTAGCACCTGTTTTTGCCATCCCTGCCTCCTTTCCCTACCTTTCTGGCCAGTCTGGTGTATTCCAAGGGCCTTCAAGTACCGGATACTCGTGCTTTTATCCTTGGGATTAGAGGGGTTCTTCTTTGTCTGTCGCAAGACCTTGGAGAAGGCCAGCTTCATGTGCTGGTCCACTGTCTTCAATAGGAAGTACCTGGATCACAAGTAAAATGCAAGGCAGAGGGAGGGGTGCCGGGAGGATACCATGACTCATCCTCTGCCCACTGGTGCTTCAGAGGAGCCACTGCCCACATTCCCAAGATCTGGGCAGGCCCGTACCCAAGCAGTGTCCAGTGCAGGAACCACATCAAGATGGATGGTAGGGGTCTGGCAAGGGTGTTTGCCTCACTGGTTACCAAATAAAATGCAGCCAAGTGGGGTTAGGGCTTTCAGTAGCCCAGTTTCTCAAATATATGTCAGAGGAATTCAGAAGGCCTCTTGGATAGCTTCCACACTCTTCACTGGACAGATGCCAGCAGTGGAGCCTCTAGAACACTTACTTGGTATTAAAGAACATGAGGGTGGTCAGCAAGGTGGAGGGGGAGTGAGCCCCAAGCTGCTTGCACTCCCATAGCATCTCCTCAGTCACGTGGCTGGGCAAGACATAGCCTAGGAGGAATAGAGTACTGTCACAACAAGAGGATGGCAGGTGGTCTCTCAAAGGTACAATATGGGATGTGTGAAGCATAAGGACCACACAGGAGTATAAATTTCATCAGGGGACTCTCCCTAAAGTGTGGCAAAAATCATCTGGAAAGCTTCTTAAAACACAGATAGCTGGGTCCCAATCTGTTTCTGAGGTGGAACCTGATGATGAGCACTTCTAACACCACACTTGAGAACCACAGCCTTACATGATTGTTGTTACCCTCTAATCCAAGGCTAACACAGGGCAAAAAGACTGCCCTCAGAGACAGTGAAGTACAGAAAACTATAAACCAAACTCTGCATATATGCATAATTCTCTGAGAGTGTACAGAGCTTTGCATATTTTCAAAGGTGGTCCAGGACCCAAAGAACTGGCATGCACGCCCGTTTGCCCTTACCAAGTCTTCTCTCATCTCAACTGTCTCTAAAAAGCAAGGCCGGCCAGGCGCAGTGGCTGATGCCTGTAATCCCAGCACTTTGGAAGGCCGAGGCGGGTGGATCACGAGGTCAGGAGATTGAGACCATCCTGGCCAATATGGTGAAACCCCGTCTCTACTAAAAACACAAAAAATAGCCGGGTGTGGTGGCGGGCTCCTGTAGTCCCAGCTAATCGGGAGGCTGAGACAGGAGAATGGTGTGAACCCAGAAGGTGGAGCTTGCAGTGAGCCGAGATTGCACCACTGCACTCCAGCCTCGGCAACAGAGCGAGACTCCCATCTCAAAAACAAAAAAACAAAAAAACAAAAAAAACAAAAAAAACGGCTATTGTCATTTCTTCTCTAGATAAAGAGACTGATACTCTTTGGGGGATTTTATTATTATTATTATTATTATTATTATTAGCTAAGATACAGGGTCTCTTCTACAATATTTATCTTTTTTTAAAAAAGGAAGACCAGGCATGGTGGCTCACGCCTGTAATCCGAGAACTTTGGGAGGCGGAGGTGGGAGAATTGTTTGAGCCCAAGAGTTGAAGACCAGCCTGGGCAACATAGCCAGACCTCATCTCCACTGAAAATCAAAAAAATTAGTCGTGTGATGGTGCACATCTGTGATCCCAGCTACCAGGGAGGCTGAGGTGGGAGGATTCCTTGGGCCTGGGAGGTCAAGGCTGCAGTGAGCCGTGATCGCACCACTGTACTTAAGCCTGGGTGACAGAGTGAGATCCTGTCTCAAAAAAAAAAAAAAGGGAAAAAAAAGAGATGGGGTTTCGCTCTGTCACCCAAGCTAGAGTACAGTGACACAATCATGGCTAACTGCAGCCTTGAGCTCTTGGACTCAAAGACTCCTCCTGCCAGTTTCCTGAGCAGTTAGAAATACAGGCGTGAACCACCACGCCTAGCCAATATGCCAGTATTTGAACTATTACAAGATCCCCCCCACAGGGCTGGTGTTACTGTAAGACCCTGGTTCATAAGTGAGCCCAGAGCTAGGTACAGGCAAAGGTCAATAATTTGAATAAGAGCCCTGGTCAGCCAGGTCTGCACCAAAGAAAGATGACATTTGAATGACTACCAAGCCCCTTCATGTGCTGAAGTCAGTCAGTATGCACATGTTTGTGCACTGGGTGCATAATGAGATAGGAGCAGGCAACAGTATTCTCCTGCAGGGTTTCGGGATTCTCCAAGCAAGCACAGTGTGTGACACTTCCTGGAAGCAGAAAAAAGAACATTCTGCCCGATACACTCCTCTTCTGTGTTCTATGCTCTTGCCAAAACAAAGCTGGCTCTCTAATAGTGCATTTCCATCTCTTTAAGGCAGTTCTGACTCTATTTTTTGTCTACTTTTCGGCTATTTTGTGACCCAGTGGCAATGGGAAAAGCTTTTCTGCTCTTAGACATATCTGAAGCCCCCAAGATCCAGGATGAGCAGAAAACAGCCCTTCTCAGCAAAGAAGGATTCAAGGAATCCTCTCACCTCAGCCTCCCTAGTAGCTGGGATCACAGGTGTGCACCATCACACTCGATTATTTTTTTTGATTTTTAGTGGAGATGAGGTCTTGCTATGTTGCCCAGGCTGGTCTTCAAATCTTGGGCTGAAGCAATTCTCCTACCTCGGCCTACCAAAGTTCTGGGATTACAGGCGGGAGCCACCATGCCTGGCCTTCCTTTTCTTAAAAAAATAATTTTTCTCCTGGGAACAATTATTGCCATACTTTGGCATGTTCCACTTCTCTGGGTTCGCTCTGTCACTTGCTCCCTCTGATGTCACTTCCCTAATTTTATTCTCTTCTCTACAATTTGTAATAAACTTGGCTGGGTGTGGTTACTCATGTCTATAATCTCAGCACATTGGGAAGCCAAGGTAGGAGGACTGCTTGAACCCAGGAGTTCAAGACCAGCCTGGGCAACATAGGGAGACCCTGTCAATACAAAAACCTTAAAAAAAAAAACAAAAAAAAACAGCTGAGTGCAATGGCTTGAGCCTGGGTCCCAGCCCGAGCCCAACAGGGTGAGGCAGCAGTGAACTATCATCATGACATTGTACTCCAGCCTGGGAGACAAAGCAAGACCCTGTAAGAAAAACTAAAATAGCCTGGGCATGGTGGCTCATGGGTGTAACCTTGGGAGGCCAAGGCAGGTGGATCACTGGAACCTAGGAGTTTGAGACCAGCCTAGACAACATGGCAAAACCCCATTTCTACAAAAAAAAAAAAAAAAACAAAAACTAGCCAGGTGTGGTGGTATGCACCTGCAGTCCCAGCTACTTGGGAAGCTGAGAGGTAGAAGGATTGCTTCAGCCCAGGAGGTAGAAGTTGCAGTGAGGCAAGATTGTGCCACTGCACTCCAGCCTGGGAAACAGAGCAAGACCCTGTCTCAAAATAAAAAAATAAATCAAAATAAAATAAAACAGACTCTATTGACTGAGGGCCAGGGCTCCTAGCATGGAAGTAAGGGGCTATAGATAAAAAAAACCTAGGTATTAGCCTTATAGTTCTGAATCTGAACTACAGGCACCAAAATGATGTATTTTATCTTTAAAAACAATTTCTAGTTCTGCCCACTGAAGATCCTAGAAACAAGACCAATCTAGGAACAATAAGCACCCCTGGCATACAGAGTAAGGCACTGAAATACCATTCCCCAATAAAAGGAACCAGGCTCCAGAACTGAAGGATTCTACACTAGAACAAGAAATGTCCAAGATGGGACTGAAACATTCTGTGAAATCAGAAATCAAGAAAGACAACTAGGGTCATGTCAAAAGGACTTAGGGGTCAATTTAAAGAGGCTTCTAATGGCCAATGATGGGACATTTGTGCATCAGTAAAGATGACTGCAAACAGCTGAATCTCATTAAATACGTTTAAATCTGTAAGTTCACAATGACTCTTAAAACAAGAAAACCTTAATTGGACATCACTGAGAGAAGCTGATGAACTAACTCATTTTTGTGAAAACTGGCTAAGCAAAGAAAAAAAGAAAAAACAAAAAAAAAAAACAGCCGTTAACCCTTCCTCTTCTATACAATCTATACCATCATGAACCCAAAGAGTTAAAGAGGGAAAGTTAGGGCCAGGAACAGTGGCTCATGCCTGTAATCCCAGTACTTTGGGAGGCCGAGGTGTGCGGAATGCCTAAGCTCAGGAGTTCGAAACCAGCCTGGGCAACATGGCAAAACCCCATCTCTACAAAAAATACAAAAATTAAACAAGCATGATGGCATGTGCCTATGGCCCCCAGCTACATGGAGGGCTGAGGTGGGAGGATCGCTTGGGCCCAGGAGGTTGAGGCTACAGGCTACAGTGAGCCGTGTTCCCATCACTGCAATCCAGCCTGGGTGATAAATCGAGACCCCCGTCTCTTAAAAAAAAAAAAAAAAAAAAAAGGAAAGTTTATCTTTATATTCCAAGTAATTATGAAGTAATAATAACATTAGAATACTGTTTTGCAACCCATAAAGAATCAATGGATTCAGACATTATGGGCACTGTGATCAAAGAAAGGCCAACTATGAAGTAATCTTGCCAAAAACAAAACAAAACAAAAAATCCGGAATCAATCTGTATATTCAATTACCAATCAATTGTAGATACATGGGGAAAAAAGAACATGTTAAACTACACTACAGAGTGCAATCAGCAAAAATTAGACTGTGTGACAATTTCAAAGGCTAGTTTCTTCCATGAATATACTGTAAGACAAAAGGGAGGGGGGCAATTAAGATGAACAGTAAATATTAAGGCCAGGCAAGGTGGCTCACACCTGTAACCTAGCACTTTGGGAGGCTGAGGCAGGTGGATTGCCTGAGCTCAAGAGTTCGCGACCAGCGCGGCCAACATGGTGAAACCCCGTATCAACTGAAAATACAAAAATTAGCTGGGTGTGGTGGCAGGCGCCTGTAGTCCCAGCTACTCGGGAGGCTGAGGCAGGAGAATCACTTGAACCCAGGAGGTGGAGGTTACAGTGAGCCGAGATTGCACCACTGAACTCCAACGTGGGCAAGAGAGAGAGACTCTGTATCCAAAAAAAAAAAAGGGCAGGGGACGGGCAGATCACAAGGTCAGGAGTTCCACACCAGCCTGACCTGGTGAAATCCCATCTCTACCAGACATATAAAAATTAGCTGGGTGTGATGGTGCGCGCCTGTAATCCCAGCTACTCAGGAGGCTGAGGCAGAATTGCTTGAACTTGGGAGGCGGAAGTTGCAGTGAGCCGAGATCAAGCCTCCGTCTCAAGAAAAAACAAAAACAAAAACACAACAGCCAATTTCAATATGTAGACTTAATTTTGACCTTGATTCAGATAAATCAAAATAATGAAATTTATAAGACTATTAAAAATTTTAATAAAGGGTAGATTTTTTTTTTTTAAAACAGAGTCTCGGTCTGTTGCCCAGGCTAGAGGGCAGTGGCGCGATCTCGGCTCACTGCAAGCTCAGCTCCCGGGTTCACACCATTCTCCTGCCTCAGCCTCCATAATAGCTGGGACTACAGGCACTCACCACCACGCCCAGCTAATTTTTTTGTATTTTTAGTAGAGACAGGGCTTCACCGTGTTAGCCAGGATGGTCTCGATCTCCTGAACTCATGATCCACCCGCTTCGGCCTCCCAAAGTGCTGGGATTACAAGCATGAGCCACTGCGCCCAGCCTAATAAAGGGTAGATTTTAATTACATTATGGATTTACCTTTTTTGTTGATTTAATTATTATTATTTTTTTGAGACTGAGTCTTGCACTGTTGCCTGGGCTGGAGTGCAATGGTGTGATCTCGGCTCACTGCAAACCCCGCCTCTCCTGGGTTCAAGTGATTCTCCTGCCTCAGCCTCCCGAGTAGCTGGGATTACAGGCTCCCACCACCACACCCAGCTAATTTTTGTAATTTTTTTAGTAGAGATGGGGTTTCACCATAATTGGCCAGGCTGGTCTTGAACTCCTGACCTCGTGGTCGGCCCACCTCAGCCTCACAAAGTGCTGGGAATTCAGGCGTGAGCCACTGTGCCCAGCCATTTTTTTAAATTATTTTTTAAAGTATGAGCCGGGCTCCGTAGTTCACGCCTGTAATCCTAGCACTTTGGGAGGTTGAGGCAGGTGGATCACCTGAGGTTAGAGGTTCAAGACAAGCCTAGGCAACACAGTGAAACCTCGTCTCTACTAAAATACAAAAAATTATCCGGGTGTGGCAGCATGCACCTGTAGTCCCAGCTACTTGGGAGGCTGAGGCAGAAGAACTGCTTGAATCCAGGAGCCAGAGGTTGCAGTGAGCCAAGATCGTGCCACTGCACTCCAGCCTGGAAGACAAAGTGAGACTCCATCTCAAAAAAATAAATAAATAAATAAAAAGTAAATATTAAAAGACATAACCGGGCCAGGCGCAGTGGCTCACGCCTATAATCCCAGCACTTTAGGAGGCTGAGGCGGGTGGATCACCTGAGGTCAGGAGTTCAAGACCAGCCTGGCCAACATGGTGAAACTCCATCTCTACTAAAAATATAAAAATTATCTGGGTGTTGTGGCACATGCCTGTAATCCCAGCTACTAGGGAGGCTGAGGCAGGAGAATTGCTGGAACCTGGCAGACAGAGGTTGCAGTGAACCGAGATCGTGTCATTGCGCTCCAGCCTGGGCGACAGAGTGAGGATCTGTCTCAAATAAATAAGTAAATAAATAAATAAGTAAGTAAGTATGATAGGCTGGGCCCGGTGGCTCATGCCTGAAATCCCAGCACTTCGGGAGGCCGAGGCGGGCCGATCACTTGAGGCCAGAAGTTTGAGACCAGCCTGGACAGGTGCCTGTAATCCCAGCTACTCGGAGGCTGAGGCACAATAATTTCTTGAACCCAGGAGGTGGTGGCAGTGTGCTGAGATTGCACCACTGCACTCCAGCCTAGGCAACACAGAGACTCCATCTCAAAAAAAAAAAAAAAAAAAAAAAAAGTATGGATAAAGTATCTGGAATTTACTTCCAATACAGGAGAGGGGAAACAGGTGGTGGTATACATAAGGTTTAAAATGGAAAAAATAAACTTAAAAACAAACAAAAACAAACAAAAAGGAATTAAACAGCAACAGGCCAGGCTCGGTGGCTCATGCCTGTAATCCCAGCACTTTGGGAGGCTGAGGCAGGCGGATCACTTTAGGTCAGGAGTTTGAGACCAGCCTGGCCAACATGGTGAAACCCTGTCTCTACTAAAAATACAAAAAAATTAGCTGGGCGTGGGGCACATGCCTGTATTCCCAGCTACTTGGGAGGCTGAGGCACGAGAATCACTTGAACCCCAGAGGCGGAGGTTGAAGTCAGCCGAGATCATACCACTGCACTCCAGCCTGGGCGATAGAGTGAGACTCCGTCTCAAAAGCCAAAAAACAGCAACAAAAAAAGATTTGCCATGGAAAATGGGTACATGGGGGAATTCATTAATCTATTGTTTATTTATGTTTGAAACTTCCATAATAACAGACTGAAAAGTGAAGTCTGCATATCCATACTTGGCTTGAAAACTTCCAAATTATGTAGAGTGATGTAGTCACTCATGTCTCTGTTCCAACAATAGCCCTCCCTTGTAATACTCTTAACACTTTCCATTCCTTTGTGTTCTGTTCTTCAAAGTACTTAAATTGCTAGGCGCAGCAGCTCACACCTGTAATCCCAGCTCTTAGGGAGGCAGAGGTGGGAGGATAGCTGGAGCCCAGGAGTTGGAGACCTGCCTGGGCAATACAGCAAGACCTTGCTCTCCACAAAAAAGGAGGGGAAAAAAAAAGACAAAGTACTAGAGTTAACTTACTTATTTATACACTGTCTTGCCTTACTATAGTGCAAGCTCCATTTTCTTCACTGCTATATTATATTCTCCGGCACCTAGCAGACTGCTGGGCACATAGTAGGCACTCAAAAAATTTGTCTAACCAGTAAGTTTCTTTTTTAAGGGTAAAGCAGCATACATTTTAATAAATGTATTTTATTAAATTAAACAGGGATTAAAACTCGGATATTTGCGTGAACACAAGTTTTAAACTTCTCTGAATGTCAAGGAATGCAACTGCTGCATCATAAGGCAACAATGTTTACTTTTGTAAGAAACTGCCAAATTGTCTTCCAAAGTGGTTGTGTCTTTTTGCATTTCCACAAGTGATAAATGACATGTTACTCCCTATCTGTGTCAGCATTTGGTGCTGTCGGTGTTTTGAATTTCTGCCATTCTAATAAATGTACAGTAGTATTTCATTACTTCAATTTGCAACTCTCTGATGACACCTGATGAGAGCATCTTTTTTTGGAGACAGAATCTCATTCTGTTGCCCAGGCTGGAGTGCAGTGGCAAGTGATCTTAACTCAATGCAACCTCCACCTCCTGGGTTCAAGTGATTTTATTGCCTCAGCCTCCCAAGTAGCTGGGATTACAGGCACGTGCCACCACACGCAGCTAATTTTTGTATTTTTTTTAGTAGATATGGGTTTCCCCATATTGGCCAGGCTGGTCTTGAACTCCCGACCTCAAGTGATGCACCCACATTTGGCCTCCTAAAGTGCTAGGATTACAGACGTGAGCCACCGCACCCAGCCCATCTTTTCATATACTCATGTGCCATCAATGCATTTTCTTTGGTGAGGTATCTGGTCAGATATTTAATATGTGTGTGTGTGTGTGTGTGTGTTTTATTTTTTGGTGGAGATAGGATCTCACCATGTTGCCCAGACTGGTCTTGAACTCCTGGGCTCAAGCAATCCTCTCACCATGGCCTCCCGAAATACTGGTATTACAGGTGTGAGCTACCAGGCCCAGCCTAGATATTTATTATGAATGAGATGGGGGTCTCACTTTGTTGACCAGGCTGGTCCCAAACTCCTGGGCTCAACTGATCTTCCCACCTCGGTCTCCCAAAGTGCTAGGATTATGGGTGTGAGCCACTGCAACCAGCTGCTACTCCTTTTTTTTTTTCTGAGACGGAGTCTCACTCTGTCACTCAGGCTGGAGTGGAGTGGCGTGGTCTCAGCTCACTGCAACCTCTGCCTCCCTGGTTCAAGCAATTCTCCTGCCTCAGCTTCCCGAGTAGCTGGGACTACAGGCACATGCCACCACGTCCAGCTAATTTTTTGTATTTAGTAGAGACGGGGTTTCACAGTGTTAGCCAGGATGGTCTCGATCTCCTGATATCATGATCTACCTGCCTCAGCCTCCCAAAGCTCTGGGATTATCTGGGATTACAGGTGTGAACCACAGCTCCCAGCCAATTTTTTGTATTTTTAGTAGAGACAACGTTTTATGTGTTGGCCAGGCTGGTGTCGGACTCCTGGTCTCAAGTGATCCACCTGCCTTGGTCTCCCAAAGTGCTGGGATTACAGGCGTGAGCCACCGCGCCCAGACTGTGTTTTTTTTTTTTTTTGGGCGGGGGGGCGGGGGTGGCACGGGGCAGACTCTTGCTCTTGTCGCCCAGGCTGGAGTGCAGTGGCACGATCTCAGCTCACTGCAAGCTCTGCCTCCCAGGTTCATGCCATTCTCCTGCCTCAGCCTCCCGAGTAGCTGGGACTGCAGGCACCCACCACCACAACCGGCTAATTTTTTTGTATTTTTTAGTAGAGACGGGGTTTCACCGTGTTAGCCAGGATGGTCTCGATCTCCCGACCTTGTGATCCACATGCCTCGGCCTCCCAAAGTGCTGGAATTATAGGCATGAACCACTGCACCCAGCCAAAGACACACAGGAATCTTAAAGGCATATTGCTAAATGAAAGGAACAAATCTGAAAAGGCCACATGCCGAATTATTCCAACTATATGACATTCTGGAAAAGGCAAAACTGTGAAGATAGTAAAAACATCAGTGGTTTTCAGGGTATCTGGGGGAGGGAGGGATAAACAGGTGAAAAGGTTTGTTTTTTTTTTTGAGACGGAGTCGCGCTCTGTCACCAGGCTGGAATGCAGTGGCGCAATCTTGGCTCACCACAACCTCCGACTCCCTGGTTCAAGCGATTCTCCTACCTCAGCCTCCCGTGTAGCTGGGATTACAGGTACCTGCCAACACACCTGGCTAATTTTTGTATTTTTAGTAGAGATGGGGTTTCACCATGTTAGCCAGGCTGGTCTTGAACTCCCAATATTCAGTGATCAGCCCATCTCTGCCTCCCAAAGTGCTGGGATTACAGGTGTGAGCCACCATGCCTGGCCCAGAAGAGGTATTTTTTAGGGCAGTAAACATTCTATATGACACCATGATGGTGACACATGTCATCATACATTCATCAAAACTCAGAATGTACAACAGATACAGAATGTAAACCAGAACGTACAACACAATAATATAGTTCATAGCACTATGAACTATAGTTAACAATAATGTATCAATATTGGTTTATCAATTATAACAAATGTACCATACTAACGCAACATGTTATTGATAGGAGAAACTGTGTGTGAGGGTATATACTTAAGGAGTTATATGGAAATTCTCTGTACTTACTGCTAAATTTTTCTGGAAACCTAAAAGTACTCTAAAACATAAAGTCTATTGGCTGGCCGTGGTGGCTCATGCCTGTAATCCCAGCATTTGGGAGGCCGAGGTGGGCGGATCACCTGAGGTCAGGAGTTCGAGACCACCATGACCAATATGATGAAACCCTGTCTCTAGTAAAAATACAAAAATTAGCCAGGCGTGGTGGCATGCTCCTGTAATCCCAGCTACTTGGGAGGCTGGGATAGGAGAATCACTTGAATCTGGGAGGTGGATGCTGCAGTGAGCCAAGATCACACCATTGCACTCCAGCCTGGGCAACAAGAGCAAAACTCTGTCTCAAAAAAAAAAAAAAAAAAAAAAAAAAAGTCTATTAAAAACAAAAATAGGCCAGGCACGGTGGTGGCTCACGCCTGTAATCCCAGCACTTTGGGAGGCCGAGGTGGGCAGATCACAAAGTCAGGAGTTTGAGACCAGCCTGGCCAATGTGGCAAAAGCCTGTCTCTACTAAAAATACAAAAATTAGCAGGGCATGATGGCACATGCCTGTAATCCCAGCTGCTCAGGAGGCTGAGGTAGGAGAATTGCCTGAATTGGGACCTGGGAGGCGGAGGCTGCAGTGAGCCAAGATCGTGCCACTGCACTCCACCCTGGGCTATAGAGTGAGACTCCGTTTCAAACAAAACAAAACAAAACAAAAATAGCTGAGCACAGTAGCGCATGCCTATAGCTCCAGCTACTCAGGAGGCTGAGGTAGGAGGATCGCTTGAGTTCAGGAGTTTGAGGCCCATCTCAGCAACATACCAAGACCATGTTTTTTTAAGAACAAACAAAGAAAAACACTGAATAACCTATGCTTTTGTTCCAATAGAACATGCTGTCCAGAAGGCTGCCTGTGAGTAAAGCAAAAATTATGCTCTACAGATAAAACTGTCCATAATCCTTAATTGTTATGATTCTAATTTTAATCAATACATTTTAATAGGAAAAAAAAGATAGTAACTACCCCACTAGTTCTGCTTGTTCCTGTGTCCTTCCCACACTGGAACCAGCAGGCTTCTCTGGTGAGCAGTGCCTCTTCCCTATCAGGGCAAGTAGCACAGTGGCCAATGCTGCTGCAGTCTGGGATTTATATCCCCCCTCACTCACATGCTTTTCATAGCCAACCACAGAAGCTATTGATCTTTCTTAAATCCAGGTAGGAAAGATATCCAAGGACAAGGGAGACTCTTACCAAGTGGAGTGACCCGGGGCTGAACATCCTTCAGAACTTCATGTAGCCACTCCGTGAACCGAACATAATAAAGATCGGAGAAAATGTCATCTACCCTTCCATTTTCAAAAAGATACTAAAAGAAAAACAATTAATAGAAGTTATTGGTAGTCTCCTGAACAAGGATTTCAGGGGAAATAAATATATTTTTCTACCAGTACTACTATCCTTCCCTACCCATTCACACCTCAACAAACCAAGGCACCAGCATGTGACACTTCCATAGTATGCCTAAGCTCATGTGACTGATTCTCATGACATTCTTGAGAGTTGGGTAAATAAGGCAGATGTTGTGAATGCTATTTCACCCAAGAAAGGCATTATTTTGTGTTAGCAAAAATCATGAATAGGCTCTGGGGTCAGCCTTCCATTAGATATTGTATAAGTTAAACAACATGTGCAAGTCTTTTAATTTCTGAGACTCAGTTTCCTTGCCTGTAAATGGAGATGATGGTATCTGCCTTCCAGGACTGGGAGAGCAAAGAATGAAAGCATGTAAAGCAATTCACATAGTACTTAGGTTAGGACCACCAAGAGAGGAAAAAACTAGGAGGCAGACATTTCTCAAGACTAGGCAACAGAATAAGTCCCAACCAGTAAGCCCTATTCTATTATACTGTGGGTTTCTCCTCAAGAGCCTTCAAACACTAAGAAATCCACCTCTGCTCCCTTGAACTGCCAGTCTGCAAATTTCTGTTATGCTTCACCACAGATGTCCTGAAAACCTAACTACATTGGTATATTATTCTAGCTAGACTCCTTCAAATAAGTAGTTAGTGCAGGGAACAATGAGAAGAAAACCTCTATGCTGGCACAAGACTCTGTTTTGAATAAATTACCTTCATGAAAATCAGGTTTAACAAAAAGAAAAGTGTTACATAAATGCTTTGTGAATTACAAAAAAAAAAAAAAAAAAAAAAAGTCAAGGTAATTACCAATAATGTAATAGAAGTTTAGGTAGTAGGATGAATAATGTTTGTTTTCCTATTTTATTATTTATTTTATGTATTTATTTTTTAAGAGGCAAGGTCTTGCTTTGTAGACCAGATTGAAGTGTGATGGCACAATCATAGCTGAATGCAGCCTCGCACTCCTGAGCTCAAGGGATCCTCCTGCCTCAGCCTCCCAAATAGCTGGGACTACAGGTGTGTGCCACCACACCCAGCTAATTTTTTTTCTTTTCGTTTTTCAGACAGGGTCTCACTCTGTCACCCAGGCTGGAGTGTAGTGACATAATCATGACTCACTACAGCCCCAACCTCTGGGGCTCAAGCAATCCTCCCACCTCAGCCTCCCAAGTAGCTGGGACTACAGGCATGCATTACCATACCCAGCTAATTTTTTGTAGAGATGGGGTTTCACTATGTTGCCTAGGCTGGTCTCAAACTCCTGGGGCTCAAGCGATCCTCCTGCCTTGAGCCTCCCAAAGTGCTGGGATTACAGGTGTGAGACATCTTGCCTGGCTCTTATTTTTTTTCTTTTCTTTTCTTTTTTTTTTAATTTTTGAGACAGAGTCTCGCTCTGTCACCCAGACTGGAGTAAAATGCTGTGATCTCAGCTCATTGCAACCTCTACCTCCCGGGTTCAAGCGATTCTCATGCCTCAGCCTCCCAAATAGCAGGGATTATAGGCAGTGCACCACCACACCTGGCAAATTTTTCTATTTTTAGTGGATGGGGTTTCACCATGTTGGCTGGGCTGGTCGTCTTCAACTCCTGACCTCAAGTGATCCACCTGCCTCGGCCTCCCAAAGCGCTGGGATTACAGGCGTGAGCCACCAGCGCCCGGCCCCGGCTGTTATTTTCTAAAGTGAACGTGTAGGTTTTTAAAACTTAAAAAAAAAAAAAAAACAACAAATGTGTATTTTAAAACTCACTGTATACCTGAAAGAGAACTTCCTTATTTTAACTTCTTGCTTATCAATTTATTAACTAAACTAGCAAACATCCAATAGGAACACAGCTCAAACATGTTCTTGTGAAGATCTGTTTCCTACCTTTTGAATACACAGGAAAATATAGTAGAGCACATCTGGGTCATAGGGTTCACCTTCTCCATTTCGAGCTTCCCGTGTCATTAGACAGAGCCCATAATTCAACTCTGCCACAGCAGAGGAGATGAGATCTTCCTGGAATCGCAGCAGTTGGCGCCCTGCAACGGAAGCCTCAAAAATGAATGAAGGTCCTGGGGGTCCATATCTGGAAGGCTCAGAACAGATACTGCCCATCAGGGTGCTGGGATAGAAATGCTCACTTGTATCTACTAGAATGTTTCATGCCTGTAATGTCAGAACTGGCCTATAACATGAGTATATGAGCCTAATGCCAAGAAAGAAGGGCTTGAGTGCCTATCCCTGGTTCCCATTTCCTCCCAGAAGCCACTCTGCTTAGGTCTGGTAGGGTCAACTCCTGAAACCCGTATGTCTAAAAATGCCTGGTTTTGGGCAAACCCCACATATCCTGCTTATTATGTACACAAGGTCAGTACTGCTTGTTACTAGGCTTGAATTCAACATACTATTACAGATGTTGCTCTCTTGTCCCCAAGACAGGAGACACCACTTTTCTGGCATTTTGTCCTCCTGTTACTTTAGTACCATTGCATTTTAGACACAGCCCACTCTTCTTCCAAGACACTCACTCCCAATGGGTGCCAATCTGTTCTGAGCATCCTTCTCTAGTTCAGCATTCTTGGTCTGGGCCCAGTTTTTCCATACTTCAAGCCCTTCTTCTGGCTTCAAAGAATTTGGAAGCAGAAGTTCTGGGGAAGGCTGTGGCTGTGACTGTGGTTCAACTTCAGCAACCTGGACAGTTTGAGCCTATAGGAGAGAAACCATGAAAATGTGTCAATATTGTTTTATATTAGATCCTTCTGCAAAATTGCCAGAAAAATGTTATGTATAGTTCATTTATTTAAGAAAATATTTCTCTACTCATTGCTGTCCTACTTTTAAGAAGCTTTGGAGTTCTACCTCTTGCCCCAGGGACAGCAAAAGCAGCACTGCAACTGGGCTAGTGCAGTGCTTCTCAGCCTTGGCTGCACTTTTAAATGTTTTTTTTTTTTTTTTTTTTTGAGACGGAGTTTTCCTCTTGTTGCTCAGGCTGGAGTGCAATGGCGCAATCTCAGCTCACTGCACCCTCCGCCTCCCGGGTTCAAGTGAGTCTCCTGTCTCAGCCTCCCGAGTACCTGGGTTTACAGGCATGCACCAACACGGCCAGCTAATTTTATAATTTTAGTCGAGACGGAGTTTCGCCATGTTGGTCAGGCTGGTCTTGAACTCCCAACCTCAGGTAATCTGCCCGCCTCAGTCTCCCAAAGTGCTGGGATTACAGGCGTGAACCACTGTGCCCGGTCAAATCTTTTATTTAAAAACACTAATAGCCAGACTTACCCCAGAATCTCTCTGAGGGGGAGCCAAGGTATCAATTGTTTAAAAACTCCTTGAGTAAGATTGCACCACTGCACTCCAGCCTGGTGATAGAGCGAGACTCTGTCTCGAAAAAAGAAAAAAGAAAAAACAAAACAAAACAAAAAAACTCCTCAAGTAAAAAAGTAATTCTAATGTTTGGTCACCACTGAGAACTACTGGCTCAAAGCACTGCTCCCACAGTCTTTAATGTGCAAACAAATCACTTGGGGATTTTATCAAAATGCATATTCTGATTGAAAAGGGTAGGAACTGAGACAACATTTCTTTCTTTCTTTTTTTTTTTTTTGGCGGGGAAAGAGTTTCGCTCTTGTTCTTGGATGCTGGAGTGCAATGGCAGGATCTCGGCTCACCTCAACCTCTGTCTCCCGGGTTCAAGCTATTCTCCTGCCTCAGCCTCCCAAGTAGCTAGGATTACAGGCATGTGCCACCACGCCCGGCTAATTTTGTATTTTTAGTAGAGATGGGGTTTCTCCATGTTGGTCAGGCTGGTCTTGACTCCCATCTTCAGGTGATCCGCCCTCCTCAGCCTCCCAAAGTGCTGGGACTACAGGCTTGGGCCATCGGCCGAGAGCACTGATTCTTAAACTGGGTCTCACCTTGAAATCATCTGGATTGCTTTAAAAAAAAAAAAAAAAAAAAACCCACCCTGGCCGGGTGCAGTGGCTCACACCTGTAGTCCCAGCACTTTGGGAGGCCGAGGTGGGTGGATCACGAGGTCAAGAGACTGAGACCATCCTGGCTAACACGGTGAAACCCCATCTCTACTAAAATACAAAAAAATCAGCCGGGTGTGGTGGCGGGCGCCTGTAGTCCCAGCTACTCAGGAGGCTGAGGCAGGAGAATGGCATGAATCCAGGAGGCGGAGCTTGCAGTGAGCCGAGATCGCACCACTGTACTCCAGCCTGGGTAACAGAGTGAGACTCTGTTCACAAAAAAAAAAACCAAAAAAAAAAAAAAAGAAAGAAACCTCACACTTGGGCCTTATCTCCAGCCATTGTAAGGTAGAGGCACATTGTCAGTATTTTTAAAAGCTTCCCATGTGATTTTTTTTTTTTCCCTCTGAGATGGAGTCTTGCTCTTTCGCCTAGGCTGGAGTGCAGTGGCACGATCTCGGCTCACTGCAACCTTCACCTCCCAGGTTCAAACGATTCTCCTTTCTCAGCCTCCCGAGTAGCTAGGATTACAGATATGCACCACCATGCCCAACTAATTTTTGTAGTTTTCGTAGAGACGGCTGTTATTGAACCATCTTGCTGGCTGGTATCGAACTCCTGACCTCGACTGATCTGCCCGCCTTGGCCTCCCAAAGTGCTGGGATTACAGGCATGAGCCACTGTGCCTGGCCTTCCCAGGTGATTTTAATGTCCAGCCACAGTTGAGCCATCATTTAAAGAAAAAAAAAGTGGTGAAACCCCATCTCTACTAAAAATAGAAAAATTAGCCAGGCATAGTGGCTCATGCCTGTAATCTCAGCTACTTGGGAGGCTGCAGCATAAGAATCACTTGAACCCAGGAGACGGAGGTTACAGTGAGCTGAGACAGTGCCACTGCACTCCAGCCTGGGTGACACAGAAAGATTCTGGCTCAAAAAATAAAAATAAAAAAGTGAATGTTTGAATAATGTTAAAATATTTCCAACTTTTTAAAATTCTTTTTTTGAGCAAAGTCTTGCTCTACCACCCAGGCTGGAGAGCAGTGGCATGATCTTGGCTCACCACAACCTCCGCCTCCCAGGTTCAAGGCATTCTCCTGCCTCAGCCTCCCGAGTAGCTGGGATTACAGGTGTCTGCCATCATGCCCGGCTAATTTTTGTATTTTTAGTAGAGACGGGGTTTCACCATGTTGGCCAGGCTGGTCTCAAACTCCCGACCTCAGGTGATCCGTCTGCCTTGGCCTCCCAAAGTGCTGGGATTACAGGCGTGAGCCACCATACCCGGCCAGATTCTGAAGAGATCTTTATACCCTAAAAATATTAAAATTCCAAGATTTTCCATTTTTTTAGTTTGGACTCTGATTTTGAAAGGCAAGAACTGAGTCACCACATGTTCAAAGAATGTGCTTGAGCTGGGCGCGGTGGCTCACACATAATCCCAGCACTCTGGAGGCCGAGGCAGGCAGATCACTTCAGGTCAGGAGTTGGAGACCAGCCTGGCCAACATGCTGAAACCCTGTCTCTACCAGAAATATAAAAAATTAGGCTGGGCGCGGTGGCTCACGCCTGTAATCCCAGCACTTTGGGAGGCCGAGGCGGGCGGATCACAAGGTCAGGAGATCGAGCTACTTGGGAGGCTGAGGCAGGAGAATGGCGTGAACCTGGGAGGCGGAGCTTGCAGTGAGCCAAGATTGTGCCACTGCAATCCGGCCTGGGCTAAAGAGCGGGACTCCGTCTCAAAAAAAAAAAAAAAAAAAAAAAAATTAGCCGGGTGTGGTAGCACACGCCTGTAATCCCAGCTACTTGGGAGGCTGAGGCAGGAGAATCGCTTGAACCTGGGAGGCAGAGGTTGCAGTGAGCCAAGATGGTGCCACTGCACTCCAACCTGGGCGACAGAGCCAGACTCTGTCTCAAAAAAAAAAAAAAAAAAAAAAAAGAATGTGCTTGGATTCTCAAAGGTGCTATAAAATGGCAAAAAATGAATTCAAATCACCCAAAGCCCTAGTTTCGCTCACTCACTAAATTCAAAAAACATGTGCAAAGTTTTGCATCAGGCCCAGAATACTGCGATATATTAAATTACAGTCCAGGGCAAAGAGCTGATTCAATCTGCAGCGTTGTGAAGAAAATCTTTGGCATCAGTTTTTCTCCTTAACTGCACTGACTAATCCAAGGATCACAAAAAACAACAACAACAACAACAACAACAACAAAAACCTATTACTCAAACAATTTCTTTGAAACAGTTCCATGAACTGCCAACCATCATGCCCCTCTAAGACATCTAGCACAGACCAGGAGGGCAGCTGAGCTCAGGGCCAGAGGACCCAATAGCAACAGAAGCCGCTGAGTGACCCATGCAGACATCCCCTCCTCCCCACCACCCACAGGCCCAAGCCTCCCTTTACCTAGTCAATAAGTACTTTCTTAGCTCAGGGAGCAACCCATCTTTCCCCCACTGTTTTATTAAAAAGTTTGTCACCAATTACCGTCTTGCTCAAAGCCAAGTCTCTAGCTGGGCCCAGACATTCTTGCCCTTTCTTCTACTTTTAATCTGAGGACTCATTCTCTGATTTCCATAGACCTTTGATCCAGATGCTGCATTCAGAGCTCCAATCACTATTCTGTCTACCCCAGAAATGAGCAATCTCTTCTTGGTGGCCTGTAGTAGCTGCTGCCACCACTACCAGCAATACCACCCTCCTTGTACTCCCCAGTCACATACACCTGAAATGAAAGGGTCAAATGCAATGGATGCTTTGGCCTTAACCTACTGGACCTTTCTGGCACATCCAACAATGTCACTCACAACATTGTCCTTTGCACTCTGCTCGGCTTCCTGATATATCATCCTCCCGGACCTCCCTCAGCTATCTAGCAGCTATTTCTCTGTATGCTTTGGGTTTTTCTCTGCCAGGCCCTTACGTGTTTGTCAACCATAGAGCTCCTCTATAGACCCACTTCTCATTTCAACTACATGTTCTCCCTGGTGAGTCTCACCCACTTTTCCAGTTTGGATATCCATATTTGTCAAAGTGACCACTATGTACCTCCAAGCTAGAACCCCCCCTGCGCCCCCCCCCCCCTCCGCTTAATATACCTAGTGGGTACTATACATCTCCAACTGAACAACTCATAGCCACCTCAAACTAACATCTACAAAGAGTATTCATTAGCTTCCCTGCCCAGATCTATTCTCCTGAGTTACCTCTCTCCTTCGTTCAATGGCAACATCATTTACCCAAACTGGAAATCCAGGAGTCTGGCTGAACAAGTAGGCAGTGGCTAGAGCATGGGAGGCAGTGCTTCTGTAGCAGGCCCCCTTCACTGTGTGCTTCCAAACACTAAATGTCAGTTAACATTCCCAAGCATCTTCCAAAAATTCTTCCAAACGTGTCCAAATGTCTATCAGTGGGTGGAGGAGGCAATAATGCAACCCAGGTTGAAAGCTACTCATACAGAGTATTGTACATTGTGGTGTAAATTTGTTCCTACATATAATGGAAGCCTTGGAGAGTTTTAAGCTAGGAAGTGACATAATCTTGTATTTTATGATTATTCTATGAAGAATAAATTGAAGAACAAGAATGGAAGCAAGTACTGGTGGCCTAGACTATAGTGGTGGCAGTGGAGATGATATAAGAGATTTTGAGAGGTGTGATGGTAGAACCAACATGGCTTGTTGATGAACTGGTTGTGGGGAGTAAGGGAAAGCAGACACAAAGATGACTCCTGGGTTTCTGGTTTGAACAACTAGGCGGAGAGCAGCACTACTTTCTGAGACAAGGAAGTTTGACAGTTTTAGAAATGGTGCCAATGAAGATCTGAGGTATTGTCAATAAGTCCAAGTAAATGCTAAGTAGGCAGCTGAATATGTGGAAAAGGTTCCAAACAGAGGAAGGCATGGCCGAGAGACTTATGTGTCAGTGCAGCACAGGGATTAAGACACAGGCTCCAGGGCCAGCCCATGCAGGGTTGAATCTCAATTCTGCCCCTTTTTTGTTTGTTTGTTTGAGATGGAGTTTCGCTCTGTCACCCAGGCTGGAGTGCAGTGGCGCGATCTCGGCTCACTGCAACCTCCACCTCCCAGGTTCAGGCAATTCTGTGCCTCAGCCTCCCAGGTAGCTGGCGCCCACCACCATGCCCAGCTAATTTTTTTATTTTTTTATTTTTTAGTAGAGACGGGGTTTCACCATCTTGGCCAGGCTGGTCTTTAACTCCTGACCTCGTGATCCACCCACCTCGGCCTCCAAAAGTGCTGGGATTATAGGTGTGAGCCACCACGCCTGGCCAATTCTGCCACTTTTTAAGCATGGCTTTGGCCTTGTCACTTAATCTCTCTGTGCCTGAGTTTCCTCATCTGTAAAACAGAAGTATCAGTACATACTTCATAAGGTTAATGTGAAAATTAGAAGAATATGTTAAACATCAAGAACAGTAGTACTGGCAGATAGTATCAGTGATTATCATCTTCAGCAGCAGCAAGAATCATCTGGAGGATGCTGAAAACCATGGCAATGGAAAGAAATCCCTTAGGGAGAAGAGGGCCAAATACTGAACCCTCAGGAACATCAACATGTATGATTCAGAGAGAGGAGGAGAAGGCACCGGTAAGCCTCCTGGGAATAAAGAAGATTCAGATGGGTAGGAGGAAAATCAGGAATGTGTAATAACATGCAAGTCTAAAGAAAGTCTCGGCCAGGCGCGGTGGCTCACGCCTGTAATCCCAGCACTTTGGGAGGCCGAGGCAGGTGGATCACGAGGTCAGGAGATCGAGACCATCCTGACTAACATGGTGAAACCTTGTCTCTACTAAAAATACAAAAAATTAGCCGGGTGTGGTGGCGGGCGCCTGTAGTCCCAGCTACTCGGGAGGCTGAGGCAAAATGGTGTGAACTCGGGAGGCGGAGGTTGCAGTGAGCCGAGATCGCACCACTGCACTCCAGCCTGGGTGACAGAATGAGACCCCCTGTCTCAAAAAAAAAAAAAAAAAAACAAGTCTCAACAATGGGCTGCTGTGTTGTATGTTGCTGTAGGATAAAAACATACTTGCTGGTCTGAACTGGCTATAGGGGGGTCACTGCTGACCTTGACAAGAACAGATTTAGTCATGAGTTGAAGGGAAATTTTTACAGCATCTAGAGCCCAGCTTGTGTAGATAATGTTTCTTTAGAGTTCTGGCAATAAAGTAGAACAGAAAAATGGGGCCACAGATGGCGGTTGGTGTGAGGAAGTGAGATTTCACCATAAATCTGGTTTTAAAGACAGAAGATATGATAGCTTTCATAAAAGGTATGGCCCTCTCCAACCTGTGGCAGATGAAGGAACACATTTTGTCACTAGCTCCCCTTAGGGTTCAACTTGACTGTCTTCTGCATGTGCTGTAAAGTGGTCCAAGGGTAGAAAAGACTGTCTTATTCATCTCTATTCCCCAGCTCCTAGCACAGAGCCTGCATAAGAGGGGAGAGGGATGTTTGTGGTATATATAGACAAACTCATCTTTCCCTTGGCATCTTTCCCTTGGGATGGAAAATCGGGATTCTTCACAATTTTTCTATTTCTGGTAATAATAACTTCATGTAAATCACTCTAAGACTTTCCCAAATCAGATACAGCCTCTGAAGAACACTGGCCCACTAAAATGAACTCCAGAAAGGATCTTCTCCTGCTGAAGACCCAGACATGGAAATTATAAACAGAGACCACTAAGTACCAAATGAGGCACTGACCTGCAATTGGACCATCAGGCCCAGGAGAGCTAGGGGAGGCCTAATGGGCTCCATCTCTGTGAACAAAAGCTGAGCATAGAGACCTGTTACAAATCTACTGGCTAGTTTCTCCTATATGCAGTCAATTCTACACACATCTACTTGATTCCTCCTGTTACCACAAATCTAGGAAATTCCTGATTTCCTACCACAGATTAGATCAAACTCAGTTCTACTTTGGGAAGGCAACAACCCCACCCCCACCCCTCAATACTAACTCCATTCTCACAGTTCCCTTCTCAAGTTGCATTAGGGCATGTCCCTTCTGTCCATCCTTGGCTCTGTATTTATGCTGTTCCATTCTTTTGTTTATCTAAACTATAAACTACAGTTCAACAGTTCAAGGCAGGGTGCAGTGGCTCATGCCTGTAATCCCAACATTCTGGGAGGCCAAGGTGGGAGGATCACTTGAGGCCAGGAGTTCAAGAGCAGCCTGGGCAACACAGTGAGACCCTGTCTCTACAAATATATATATATGCCGAGTGTGGTAGTCTGTGCCTATAGTCCCAGCTACTTGGGAGGCTGAGGCGGGAGGATTTTATGAGCCCAGGAGTTAGAGGCTACAGTGAATTATGATCACTACCATACTCCTACCTGGGAAACAAAGCAACAACCTGTCTCAAAAATAAATAAACTACAGTTCAAACGTCATTTTGTCCACAAAGACCTCTGTTGACTTCTTAACCTAGAATTTCTAAATTCCCAGTTTGTCTTTGTGTATATGTCATAATTATTCTGCCTTATAAATAATTCGAAGGAAAAGAAATCCTGAGTTCTTACTTTTCACAACTAGACTCTAAGCTATATGAAGCAAAAAACCTTCTCTTATTCTATTTCTAGGCCCAACAGCTAGATATTTAGCAGGTCCTTAACAATGTCACCTAGGATAATATGATACTGCCTCTATGAAACCACCTGGTCAACCTTTGCTTAATTAATCACTTACAGCCCATGTTTCCAAGTGCAGTCCCTTATCTAACTTGTTTGTACCAGCTCCCACAAACATATGCATGCTCAGGAGCCTATGCCCACCGAGGCATAGCACCTTCATCAGTCCCATAAGACCAGAGGCCCTATATCCCACTCTAACGGGACCAGATATTTTACCAATCAGTTCTTTTAGACAGGGTCTCACTCTGTTCTCTAGGCTGAAATGCAATGGCATGATCATAGTAGCCTCAACCTCCCAGGCTCATGCAACCCTCGCATCTACGCTGGGACCACAGGTATGTGCCATCACACTAGACTATATTTTTTAAATTTTTGTAGAGATAGGGTCTTCCTATATTGCCCAGGCTGATCTCAAACTCCTGGGCTCAAGCATTCCTCCCACCTCAGCCTCCCAGACTGCTGGGATTACAGGCAACTGCCACTGCACCCAGCACTAATAGTTTTTTTGTTTGTTTGTTTTGAGACAAAGTCTTGCTATGTTGCCCCAGGTTGGAGTGCAGTGGCACGATCTCAGCTCACTGCAACCTCTGCTTCCCAGGTTCAAGCAATTCTCCTGCTTCAGCCTCCTGAGTAGGATTACCTGGGATTATAGGTGTGTGCCACCACACCCGGCTAATTTTTGTATTTTTAGTAGAGACGGGGTTTCACCATGTTGGCCAAGCTGATCTCAAACTCCTGACCTCTGGTGACTCACCCGCCTTGGCCTCCCAAAGTACTGGGGTAACATGCATGAGCCACCGTGCCTGGCCCCTACTTTTTTCTTTTGACAGAGTTTTGCTCCTGTTGTCCAGGCTGGAATGCAATGGCGCAATCTCAGCTCACTGCAACCTCTGCCTCCTGGGTTCAAGTGATTCTCCTGCCTCAGCCTCCCGAGTAGCTGGGATTACAGGTACCTGCCACCATGCCCAGCTAATTTTTGTATTTTTAGTAGAGACGTGGTTTCATCATATTGGCCAGGCTGGTCTCAAACTCCTGACCTTGTGATCCGCCTGCCTCGGCCTCCCAAAGTGCTGGGATTACAGAAGTGCACCACCTCGCCCGGCCGCCCCCGTAACACAAAAACTCTTGGGAGGTCCCACCACATAGACGGCATATTCAAGCCTCCCAATGGTGATCACTTTTAACAGGCTCCTTATGAGTTATTTTAGCTTTTCTAATTCACCCACACTGTGTGCCCAAAGATGAAAAACAGAATGAACAATCTCACAGCCTCTCCAGTGATGAGTTTGTAATCTATGTGATAAACTACAAGTGTTTTGCTAAAACCATTTACTTATGATACAAGGAAACAGCACTGGGACACACTTGAGGTGTCCCATTCATCTACACCTGTAACTTTACTCTTCCTGAGAAGAGATTACAAAGAAGTGTCCATGGTACTTAAACCCAAAATGTCTCCAAAACTCCAAAGCAATTCCTGGCCATCTCATTTACCTCCAGGTACCAGGATAAACTCTTTTTTCTGTTGCATAGCCTCACGTGATGTTTCTCCCCCTCTTCTCCCAAATACTAAATACTGCATCACTGTAAGAGTAACAGCAGTAAATAAGCCAGAGGTTGCGAGGCAAGCTCTGTGCTGCACTGGGCCCTGAGGGACCAGGCTGCCTGCCCTACTGATAAGTCTTCACTTACTGAACAAGTAACTTGGAGTTGCTGCTGCTGCTGCTGTGGTGGTGGTGTCTGTTCCTGGGGAGTTTGCTGCTGCGGCTGCTGTTGGGGGTCCCATATATGGACAGTTTGAGCCGTATTCTGGTACGTGCCTGCCACAGCCTGCACAGCCACTGGAATGTGGATGTTGCCATTCATGAACTGTGCTGGAAAGAGAGAGTTTGCAAGGGTCTGCACTACCTCTTCATGGGAGTTTTTCACTACAGATGTGGTGCCCACCATCTTCTCCTTGTCATCCTCCAGCTTAACAGCTGCCAGGGCTGTGGGTGAGCCACTGACGTGAACTGCGTTGTAGGCTTCCTGGGGAATGGCAATGTGGGTAATGCTCTGCTGCTGAGGGTCCCCCCGGGGCTGGGCAGAATAAACAGGGATGGTCCAGGTTTCTCCTGTAGGGCTAGTAATGGTCCCAGTGGCACTGTACAGGTGGGCACTGTCTACTGTCAGTAAGTCTGGCCTCAAAGACACATAACTCTGCTGCTGGCCCTGTGGAATGGCCAGCACGGTGGCCACCGGCTGCCCTGAGATGGCGTAGGACACAGTGATGGGCATGTCCACTTTGCGCTTCTTCACTGGTTGGAGGACACTGGCCGTGCCAACCCGCCGCTCCCCTTCCCGGGGTGAGCCCTGCTGGGATGGTGGTGGGGAAAGGGCACCCACGGTCTGGATTTGGATCTGCTGACCACCAGCAAGAGACTGGCCAGCCACCAGCTGAGCCTGGATTTGCTGATGTGGGATGTGCTCCTCCGGGATTTCTGCAGCCTGGATCTGCTGGGCTGCTTGCACGTGCTGCACCTGGATCTGAGCTGCTTGCAGCTGCGAGGGACTGGGACTCTGCAGAGACGGGGTCTGAATGGAGGGGGCTGCTGACTGTGGTGCCTGGCCTTGGATCTGCACCTGGACCTGGATGGGTTGCTCAGTAGGCTGGTGAACGGTGAGTTGTGGGGAGAGCTGAGCCGAGACCTGTTGCGGAGACTGCTGTACCTGCACCTGGACCTGTAAGCAACAAGATTCATCAGTGAGTGAACCAGGCAGCACTGAAAATCCAGTACCCAAGGAAAGAAAGAAAAGAGATCCCAGACAGGGGACCTGCAAAATGTGAGAAAACACTGGCATACTCAAGGCTTCTGAGAAGGACACAATACGTAAGACTAGATCCAGGATTGTCCAGCAGCACATTACAATAACAGGGACATATATCCACCCCAGAGAGCAAGCAAGACAATTAACTGGGGCCTAAAAAGGAAATACCAAAAAAAAAAATTTTTTTTTTTTAAGATGGACTCGCTCTGTCGCCCAGGCTGGAATGCAGTGGCGCAATCTCAGCTCACTGCAACCTCCGCCTGCTGGGATCAAGCGATTCTCCTGCCTCAGCTTCCTAGAGTAGCTGGGATTACAGACATGCTGGAGTCTAACAAGGAAATATCAAAACTTTGGTTCTTTTTTTTTTTCCCCAAATTCTCATTGTGTCGCCCAGGCTGGAATGCAGTGGTGCCATCTCAGCTCACTGCAATCTCCACCTCTCAGGCTCAAGCAATTCTTGAAGCCAGCCTCCCGAGTATCTGGGATTATAGACATGTGCCACCATACCCAGCTAATTTTTGTATTTTTAGTAGAGACGAGGTTTCACCATGTTGGCCAAGCTAATCTTGAACTCCTGACCTCAACTGGTCCACCCACCTCGGCCTCCCAAAGTGCTGGGATTACAGGTGTGAGCCGAAACGGCCGGCATTTTTATTTCCATTTTCTTTGAGGCGGAGTTTTGCTCTTGTTGCCCAGGCTGGAGTGCAGTGGCATGATCTTGGCTCACTGCAACCTCAACCTCCTGGGTTCAAGCAATTCTCTTGCCTCAGCCTCCTGAGTAGCTAGGATTACAGGAATGCATCACCATGCCCAGCTGATTTTGCATTTTTAGTAGAGACAGGATTTCTCCATGTTGGTCAGGCTGGTCTCGAACTCCCGACCTCAAGTGATCCGCCCACCTTGGCCTCCAAAACTGTTGAGATTACAGGCGTGAGCCACCACGGCCAGCATTTTAAAAATTGTTTTTGAAATGGAGTTTCACTCTTTTTTTTTTTTTTTTTTGAGACGGAGTCTCGCTTTGTCGCCCAGGCTGGAGTGCAGTGGTGCCATCTCAGCTCACTGCAAGCTCCGCCTCCCGGGTTCACGCCATTCTCCTGCCTCAGCCTCCCGGGTAGCTGGGACTACAGGTGCCTGCCACCACACCCGGCTAATTTTTTTTTTGTATTTTTAGTAGAGATGGAATTTCACCATGTTAGCCAGGATGGTCTCCATCTCCTGACCTCGTGATCCGCCCGCCTTGGCCTCCCAAAGTGCTGGGATTACAGGCGTGAGCCATCACAAGGGACCGTTTTTTTCTCTAAAGATAGGGTCTTGCTCTGTTGCCCAGGTTAGAGTACCGTGATAAGATGATAGGGCACTTTAAACTTCAAACTCCTCAAGTGATCCTCCCACCTCAGCCTGCTAAATAGCTAGAACTACAGGAACACCACCACCACACCCAGCTAATTTTTTTTTTTTTTTTTTAGACAGAGTCTCGCTGTTACCAGGCTGGAGTGCAGTAGTATGATCTCAGCTCACTGCAACCTCCGCCTCCTGGGTTCAAGCTATTCTCCTGCCTCAGCCTCCTGAGTAGCTGGGACTACAGACGCATGCCACCACCCCCAGCTAATTTCTGTATTTTTAGTAGAGACGAGGTTTCACCATGTTGGTTGGCCAGGATGGTCTCGATCTCTTGACCTTGTGATCCGCTCACCTTGGCCTCCCAAAGTGCTGGGATTACAGGCTTGAGCCACCATGCCTAGCCTTATTTATTTATTTTCTGAGATGGAGTTTCGCTCGTTCCCCAGGCTGGAGTGATATGGTAGTCACGGCTCACCGTAACCTCTGCATCCCGGATTCAAGCTATTCTCCTGCCTTAGCCTCCCAAGTAGCTGGGATTACATGTGCCTGCCATCACATCCAGCTAACTTTTTTTTTTTTTTTTTGAGACGGAGTCTCGCTCTATCGCCCAGGCTAGAGTGCAGTGGTGCGATCTCGGCTCACTACAACCTCCACTTCCCCGGTTCAAGCGATTCTCCTGTGTCAGCCTCCCGAGTAGCTGGGACTACAGGTGCGTGCCACCACGCCCGGCTGATTTTTTTATTTTTAGTAGAGACAGGGTTTCACCGTGTTAGCCAGGATGGTCTTGATCTCCTGACCTCATGATCCGCCCACCTCGGCCTCCCAAAGTGCTGGGATTACAGGCGTGAGCCACCACGCCCAGACCTAATTTATATATACATATATATGTTTTTGAGACCAAGTCTCGCTCTGTCGCCCAGGCTGGAGTGCAGTGGTGTGATCTCAGCTCACTGCAAGCTCCGCCTCCCAGGTTCATGCCATTCTCCTGCCTCAGCCTCCCAAGTAGCTGGGACCACAGGCACCCGCCACCACGACTGGCTAATTTTTTGTATTGTTATTAGAGACAGGGTTTCACCGTGTTAGCCAGGATGGTCTTGATCTCCTGACCTCGTGATCTGCCTGCCTTGGCCTCCCAAAGTGCTGGGATTACAGGTGTGAGCCACCACACCCAGCCCTAATTTTTGTATTTTTAGTAGAGACGGGGTTTCACCATGTTGGCCAGGCTGGTCCAAAACTCCTGACCTCAGGTGATCCACCAGCCTTGGCCTCCCAAAGTGCTGGGATTATAGGCGTGAGCCACCATACCCAGCCCCCAGCCTGATTTTTTGGGCAGAAGTCCCCAACCCTGGGGCCAAGGACTAGTACTGGTCCGTAGGCGAACGACACAGCACAGAGGTGAGCATTACCACCTGAGCTCCACCTCCTGTCAGATCAATGGTGGCATTAGACTCTTGTAGGAGCACAAACCCTATCGTGAACTGCAAATGTGAGGTATCTAGGCTGCATGCTCCTTATTAGAATCTAATGCCTGGCCAGGTGCATTGGCTCACACCTGTAATCCCAGTACTTTGGGAGGCTGAGGAGGGCAGATCACTTGAGGCCAGGAGTTCAAGACCAGCCTGGCCAACATGGTGAAACCCCACCTCTACTTCTACTAAAAATATAAAAAATTATCCAGGCATGGTGGTGCATGCCTGTAATCCCAATTACCTGAGAGGCTGAGGCAGAATAGCTTGAACCCAGGAGGCGGAAGTTGAAGTGAGCAGAGAGAGCACCACTGCATCACAGCCTGGGTGACAGAGTGAGCCTCCATCTTAAAAAAAAAAAAAAAAAAAAAAAAAAAAAAAAATCTAACACCTAATGATGTGAGGTGAAACAGTTTCATCCCAAAGCACCACCCCCATCAATGTCTGTGGAAAACTGTCTTCCACAAAACGAGTCCCTGGTGCAAAAAACGTTGGGGACCACTGCTTTAGAGTGCTTACTTAACATATGTTTAATGGGAAAGGCATTTAAATAAACAGAATCCCAATAATTTAATCTGAGCAATATTACCATAACCTGGATGACATGTTTCTGATAACAATACAGTTACTGTCTTATTATTATGTCAGCATGCAAAAGAGCATGAAAAGAAAAAAATACATAGTATGCAACTTTTAAAAAACAGCTTTTACCATCAGACACATAGATAAATTACCCTAACCACAAGTAGGAATTAGAAAGGTAGAAAACAAGAAGGCAGAAAATGAGGCCAGGCACAGTTGCTCATGCCTGTAATCCCAGCTCTGTGGGAGGCCAAGGTGGGTGGATCACCTGAGGTCAGGAGTTTGAGACCAGCCTGACCGACATGGTGAAACCCCGTCTCTACTAAAAATACAAAACTAGCCAGGCATGGTGGTGCATGCCTGTAATCCCAGCTACTTGGGAGGTTGAGGCAGGTGAACTACTAAACCCAGGAGGTGGGGGTTGCAGTGAGCCGAGATTGCACCACTGCACCACAGCATGGGCAACAAGAGTGAAACTATCTCCCAAAAAAAAGAATATATGCAAATGGCCAAGAACCACATAAAAAGTTGCTCCATATCATACTAGCTGTGAAGGAAATTCCAATCAAAGCCACAATGAGAAACCACTTTATATCTAATAAGTTATATCTAAAAAAGACAGATAACAAGTATAGGTAAGGATATAGACAACTTGAAACTGCTGGTGGGCATGTTAAATTGGTGTAGTTGGCCAGATGCGGTGGCTCACACCTGTAATCCCAGCACTTTGGGAGGCTGAGGCCAGTGGACACAAGGTCAGGAGTTCCAGACCAGCCTGGCCAACATGGTGAAACCCTGTCTCTACTAAAAATACAAAAATTAGCTGGGCGTGGTTACACATGCTTGTAATCCCAGCTACTCGGAAGGCTGACGCAGCAAAATTGCCTGAACCTGGGAGGTGGAAGCTAGTGAGCCGAGATGGCGCCACTATACCCAGCCCAGTCAAGGACAGAGTGAGACTCCATCTCAGAAAAAAAAAAAAACAAGAAAAAATTGGTGTAGTCGCTTTTTTTTTTTTTTTTGGGAGGTAAAGTCTTGCCCTGTTGCCCAGTGGTGGAATCTCAGCTTACTGCAACCTCCGCCTCCCTGGTTCAAACAATTCTCCTGCCTCAGCCTCCTGAGTAGCTAGGATTACAGGCACGCATCACCATGCCCAGCTAAATTTTGCATTTTTAGCACAGACAGGGTTTCACCATGTTAGCCAGGCTGGTCTCAAACTCTTAACCTCAAGTGATCCACCTGCCTTGGCCTCCCAAAGTGCTGGGATTACATGTGTGAGCCAGTGTGCCTGAATTATACATTTCAAATGGGTAACTTATATCTCAATAAAGCTGTTACTAAGTATATTTTTTAAAAAAAGGCCGGGCGCTGTGGCTCACACCTGTAATCCCAGCACTTTGGGAGGCCGAGGCAGGCGGATCATGAGGTCAGGAGATCAAGACCATCCTGGCTAACATGGTGAAACCCCATTTCTATTAAAATAATTAGCCAGGCGTGGTGACGGGTGCCTGTAGTCCCAGCTACTCGGGAGGCTGAGACAGGAGAATGGCGTGAACCTGGGAGGCGGAGTTTGCAGTGAGCCAAGATCGCGCCACTGCACTCCAGCCTGGGTGACAGAACGAGACTCCGTCTCAAAAAAAAAAAAGGCTCAGGTTTTGAGATCACAGACTTCAATGTGAATTGATGCTGCACTTTTCTGCCTGTGAATCCATGGGGAAATTTAACCTCTAAACAGTTTCTTTAGGTACAGTAAGTATAAAAGGGGAGAATGTCTACTTCCCTACAGTGTTTTAAACATAAAATAATATTTAGTTACAGATAATAGGTGTTCAAATAAGTAGGTTTATTATTTCTCTCCATGAAGTAAAATATTATTTCCTTGCACCAGTGGTTCTCAAAATGTAGTTTCCATGCCAACAGCAGCAGCAGCATCCAGGCACTCAGAAATACAAATTGTCAGGTACCACTCCAGACCTACTAACTCTGAAATTCTAAGAAGTGGTTTTATCAAGTCCTCCAGTGTAATTACATGGTCAAATTTAAGAACTAGGGCTATATGCCAAAGACATAAGAGGAAACTATGTAGCCAATTACTGCAGAACAGCAGTTTTCAAGATTTCTTAGTCAAAGCCTGAATTTGGGGCTGGGCATCGTGGTCATGCCTGTAATCCCAGCACTTTGGGAGGCCAAGGCAGGAAAACTGCTTGAGCCCAGGAGTTCGAGATCAACCTGGGCAACATAGTGACACCCCTATCTCTACAAAAAATTTTAAAAATTACCTGGGCGTGGACACACACCTGTAGTCTCAGCTACCTGGGAGGCTGAGGAAGGAAGACTACTTGAGCCCAGGAGATTGAGGCTGCAGTGAACTATGAACGGCACGTGCCACTGTACTCCAGCTTGGACAACAAAGTGAAACTCTAACACCAAAAAACTTGAATTTGGCCAAAAAATATTGAAGACCCAAAAGAACTTGTTTACATAGGTTATATCTAGTAATATTTACTTGTACTCTAAATTAAAACTAGGAATTTAATTTTTTAATTCTTTTTTTATTTGAGATGGAGTTTCACTCTGTTGCCCTGGCTGGAGTGCAATGGTGCCATCTCAGCTCACCGCAACCTCTGCCTCCCGGGTTCAAGCGATTCTCTTGCCTCAGCCTCCTGAGTGGCTGGGATTACAGGCATGCGCCACCATGCCTGGCTGGTTTTCTTTTGTTGTTGTTTTTTGTTTTTTATATTTTTAGTAGAGATGGAGTTTCTCCATGTTGGTCAGGCTGGTCTCAAACTCCCAACCTCAGGTGATCCGCCTGCCTCGGCCTCCCAAAGTGCTGGGATTATAGGCGTGAGCCACCATGGCTGGCCCTAATTTTTTTTTTTTTTTTTTTTTTTTGGAGACAAGAGTCTCAGTCTATCGCCCAGGCTGGAGTGCAGTGGTGTGATCTTGGAAGTACAACTTTGTCTTCCCGGGTTCAAGCGATTCTCTTAACCTCTGCCTCCCGAGTAGCTGGGATTATAGGTGCCCACCACCATGCCTGGCTGTTTTTTTGTTTGTTTTTGTATTTTTAGTAGAGATGGGGTTGCCCCATGTTGGCCAACCTGGTCTTGAACTCATATCCTCAAGCAATCCACCTACCGCATCCTCCCAAAGTGCTGAGATTACAGGCATGAGCCACCACGCCTGGCCCAAAACTAGGAATTTAAAAAATTGTAAACCATGCTGGGCGCAGTGGCTCACACCTGTAATCCCAGCACTTTGGGAGGCCAAGGTGGGTGGATCACAAGGTCAGGAGATCGAGACCATCCTGGCTAACACGGTGAAACCCCGTCTATACTAAAACAAAAAAAATTAATTAAAAATCAGATAAAGCCAGATGCAGTGGCTCATGCGTATAATCTCAGCACTTTGGGAGGCCAAGGCAGGCAGGGTCACATAAGGTCAGGAGTTCGAGACCCGCCTGGACAAGATGGTGAAACCCTGTCTGTCCTAAAAATACAAAAACTAGCCAGGTGTGGTGGTGCATGCCTGTAATCCCAGCTAATCAGGAGGCTGAGACAGGAGAACAGCCTGAACCCAGGAGGCAGAGGTTGCAGTGAGCGGAGATCGTGTCACTCATGCCAGCCTGGGGGACAGAGCAAGAGTTGTTCTAGAAAAAAACAAACAAAAATAAAGCCATTATATGTTAACATAAATAACATATTCTCATGAAAAATAACTATTTGCCAAAATAATTATAATAAGAATTGCATTGTTTTACATTTTTGGAAACCTCTTTTTTTTTTTTTTGGAGATGGAGTCTCACTCTGTTGCCCAGGCTGGAGTACAGTGAGGCAATCTTGGCTCACTCAGCTCAATGCAACCTTTGCCTCCTGGGTTCAAGCAATTCTCCTGCCTCAGCCTCCCAAGTAGCTGGGATAACAGGGGCATGCCACCATGTCCGGCTAATTTTTGTATTTTTAGTAGAGACAGGTTTTTGCCATGTTGGCCAGGCTGTTCTCGAACGCCTGACCTCAAAGTGATCTGCCCACCTCGGCATCCCAAAGTGTTAGGATTACAGGCGTAAGCCACTGCGCCTGACCCATTTTTGCAAACCTATTTAATGGCTGACTTAATATAAGGTAGCTGAATTCTCCTATCTGCTTCCGCACTCAATCTGTTGTGCTATTATACATCACACATGGCCTCTGCAAAACTCCAGTACATGGTCAGGAGAGAATGAAAGTGAAAAAGGCAAATTAATACATTGGCATTGTAATAAAAACAGCTTTGACCTTGAGGAACCCTAAAAGGTGCTTGGAGGCTACCAGGAGTCTCTCTCTTTTTTTTTTTTTTGAGACGGAGTCTCCCTCTGTCGTCCAGGCTGGAGTGCAGTGGTGTGATCTCAGCTCACTGCAAGCTCCACTTCCCGGGTTCACGCCATTCTCCTGCCTCAGCCTCTCAAGTAGCTGGGACTACAGGCACCCGCCACCACGCCCGCTAATTTTTGTTTTGTATTTTTATTAGAGATGGGGTTTCACCGTGTTAGCCAGGATGGTCTCGATCTCCTGAACTCATGATCTGCCTGCCTTGGCCTCCCAAAGTGCTGGGATTACAGGCCCCTACGAGTCTCTTGAACTACCATTTGTGAATCACTTCTGGCCAGGAATGGTAGCTCATGCCTGTAACCTCAGCACTTTGGGAGGCTAAAGCTGGTGGACTGCTTGAGCTCAGGAGTTCGAGACCAGCCTGGGCAATGTGGTGAAACCCCGTCTCTACCAAGAATACAAAAAAATTAGCCAGACGTGGTTGTGAGCCAACTGTGGTCCCAGCGACTCAGGAGGCTGAGGTGGGAGAACTACTTGAACTCAAGAGGCAGAGGTTGCAGTGACACAAGATCATGTCACTGTACTCTGGCATGAGTGACAGTGAGACCTCCATCTCAGAAAAAAATAAGGGTAAGGAAAAAAAAAGAACCACTACTATTGGGTTAAACACATAGTATGTTTTTAAATTATAATACGGCTTGCTTAAAACAAAATGTCAAAAATCTGGTTACTATCACTGAATCATAGCTCATATGCTTCATGCTTTACTGTATTTCTTAATTTACTTTACTTTTCTTTTTTTTTTTTTGTTGAGGCAAGAGTCTCACTCTGTCGCCTAGGCTGGAATGCAGTGGCGCAATCTTGGCTCACTGCAACCTCCTCCTCCCGGGTTCAAGCAATTCTCCTGCCTCAGCCTCCTGAGTAGCTGGGATTACTGGCACCTGCCACCCGTGCCTGGCTAATTTTCTTATTTTTAGTTGAGACAAGGTTTCACAAAGGCATGAGCCACTGCACCCAGATGATTTTTCTTCTTTTAAAATGAGTTATTATCTGATCAATTGATTTTTCTTAGAAATCATTTAAAAGGCCAAGTGAGGTGGGTCATGCCTGTAATCCTAGCATTTTGGGAGGCCAAGGCAGGTGGATCACCTGAGGTAAGGAGTTCGAGACCAGCCTGGCCAACATGGTTAAACCCCGTCTCTAATAAAAATACAAAAATTACCCAGACGTGGTGGTGTGCACCTGTAATCCCAGCGACTCAGGAGGCTGAGGTAGGACAATAGCTTGAACCTGGGGGGCGGAGGTTGCAGTGAGCCGAGAACATGGCACTGCACTCCAGCCTCATCGACAGAGACTCTGTCTCAAAAAAAAAGAGAGAGAGAAATTACTTATCAATGCTCAAGCTTCCAAAATAAACAATTAAATGGCTAATGTGGCTAATGGCTATTGTTAGCAGAAATACTAGGGAGTTAGAACCTCCCAATCCACCTCCTAAGTGGTGGCACCTGTCCGTCACTCCAGAAATAAACAAAATTACAAATAATCTGATGTCACTTTATATCCAAAATAGTAAGAATTTAAAATTAGGGGAATAAGAGTTAAGAGTAAATTTAACGGCTGGGTGCGGTGGCTCACGCCTGTAATCCCAGCACTTTGGGAGGCCAAGGTAGGCAGATCACAAGGTCAGGAGATCAAGACCATCCTGGCTAACATGGTGAAACCCCGTCTCTACTAAAAATACAAAAAAATTAGCTGGGTGTGGTGGTGGGCACCTGTAGTCCCAGCTCCTTGGGAGGCTGAGGCAGGAGAATGGTGTGATTCCAGGAGGCGGAGCTTGCAGTGAGCCGAGATAGCACCACTGCACTCCAGCCTAGGTGAAAGAGCAAAACTCTGTCTCGAAAAAAAAAACAAAAAAGAAATTAAATGTTATTTATATTACTTCCCTTCAATTTTTTTAATTTATATAAGAGCCAAGCTTTTTCACTGGGTAGAAAATTACTAAATAATCATATTAAGAATCTGGCAAAAGGCCAGGCGCGGTGGCTCAGGCCTATAATCCCAGCACTTTGGGAGGCCAAGGCAGGCGGATCACGAGGTCAAGAGATTGAGACCATCCTGGCCAACCAACATGGTAAAACCCTGTCTCTCCTAAAAATACAAAAAAAATTAGCTCAGAAGGCGGAGGCAGGAGAACCACTTGAACCCAGGAGGCAGAGGTTGCAGTGAGCCTAAATCATGCCACTGCACTCCAGCCCAGGCGATAGAGCGAGACTCCGTCTCAAAAAAAAAAAAATTTGGAAACAAACAAAAAAAACAACCCACAATTCTTTCATTCAGATATAACAACTCTCAACACCTTTTTTAAAAAAAAGTATTACATTTTACTTGAAATTAAAATGAAATGAGGTGCTAAGTGCTGTGCTCATGCCTGTAATCCTAAATCAGGAGGCTATGGCAGGAGGATCACTTGAGGCCAGGAGTTTGAGGCCAGCCTAGGCAACATAGCAACACCCCTCTCTCCACAAAAAGTAAAAATATTAGCCAGGCGTGGTGGTGCATGCCTGTAGTCCCAGCCACTCCAGAGGCTGAAATGGCAGGATCAATTGCGCCCAGGAGTTCAAGGCTGCACTGAGCTATGATTGTGCCACTCTACTCTGTAGCCTATAGTCCCAGCTACTCAGGAGGCTGAGGTGGGAGGATCCCTTAAGCATGGGAGGTTGAAGTTGCAGTGAGCCTCTGATCACACCACTGCATTCCAGCCTGGGTGACAGAGCAGGACTCCGTCTCAAAAAAATTAAAAAAAAAAAAAAAATTAGTTGGGCGTAGTAGCTGTAGTCCAAGCTACTCAGGAGACTGAAGCAGGAGGATCACTTGAGCCCAGGAAGTCCAGACTGCAGCGAGCCGTGATCATGCCACTGCACTCCAGCATGGATGACAGAGCCAAGCTTGGCTAAAATTTCTTTCTTTTTTTTTTTGTGATGGGGTCTGTGCTCTATTGCCCAGGCTAGAGTGCAGTGGCACGATCTCGGCTCACTGCAACCTCCGCTTCCTGGGCTCAAGTGATCCTCCAGCCTCAGCCTCCTGAGTAGCTGGGATCACAGTCATGCACCACCATGCCTGGCCAATTTTTTGTATTTTTGGTAGAGATGGGAGTTTTGCCATGTTGCCTAGGCTGGTCTAGAACTCCTGAGCTCAAGCAATCCACTCACCTTGGCCTCCCAAAATGCTGGGATTACAGGCATGAGCAACCACACCCGGCCAAACTTGGCTAAAATTTAAAGTAGAAAGGAATAAAACTACTCTTGCAGGTATCATATAGCACAAACCATCTCTCTAGCATCCTGTAGGTTAGAAATTTGTGATAAGACTTTTAGAACTACTTGAATAAGGCAAAAAAGCCTCAAGTAGAAAATTTATTATTATTATTATTATTATTATTTTTTTTTTTTTTTTGAGATAGTCTTGTTCTGTCGCCCAGGCTGGAGTGCAGTGGCGCAATCTTGGCTCACAGCAACCTCCGCCTCCCGGGTTCAAGCAATTCTCTGCCTCAGCCTCCCGAGTAGCTGGGATTACAGGTGCCCACCACCACACCTGGCTACTTTTTTGTATTTTTAGTAGAGACGGGGTTTCACCATCTTGGCCAGGCTGATCTTGAACTCCTGACCTCGTGATCCACCCGCCTTGTCCTCCCAAAGTGCTGGGATTAGAGGCATGAGCCACCACACACAGCTGAAAATTATTTTTTACAGAAAAAAAGGACGTTTCCTCCAATTACACTTATAACTTGCATTAATAGTTGATAATCTGTGTGGGCGAGGGGACCACAAAGAGCACTCTAAAAGGCTGGCGAAAATACAGATCCATGGGGGGGAATTTTTTTTTTTTTTTTTTTTTTGAGATAAAGTATTCTCAAGCGATCCTTCCACCTCAGCCTCTTCAGTAGCTGGGATTACAGGTGTGTACCACTACATCTGGCTAATTTTATTTTTAGTACAGACAAAGTCTCACTATGTTGCCCAGGCTGGTCTTGAATTCCTGAACTCAAAGGATCCTCCTGCCTCAGCCTCCCAAAGTACTGAGATTACAGGTATGAGCCACTGCACCCAGCCTATGATTCTTACTCAAAAGAGCAGTAACAATTATCATCAAACTAATGTATCTCTAACTTGCTCATCAAGGTAATGTGAGCTGTAAGTATACATATGTGTATGTGTGTGTTTTGAAGTCTCTAGTCAATTCCCAACCTTTAGTTCTAAAGCTACCCCAGTGGACCTCTACTCTGTGTATCCTCTACTTCTCAGCTTAGGGCACTCTAAGAACTGCCCCACTTTCCCCAAAAGTTCTTTCCTACACGCATTTGTCACCAAATTTTTTTTTTTTTTTGGAGACAGAGTTTCGCTCACATTGCCCAGTCTGGAGTGCAATGGTACGATCTCAGCTCACTGCAACCTTGGCTTCCCAGGTTCAAGCAATTCTCCTGCCTTAGCCTCCGAATAGCTGGGACTATAGGCACCTGCCAACATGCCCGGCTGATTTTTGTATTTTTTAGCAGAGATGAGGTTTCACCATGTTGGCCAGGCTGGTCTCAAACTCCTGACCTCAGGTGATCCGCCTGCCTCAGCCTCCCAAGGTGCTGGGATTACAAGCATGAGCCACCACGCCTGGCCTTTCATCACCTAATTCTGTCTACTTATTCTCTTTTATCAATTTCTTAGATTTAGTGGTTTTTAAATGGTATTCATTTTTTCCAACACTCTTAAAAATGCTTTGTTGTTCTGTTTTTTATAGAGACAGGGTCTTGCACTTTTGCCCAGGATGGAGTGCAGTGGCGTGATCACAGCTCACTGCAACTTCGAACTCCTGGGCCCAAGGAGTTCCTCAGCCTTCTGAGTAGCTGGGACTACAAGTGCACACCACCATGCCAAACTAATTTTTGTGTTTTTCTGTAGAGATGAGGTTTTACCATGTTTCCCAGCCTGGTCTCAAACTCCTGGGCTCAAGTCATCTACATACTTCAGCTTCCCAAACAGCTGGGATTACAAGTGTGAGCCACCATGCCTGGCCTGGCCAGAATTCTTTATTTTTTAAAAGTATCTTTTTAGTCACTTAGGGAAAACATACATTCTTATGATTCTATCACACTGAATCTATCTCATGGATGTCATTATATTTGTTTCTTCTTTCATTTACATAGAGTTTAGGGAGAAAGACGAACGTTAATAGTGATCTCGGTCAGTGGCTTTTCTTTCTTCTGAGACAGAGTCTGCTCTGTCACCCAGGCTGTGGTGCAGTGGTGTGATCTTGATTCACTGCAACCTCTACCTTCCAAGTTCAAGCATTCATCAGTTTATCTTGAACATAAAGTCTCAAAAAACACTCCAAACTTAAATCCCCAAACTTTTTTTTTTTTTTGAGACAGACTCTTGCTCTATCGCCCAGGCTGGAGTGCAGTGGTGTGACCCTGGCTCTCTGCAAGCTCCACCTCCCGGGTTCACGTCATTCTCCTGCCTCAGCCTCCCGAGTAGCTGGGACTACAGGCACCCGCCACCAGGCCTGGCTAATTTTTTGTATTTTTAGTAGAGACGGAGTTTCACTGTGTTAGCCAGGATGGTCTCAATCTCCTGATCGGCCTCCCAAAGTGCTGGGATTACAGGCATGAACCACCGCACCCAGCCCCAAACTCTTTAATCTTATGAGAAAGCGGGGCCAGGTGTAATGGCTTGTGCCTGTAATCCAAACACTTTGTATTTGTAATCCAAACACCCACAAAGTGGGTGGCTCAGCTGAACTCAGGAGTCCCAAGACCAGCCTAGGGGCCAGGTGCAATGGCTCATGCCTGCACTTTGGGAGGCTGAGGCAAGTGAATCGTTTAAGGTCAGGAGTTCAAGACCAGTCTGTCCAACATGGTGAATGAAACCCCACCTCTACTGAAAAAAGTACAAAAATTGGCCAGGCGTGGTAAGGAAGAGGAGGTCAAAGCTGTAAAAAACAGCAGAATAATTTGAGCCAGAAAATCAGACTTCTTTTCTCTTTTTTTGAGACACCTTTCCTGTCCTTAGTGTAAAAGGCTAGAGTGCAGTGGCACAATCACAGCTCGCTGCAACCATGACCTCCCAGGTTCAGGTGATCCTCCCACTTCAGCCTCCCCAGTACCTGGGATCACACAAGCAAGCCACCATACCCAGTTAATTTTTGTACTTTTGTACAGACAGGATTTCGCCATGTTGCCCAGGCTGGTCTCAAACTCCTAGGCTCAAGGAATCCACTCACCTCAGCCTCCCAAAGTGCTGGGATTACAGGTGTGAGCCACCATGCCTGGGCCAGCCTTCTTTTACTTAACCTTTCCTGTACCTTTTCTTCCTTACAAAGACAAAACAAGGCTGGGCGTGGTGGCTCATGCCTACAATCCCAGCACTTTGGGAGGCCGAGGTTGGCAGATCACTTAAAGTCAGGAGTTCAAGACCACCCTAGCCAACATGGTGAAACCCCATCTCTACTAAAAATATAAAAATTAGTCGGGCGTGCTAGCTTGAACCCCAGAGATGGAGGTTGCAGTGAGCCAAAATAATGCCACTGCACTCTAGTCTGGGCAACAGAGTGAGGCTCTGTCTCAAAAAGTAAGTAAATAAATATAAAGATAAAAAATGAGTAAATCTCAGCCTGGGCAACATGGTGAAATTCTGGCTCTATCAAAAATACAAAAAATTAGGCAGGTGTTGGTGGTGTGCGCCTGTGGTCCCATGTACTCGGGAGGCTGAGGTGGGAGGATTGCTTGAGCCTGGGAGGCTGGGGTTGCAGTGAGCCAAGATCATACCGCTGCACTCCAACCTAGGTGACAGAATGAGACCCTGTCTCCATTACAAAAAAAAAAAAACTCTCCATATGCCAGATACTTTATTATCTTATTCAGTCTCATTAAATGGTATTATCCTTATTTAACTGATGAACAAACTGGAGGTAAAGATTAATAAGCTCATGCCAACAATTGAGTGGTCAAGTCAAATTTAAACCCAGTACTGAAGCTTCAGAGGCTATGTCCTTCCAATATACTCGTCTGCATTTTTGAGGAGCTACAGTGAAACCTACTTCAGCTGGGAACAGTGGCTCATGCCTATAATCCCAGCACTTTGGGAGGCTGAGCCATGAGGACTGCTGGAGGCCAGGAGTTCAACACCAGCCTGAGCAACATGGCGAGAGTCCATCTCTACCAAAAATGAAAAAATTAGCTGGGCATGGTGGCACGCACCTGTAGTCCTAGCTACTCGGGAGGCTGAGGTGAGAGCATCACCTGAGCCCAGGAGGTAGAGGCTGCAGTGAGCCATGATCATGTCACAGCACTCCAGCCTGGGCAAGTGAAATCCTGTCTCTTAAAAAAAAAACAGAAAAAATGAAGGAAAGGGAAACCTTCTATCTCACCAGGCACACCTCTCCATACTCCTGCCTCTCCAGCATGTTTCAGTCCCTTTCCTATCCTCTTAGTATAAAAAGACTTCCAGAATACAATGAAATTAAACCATAATAGACAATGGCAAGAAAACTGCATTTGCAACTAGAGGAGCCTGTTATCTCACATAAAGACCTCTAAAGAGGAAAACTTTGGCCAGGCACGGTGGATCACACCTGTACTTTGGAGGCCAAGGCCGGTGGATCACCTGAGATCAGAAGTTCAAGACCAGCCTGACCAACATGGTGAAACCCTGTCTCTACTAAAAATACAAAAATTAGCCGGCACAGTGGCAGGTGCCTGGAATCCCACCTACTCAGGAGGTTGAGGCAGGAGAATCGTTTGAACCCAGGAGGCAGAGGTTGCAGTGAGCTGAGATCACGCCACTGCTCTCCAGCCTGGGTGACACAGTGGGACTCCATCTCGAAAAAAAAAAAAAGGAAAACATTTTACCTTCTCAACAAATGTACTAGTTTCTCGTCTTTCAGAAAGTTTATCATCAATTAGCATTATTTTTTTGTGCCTTACAATTTTTATTTTTATTTTTTTTGAGATGGGATCTCACTCTGTCACCCAGGCTGGAGTGCAGTGGCACGATCTCAGCTCACTGTAACCTCCACCTCCCAGGCTCAAGCGATTCTCCCATCTCGGCCTCCCTAGTAGCTAAGACCATAGGCGTGCATCACCACACCCAGCTAATTTTTTCTTATTTTTGGTAGAAACAGGGTTTCACCATGTTGCCCAGGCTGGTTTTAACCTCCTGGGCTCAAGCAATCCTCCCACCTCAGCTTCCCAAATAGCTGGGACTACAAGTACATACCATCCCTGGGTAATTTTTTTTTATTTTTTGTAGAGACGGGGTTTTGCCATGTTGCCCAGGCTGGCCTCAAACTTCTGGACTCAATGATCCGTCCACCTTGGCATCCCAAAGTGCTGGGATTACAGGCATTCACAAATGCACTTAGCCGTTTTGTGGTTTAGAAACAACAAACACAGACCCAGAAATCCATACGTAATCTGAGTTATGGAATCACACAAGTTAATGAAGATCACTGAAATACATCAGCCTTTCCATTTTTAAATTAATTTCAAATGTTACACTATCAGTAATCAGCCAAGACCAGCCCTCCTGTGTTCTGTCTCTATTCAGGATGACACAAATAGAAAGGAAGCCTCAGATGGACGTGGTGGCTCACACCTGTAATCCCAGCATTTTGGGAGGCCGAGGTGGGCGGATCATGAGGTCAGGAGATCGAGACCATGCTGGCTAACATGGTGAAACCCCGTCTCTACTTAAAATACAAAAAATTAGCCAGGCATGGTGGCTGGCGCCTGTAGTCCCAGCTACTCGGGAGGCTGAGGCAGGAGAATGGCGTGAACCCGGGAGGCGGAGCTTGCAGAGAGCCAAGGTCACACCACTGCACTCCAGCCTGGGGGACAGAGCGAGACTCCATCTCAGGAAAAAATACAAAAGAAAAGAAAGGAAGCCTCAGTCATATGAAGCTATCACACCTAAACCCAGTACCAAAAGATCTCTAATTTCAAAACTATTCAGCTCTCCACAGCAAAGATCAAATATTTGGGCCAGGCGCAGTGGCTCATGCCTGTAATCCCAGCACTTTGGGAGGCCGAGGCAGGTGGATCACGAGGTCAGGAGATCGAGACCATCCTGGCTAACATGGTGAAACCCCGTCTCTACTAAAAACACAAAAAAATTAGCTGGGCGTGGTGGCAGCTGCCTGTAGTCCCAGCTACCTGGGAGGCTGAGGCAGGAGAATGGCGTGAACCTGGGAGGCAGAGCTTGCAGTGAGCTGAGATTGCACCACTGCAGTCCAGCCTGGGCAACAGAGCGAGACTCCATCTTAAATAAAAAAGACCAAATATCTGTGGTGTTTTTAGTTTACAGTACTCGAAAATATTTTTAAGGCCAGGCATGGCAGCTCATATTTGTAATCTCAGCTCTTTGGGAGGCCAAGGCAGGAGAATATCTTGAGGCCAAGAGTTCAAGACCAGCCTGGGCAACATAGGGAGACTATATCTCTACAAAAAAAAAAAAAATTAATTAATTAGCTGCACGTGGTGGTACATGCCTGTGGTCCCAGCTACTTGGAGGTTGAGGCTGGATGATCGCTTAAGCCTTGGAGGTCAAAGCTGCAGTGAGGAGTGATCGTGCCACTGCACTCCAGCCTAGGTGACAGAGCAAGACCCTGTCCCTCAAAAAAAAAAAAAAAAAAAGTCAGGCGCCGTGGCTCATGCCTGTAATCCTAGCACTTTGGGAGCCCGAGAAGGGCAGATTACCTGAGGTCAGAAGTTCGAGACCAGCCTGGCCAACAAGGTGAAACCCAGTCTCTACTAAAAATACAAAAATTAGCCGGGCGTGGTAGCACATGCTTGCAATCCCAGCTACTCAGGAAGCTGAGGTAGGAGAATCGCTTGAACCCAAGAGGTGCAGGTTGCAGTGAGCCGAGATGGCTCCATTGCATTCTAGCCTGGACAACAAGAGCGAAACTCCAACTCAAAGAAAAAACAAACAAACAAAAAAAAGGCTGGGCATGGTGGCTCACACCAGTAATCCCAGCACTTTGGCACTTTGGGAGGCCAAGGCACGCAGATCTCTTGAGGTCTGGAGTTCAAGCCCAACATGGGGAAACCCAGTCTGTATTAAAAATACAACAAAAATTGCTGAGGGTGGTAGTGCACACCTGTAGTCCCAGCTACTCAGGAGTCTGAGGCATGAGAATAGCTTGAACCCGGGGGACAGAGGCAAGAATGCACCACTGCACTCCAGCCTGGGTGACAGAATGAGACTCTGTCTCAAAAAAGAAAAGAAAAAAACAACCCAGGTGTGGCCGGGTGCGGTGGCTCATGCCTGTAATCCCAGCACTTTTGGATAAGGAGGCAGGTGGATCATGAGGTCAGGAGTTCAAGACCAGCCTGGCCAACATAGTGAAACCCCGTCTCTATTAAAAGTATAAAAAATTAGCCGAGTGTGTTGGCAGGCACCTGGAATCCCAGCTACTCAGGAGGCTGGGGCAGGAGAATCCATCCTGGACCACAGTGCAAGACTCCATCTCAAAAAAAGAAGAAACAAACAAAGAAAACAACCCAAGTACAATGACATGGCAGCACCACAGTGTTGGTCAGCCTCGGAAAGCCAGTCCCCCACCATCACTGACATCGCCGCCGGCGGGGTCACGTGCCGGGACCGGGTTCCGGTGTGGAGAGCCCCTCATCCTGGGAAAAGGTGCTGCCAGAAAGGTGGCGCCCCCTCACTCATCACGCAAGTCACGTTGAACCTGATGCTAAACCAATCATAGATGACCCGCTTCTGGGTTGGGGTTTCCTAGGTAGCTAAGCAGATCCCTGGCTGCAATCTATTCAAAGTCAGTCCTTGACACTGGGGTTTGTTTAAAAAAAAAAAAAAGCTTAAAGAAAAAGGAGAAGAAAGAAAAAACTTTTAGTCCACATTAACTTTGAAAATCTTAGTGTTAAATAACCTATAACATCCACATAGATGTGATGAGCCCACTAACTAAAACACTGACAACAAATAAAGTACATTAAACAGGCTGCACCTCAGCATTTCCCATATACCTGAACCTGCTGCGGCTGCTGAACCTGGATCTGCTGTTCTTGCTGGGTTTGTGGCTGAACACTGGTGGTGACTGGACAGGCAAGTTCAAGCAAAGACCCAGCCACTTCAGTGCTGTCTGTGTATATGCAGTTCCCACCCTGTTGGTACACCATGGTAGTGGTGGCTGTCTGCTGGAACTCCTGAAGGGCTTCTGGCCCCTTAGAGGCCAGTGAGTCCAGAAATTCCTTCATCCTGTGTTGCGGGACAGACCGTGCCTTTACTCGGATGTACTCTTCAAAGGAGATGGTGTTCTCTAGGGAATTATTCATATTGCAGAGTCCTTAGGGTTCCTAGAAATAAACAGAAGTCAAAATTATGTTACTGTTTTTAGCAGGAAATGCCCAGAAGCAATTACCCTTGCACAAGAGTGGAATATATTCAGGGCAGCTGTATACATATAGAATCAAAAAATAAAGTTTTATTATACCACCTTATTTTTTCAATTAATGGATGTTTGAAAATTATTTCTATTAACATTTCTTAAATAAAACTATCACACTGAAAACAAAAAAACAAACACATGCTTCACAATACTGGATGAAACAGGCTGAAAACACACTTCCTACCCAGCACTAGGTCAATCCCATCTTCTCTGCAGAGCCAAGCACTGGACAGTAAATGTCACATGCAAAACTGCTCTGTGACCATCACAGAGAGGACACCAAGCAAGGAGGAAGCTAGGGGCAGGGATTCCTATGGATATGTTTTATTTCCAAGTATTTCCTACAGCAGAGATAGGTATGCCACCTAGTTGTGGCAAGACACAAGAGGCAGAGGATATGTTCTTCATCTCCCATCAGAAAAACCAAAAATCCTATTTTGCCATGTGGTGCTCACATTCTTTTGCAACACAGCTTACTACTGGTTAAAAGCATGGACTCTGGAGCCAGGCTGCCTGGGTTCAAATCCCAACTTTATGTCTCCTTTATTATGTAACTCTAGAAAAGTCAATTAACCTTAGTTTTCTTGTGAGTAAATGGGGACACAATAGTACTTACCTCACAGTTGACATAAGGATTAAATAAGGCATTTAGAAAATCATCTAGCACATAGATAGCACTACAGAAATGTAACTAATACTATTAAAATAATTCTGGAAAAAAGGTAAATAGTGCTTTAAATATCCAGGTCACTACTAAAATTCAGAAATAAATTCTACAAGTTTTCATCAGGTATTTAATTACCTTAAGAATTAACCTGCAGACGTACAGTTAACTCTCATCATCTGAGGGAAAAGTGTGCAATCTGTGGACTGCTGACCCCTGTCGCTGCTACCTTTGTACCATCCTCCCTTCAACAGCCCGACCTCCAGAACAAAAGTAGCAGCAGGATGAAAGAGTAACAGAAAACAAGCGAACGTTTTTGCCAAAAAGGATTATCAGACAATTCTGAATGTCTGGAAAGGTGATTTGTTCCCTTGAGCAATCAGGATAGATACACTAGACTGACCAGATGCTCTACCTTATGTTACAGATATAAAATATGTGGGTAAACGTCTCCTTTCTTCTACCTAGGCTCTAAGTTCTTGGTAGACAAGACTATGTCCTGGTTCTCTCCGAATAGCTCACCCATGGTAGTTGCTTCATATATACCTGCTGCATTTGAAATTCAATGTGGAAAACGAAGAATTATGGTTCCTTTTTTTTTTTTTTTTTTTTTTTTTTGAGATGGAGTCTCATTCTGTTGCCCAGGCTGGAGTGCAGTGGCTTGATCTTGGCTCACTGCAAGCTCCACCTCCTGGGTTCACACCATTCTCCTGCCTCAGCCTCCCGAGTAGCTGGGACTACAGGCGCCCACCACCACGCCCAGCTAATTTTTTTGTATTTTTAGTAGAGACGAGGTTTCCCCATCTTAGCCAGGATGGTCTCGATCTCCTGACCTCGTGATCCGCCTGCCTCAGCCTCCCAAAGTGCTGAGATTACAGGCGTGAGCCACCACACCTGTCCTTTTTTTTTTTTTTTTTTTTTGAGTTGGAGTCTCCCTCTGTCGCCCAGGCTGGAGTGCAGTGGCACGATCTCGGCTCACTGCAGCCTCCCAGGTTCAAGTGATTTTCCTGCCTCAGCCTCCCGAGTAGCTGGGACTACAGGTGCCCACCACCATGCCCAGCTAATTTATGTATTTTTAGTAGAGACTGGGTTTTGCCATGTTGGCCTGGCTGGTCTCAAACTCCTGACTTCAGGTGACCCTCCCGCCTCGGCCTCCCAAAGTGCTGGGATTATAGACGTGAGCCACCCAATTGGTTTCTGTAATATCCATAGCTCCACGGACTCAAGCAATCCTTCCACCTCAGCCCAGGCAACATGGAGAAACCCCATCTCTACAAAAAATATATAAAAATTAACTGGGTATGGTGGTATGCACCTGTAGTCCCAGCTACTACGGAGGCTAAGGTAGAAGGATTGCTTGAGCCCAGAGATCGAGGCTGCAGTGACCCGAGATCACTCGAATGCACTCCAGCCTAGGCGACAGAGCGTAACTCTGTCTAAAAAAAACAAACAAACAAACAAACAAAAAAATTAAGTTATCAGCTGGTCACAGTGGTGCACACATGTAGTCTCAGCTACTCAGGAGGCTGAGGTGGAGGATTGCTTGAGACCAGGTCTTTGGGCTGGGAAACCTAGAGAGACTTTCATCTGTTAAAAGAAATAAATAAATAAAATAAAATAAATAATTATAATAAAATATTATAATAATTACAATTATGTAATATAAATATAATTTTTACATAAATATAAAAATATTATAATTATAATAATTAAATATTATAACAATTATAATAAAATACTATAATAAAATAATAATAATTAAGTGGTCAACGATGTCCACATCACACATAAAGAGAGCATCAGGCCAAGCACACTTTGCCTAACTACAGATTCAGAGAAGGCTACTTGGCTTAGGTGATCCGAGAGCACTCATTTGCCACACTTGCACAGAATGTATCAAAGTTCCCCTTTGTTAATAGCACAGTAGCGATTTCCTTAAGAAGGCATCTTTCAGCCCAGTGCGGTGGCTCACGCCTGTAATCCCAGCACTTTGGGAGGCAAAGGCAGGCAGATCACCTGAGGTCAGGAGTTTGAGACCAGCCTGGCCAACAAGGCGAAACCCTGTCTCTACTAAAAATACAAAAATTAGCCAGGCATGGTGTCAGGCACCTGTAATACCAGCTACTCGGGAGGCCGAGGCAGGAGAATTGCTTGAGCCCAGGAGGCAGAGGTTGCGGTGAGCCGAGATCGTGCCACTGCGCTCCAGCCTGGGCGCCAGACTGAGACTCTATCTCAAAAAAAAAAAAAAAGGCATCTTTCATAATAGAGATCCGGTAACATTAGAAAGTTATGAAACTCTAATATCTAATCACATATACCCTTCTGCTCAAAAGGGGACAAAGGAGAGATTATATGAGCAGCCATTAACAGGTCCTCTACCATGCTGGTACATAATTTCAGTTTTTCATCTCCATTATAAAAGAGCAGCAGAGGTCAGCTGGAATTTACATTTCCTGAAATGTATTTTCTTCAACTGTCAGTTGCATTCACATAATATACTGAGACTGATTAAATTTTCAAAGCTACTATAAAAAGCAATTTTTTTTTTAAGGTACAAAAGTAAAGCGTTTTTACATGCAGCAAAAACCTGTTTTGTCTGAAGTCTGGGAAAAAACAAATGACTAAACACCAATACAAAGAAACACTGCTTCCCAACGGAGTAGATGGGAATTCAATATCAAACAAAACAAAAACAACAACAAAAAATAATTTAAAAAAAAACAAGAAAAAAGAAACACCTCAAACAAAGTTTACAGAACTGAAAAACCTTCGTGACTATTGCCCAGTAAAGCCAGTCTCTATGATCCTCCTAGTAACCCTATTTCTCCTCACTCTTGTATTTCAAGTTTCAGAAACTCAGAAGGGGCAGCTTAAGCCTCACCTCAACTCTGATATTAAGTGTAAAGGATAATTTCACCGACTTTTCTTCTTTTCTTCCTAGAAACAAGCTTTCTTCAGTATTCAGTATAGAATTCCACCTAGTTTTTGTTTTGTTTTTGGAGGTTTCTTGGGGGGTTGGGGACAGGGATATGAAACTCAACTAAGAAAAACCATTATAATAGTATAAAAAGATATAAAATAAAAAGTAAAAACAGCTAAGTATGCTTTGACCTCTAGTTCTTCATCATGCCATTGCACTCCAGGCTGGGCAACAAGAACGAAACTCCATCTCAAAAAAAAAAAAAAAAAAAAAAAAAAGCCTAAAAAAATTATAAATAAAAAACTAAAAATCACCCTCCTCTCACCAAACCCTGCCAATCACATTTTTATTCTTAGTTTTGTTATGATTACTTTCATACCTTTAAGCCTCTACTTGCAGACTCATTAATTTTAGAGTATTGGCCAGGTGCGGTGGCTCAGGCCTCTAATCCCAGCACTTTGGGAGGCTGAGCTGGGTGGATCGCCTGAGGGCAGGAGATCGAGACCAGCCTGGCCAACATGGTGAAACCCTGCCTTTACTAAAAATATAAAAATTAGCCGGGCATGATGGCACATTCCTGTAATCCCAGCTACTCAGGAGGCTGAGACAGGAGAATCACTTGAACCCAGGAGATGGAGGTTGTAGTGAGCCGAGACTGCACCACTGCCCTCCAGCCTAGGCAACAGAGTGAGACTCCATCTTAAAAAAAAAAAAAAAAAAATTTCAGAGTATCTATGGAGTTCTCACTATGTAAGATCAGGAAATTAAAGTTCCACACCCCTGATTTTTTGTTGTTGGTTTCTTTAGACAAGGTCTTATTCTATCACCCAGGATGGAGTGCAGTGGTAAGATCTTGGTTCACTGCAACCTCAACCTCCTGGGATCAATTGTTCCTCTCACCTGAGCCGCCCAAGCGGCTGGGACTACAGGCGTGTACCATCACGCCCAGCTAATTACAGTATTTGTTAGAGAGACAGGGTTTTGCCATGTTGCCCACGCTGTTCTCAAACTCCTGGGCTCAAGAGATCTGCCCACCTCGGCCTCCCAAACTGCTGGGATTACAGGCGTGAGCCACCATGCCTGGCCGAAGCCTTCTATTTTTTTTTTTTTTGAGACAGAGTCTTGCTCTGTAGCCCAGGTTGGAGTGCAGTGGCGTCATCTCTACTCACTGCAACCTCTGTCTCCCGGGTCCCAGCCATTCTCCTGCCTCAGTCTCCAAAGTAGCTGGGATTACAGGCATACGCCACCATGCCCAGCTAATTTTTGTATTTTTAGTAGAGACAGGGTATCACCGTGTTGGCTAAGCTGGTCTCGAACTCCTGACCTTGTAATCTGCTGGCCTTGGCCTCCCAAAGTGCTGGAATTACAAGGCACCTGCCCCCATACCCGGCTAATTTTTGTATTTTCAGTGGAGATGGAGTTTTGCTATGTTGGCCAGCCTGGTCTCAAACTCCTCACCTCAAGCGATCTGCCCAACCTCCCAAAGTGCTAGGATTACAGGCATGAGCCACTGCGCCCAGCAAGGTGTCCTCTATTTTTGACAAACATTTAGCTAAGTGAATATAACTTCTATTTAATCAATATTTTAGTTTTAGAATACATTTCATACCAAAGTCCAGAACATATTTTTTGTCAATCAAGGTTCCAAAGATATGATTAAAACAATTCTGCTGCCTATGTCATCTCCAAATAAATCCTACCAGCCAGTATTTCTAGAATAGTACCTTTAAAAAGTTACTATAAGAAACTCTAGTCCAAATATACATTTATTTCCTGAGCAAAAAGGCAAATAAGCTAGATATTCAGCTGTCAGAAAAAATAAAAGCTTCAAAAAGTTACTTGCTATAAACCATCAAAATCCATTCTTTAAGCCTTCCATTTAAAAAAAAAGAAAAAAAAAGCCGGGCACGGTGGCTCACGCCTGTAATCCCAGCACTTTGGGAGGCTGAGGTGGGTGGATCACGAGGTCGGGAGATCGAGACCACCCTGGCTAACACGGTGAAACCCTGTCTCTACTAAAAATACAAAAAATTACCCTGGCGTGGTGGCAGGCGCCTGTAGTCCCAGCTACTCGGGAGGCTGAGGCAGGAGACTGGCGTAAACCTGGGAGGCAGAGCTTGCAGTGAGCCGAGACCACACCACTGCACTCCAGCCTGGGCGACAGAGCAAGACTGCGTCTCAAAAAAAAAAAAAAAGAAAAAAAGGCCAGGTGTGGTGACTCACGCCTGTAATCCTAGCACTATGGACTTTGGGGGGCCAAGGAAGGTGGATAACCTGAGGTCGGGAGTTCGAGACCAGCCTGACTAACATGGAGAACCCCCGTCTCTACTAAAAATACAAAATGAGTTGGGCATGGTAGAGCATGCCTGTAATCCCAGCTACTTGGGAGGCTGAGGCAGGAGGATCGCTTGAACCTGGGAGGCGGAGGTTGCAGTGAGCCAAGATCGCACCATTGCACTCCAGCCTGGCGACAAAGTGAGACTCTGTCTCAAAAAAAAAAAAAAAAGGGGGGGGGGGAGCCTGGGATGATGGTGCATGCCTGCAGTCCCAGCTACTCAAGAGACTGAAACAGGAGGATTGCTTGAGTAGTCCAGGAGTTCTGGGCTATAGTGCTCTATGCCAATCGGGTGTCCACACTAAGTTCAGCATCAATATGGTGACTTCAAGGGAGCAGGGAATCACCAGGTTGCCTAAAGAGGGGTGAACCACCCCAGGTTGGAAATGGGGCAGGTCAAAACTTCCATACTGCAGTAGTAGAATCCTGTCTGTGGATAGCCACAGCACTCCAACCTGGGCACCACAGTGAGATCCCATCTCTTAGAAATAATAGTAATAATTTAAAAGACAAACAAGCTTGAGGTAGGAAAAATTCCATAAAACCATTAGAAAATATCAATACTAAGCTTGGCATGGTGGTTCTCGCCTGTAGTCCCAGCTACTTGGGAGGCCGAGGCAGGAGGATAGGATGGCTTGATCCCAGCAGTTTGAGCCTGCAATGAGCTATGATCATGCCACTGCACTCCAGCTTGGGTGACAGAGTGAGACTCCATCTCAAAAAAAAAAAATTAGCCAGGTGTGGTGCTGCATACCTGTAGTCCCAGCTACTTGGGAGGCTGAGGCAGGAGAATCGCTTGAACCCAGGAGGCACAATCTTGGCTCACTGCAACCTCCGTGCCCCCCAGGTTCAAGCGATTCTCCTGCCTCAGCCTCCCGAGTAGCTAGGATTACAGGCACCTGCCACCGTGCCTGGCTAATTTTTGTATTTTTAGTAGAGGCAGGGTTTCACCATCTTGGCCAAGCTGGTCTTGAACTCCTAAACTCATGATCCACCCGCCTCAGCCTCCCAAAGTGCTGGGATTACAGGTATGAGCCACCGCACCCGGCCCACATCCGGCTAATTTTTATATTTTTAGTAGAGATGAGGTTTTGCCATGTTGGCCAGGCTGGTCTCGAACTCTTAACCTCAGGTAATCCACTCGCTTCCACCTTCCAAAGTGCTGGGATTACAGGCATGAGCAACCACACCCAGCCTAAATTCTTTTTTATTTTTATTTTTATTGAGACACAGTGTTGCTCTGTCGCCCAGGCTGGAGCGTAGTGGCACGATCCTGGCTCACTGAAACCTCCGCCTCCTAGGTTCAAGCAATTCTCCTGCCTCAGCCTCCAAAGTGGCTGGGATTACGGGCACCCGCCACCATGCCCAGCTAATTTTTGTATTTTAGTAGAGACGGGATTTCGCCATGTTGGTCAGGATGTACTCAAACTCCTGACCTCAAGCGATCCACAGCATCGGTCTCCCAAAGTGCTAGGATTACAGGCGTGAGCCATCACATCCAGCCAAGATTGTGAGACCAGCCTGGCCAACATGGTGAAACCCCATCTCCACTAAAAATACAAAAACTAACAGGGCATGGTGGCAGCCACCCGTAATCCCAGCTACTCTAGAGGCTGAGGCAGGAGAATTGCTTGAATCCGGGAGGCGGAGGTTGTAGTGAGCTGAGACTGCGCCACTGCACTTCAGCCTGGGGAAAGAGTGAGACTCCACCTCAAAAAATGATAAAAAGGAATGCTAACAGTAGTTATGCCTAGATGATGGAACCACAGAGTAATTAAGTTTCTTCTGTTAAACACTCTTCTGAATTTTCCACAAGTGGTATTAATCTAAGGCTCACGCCTGTAATCCCAGCACTTTCCGAGGCAGGCAGATCACCAGATCAGGAGATCGAGACCATCCTGGCTATCACGGTGAAACCCCGTCTCTACTAAAAATACAAAAAAATTAGCCGGGTGTGGTGTTGGGCGCCTGTAGTCCCAGCTACTCGGGAGGCTGAGGCAGGAGAATGGTGTGAATCTGGGAGGTGGAGCTTGCAGTGAGCCAAGATCGTGCCACTGCACTCCAGCCTGGGCGACAGAGCAAGACTCCGTCTCAAAAAAAAAAAAATCATCTTTTTCTACACAGTGGCTATAGTGTAGTAATGGTAAGACACATAATTCTGGCTGATCATAGTATGATTTTCTTTCAAAATCTGAAAGAAACTAAACCGGCCGAAAGAGGTGGCTCATGCCTGTAATCCCAGCATTTTGGGAGGCCGAGGCAGGCGGATCACCAGGTCAGGAGATCGAGACCATCCTGGCTATCACGGTGAAACCCCATCTCTACTAAAAATACAAGTGGTTATAGTGTAGTAATGGTAACAGACACGTAATTCTGGTTGATCATAGTACGATTTTCTTTCAAAATCTGAAAGAAACTAAACCTGCCGAACGAGGTGGCTCATACCTGTAATCCCAGCACTTTGGGAGGCCGAGGTGGGTGGATCACCTGAGGTCAGTAGTTTGAGACCAGCCTGACCAACATGATGAAACCCCGCCTCTACTAAAAATACAAAAAAAATTAGCCAGGTGTGGTGACACGTGCCTGTAATCCCAGCTACTCGGAAGGCTGAGACAGGAGAATCGCTTGAACCTGGGAGGTGGAGGTTGCAGTGAGCCAAGACCATGCCACTGCACTCCGGCCTGGGCAACAAGGGCAAAACTCCATCTCAAAAAAAAAAAAAAGAAAAAGAAACTAAACCATAAAATACCAAAAACTTGTACAAAATAATGAAGACTTAACTTCAAGATGCTGCACATAAGACACAAAAGTTGAGCCTTCGTAATAAAGAGAAATGGAGAAACTTCTAAAAGAGACAAAAGATTCTTAATTAGCTCCAAGTAAAAGACTTAGTAAGAAGCAATAAAGAAATTAATTAAAGTATTTCTGAAAAACATGCAGCCATGAGGATATCTGAGTGTTCCCAATTTCTGGGACTCTGATGAGACTAATAATGAAAAAAGAAAATACTCTAATGCTCTTGGGGTGTATGAGGTCTGTAAACAAGCATTTACTTCTAAACGCTTTTAAATATAGCTGCATTGTAAAAAAAAAAAAATAAGTAACAATAAAGGAAAGCCAGCCCTCCCTTAAACAGACCCTGGACATTTTTGCTGGTATAAAATCAAATTGTTCACTGGTATCTCCTCTGTATCTCCCTCTTTTTCTTTTTCTTTTTTTTTTTTTGAGATGGAGTCTCACTCTGTCGCCCAGGCTGGAGTGCAATGGTGCGATCTCGGCTCACTGTAAGCTCCACCTCCTGGATTCACACCATTCTCCTGCCTCAGCCTCCCAAGTAGCTGGGACTACAGGCACCCACCACCACGCCCGGCTAATTTTTTTGTATTTTTAGTAGAGACGGGGTTTCGCCGTGTTAGCCAGGATGGTCTCGATCTCCTGACCTCGTGATCCTCAGCCTCCCAAAACTGGGATTACAGGTGTGAGCCACTGCGCCTGGCTCCTCTGTATTTCCTCCTACTGGAGCTTAGCATAGTGCCTGATGCACAGCAATTCTTCACTACATGAGTTATTATTTTTATTATTTTATTATTAGAACATAAGATGGTACCATGGACAAAGGTTACTCCAAAACAACAATCTATTACATTTCTATAGGTCTGTTTGCTAATTTTTTTCTTTTTTCCGTTTAGGTACCAAGGGAAGATCTTATTGCAATCACTGTTTCTTGGGTTTCTTATCCCTGATACCTCTTTTGGGCCCCCTGTATGGCTCTGCAGAGTGAGTCTTCAATCCGTGATGGACTAAAAGAAGTCTGAACTGCCTCAGAACCTTACCTCTTCCTTGGGCTTTGAGGCCCCTCAAGGTTCACATCTACTCCAACAATGGCTCTTCATAGCTTAGTCCAGTTTGAATACATTCATATGGGGCCCGGTGCAGTGGCTCACGCCTGTAATCCCCAGCACTTTGGGAGGCTGAGGTGGGCGGATCACCTGAGGTTGGGAGTTCAAGACCAGTCTGGCCAACGTGGTGAAATCCCATCTCTACCAAAAACACAAAAATTAGCCAGGCGTGGTGGTGGGCACCTGTAACCTCAGCTACTCGGGAGGCTGAGGCAGGAGAATCACTTGCACCCAGCAGCCGGAGGTTGCAGTGAGCCGAGATCGCGCCACTGCACTCCAGCCCGGGCAACAAGAGCAAAACTCTGTCTCAAAAAAATAAAATAAAATAGGCCAGGCACAGTGGCTCACGCCTATAATCCCAGCAGTTTGGGAGGCTGAGGCAGGCAGATCACAAGGAGTTTGAGACCAGCCTAGCTAATATGGTGAAACCCTGTCTCTACTAAAAATACAAAAATTAGCCAGGTGTGGTGCCTGTAGTCCCAGCTACTAGGGAAGCTGAGGCAGGAGAATTACTTGAACCCGGGAGGCGAAGGTTGCAGTGAGCCACGATCGCACCACTGCACTCCAGCCTGGGCAACAGAGCAAGACTCCATCTCAAAAAATAATAAGAAAAATAAATTTAAAAAAAATAAAAATAAAAAAATAGGCCAGGTGCAGTGGCTCATGCCTGTAATCCTAGCACGCTGGAAGGCCGAGTCGGGCATATCACGAGGTCAGGAGTTCAAGACCAGCCTGGCCAACATGGTGAAACCCCATCTCTACTAAAAATACAAAAATTAGCCAGGCGGGGTACCATGCGCCTGTAGTCCCAGCTACTCGGGAGGCTGAGGCAGAAGAATTGCTTGAACTCAGGAGGCGGAGGTTCATCTCAAAAAAAAAAAAAAAAAAAAAGAACAATGTCTTCTATGCTTCTTTGAAATAACTCCATATGTTTATAAGACAGACATGACTCCTTAAAATGGAAATTGATTTTTTTTCCATGTGAATATATTCATTTTATTTCATTTATTTTTTTTTTTTTGAGACAGAGTCTCACTCTGTCACCCAGGCTGGAATGCAGTGGCACAATCTCGGCTCACTGCAAGCTCTGTCTCCCGGGTTCACGCCAGTCTCCTGCCTCAGCCTCCCAAGTAGCTGGGACCACAGGCGCCCGCCACCACATCCAGCTAATTTTTTTGTATTTTTTAGTAGAGAGAAAGTTTCACCGTGCTAGCCAGGATGCTCTCGATCTCCTGACCTCATGATCTGCCCGCCTCGGCCTCCCAAAGTGGTGGGATTACAGGCGTGAGCCACCGTGCCCGACCAGAATTGACGTATTTCTATTCTTTTGCCTGGGTTTTGTTTCTTTGTATTTTTATTTTTTTGAGACGAAGTCTCGTTTTCTCACCCAGGATGGAGTGCAATGGCATCATCTCGGCTCAATGCAACCTCCGTTTCCCAGGTTCAAGTGGTTCTCCTGCCTCAAGCCTCCCTAGTAGCTTGAACTACAGGCGCACGCCACCCAGCCCAGCTAATTTTTTTGTATTTTTAGTAGAATCGGGGTTTCACCATATTGGCCAGGCTGTTCTCGAACTCCTGACCTCAGGTGAGGAGTTCATTTCCACGGCCCCCCTCGACCTCCCAAAGTGCTGGGATTACATGCCTGAGCCACTGCACCAGGCTTTTGTCTGTTTTTTTTTTTTTTTTTTTTTTAATGAGACAAGGTCTTGCTCCACTACCCAGGATAAAATGCAGTGGTGCATTCATAGATCCCTGCAGCCTCACACTCCTGGGCTCAAACAATCCTCCTGCCTCTGCCTCCCGAGTAGCTGGGACTACAGGTCCATGCTACCACATCCAGCTATTTTTATTTTTCTGTAGAAATGGGGTCTTGCCATCTTGCCCAGGCTGGTCTCCAACTCCGGGGCTCAAGCAATCCTCCCACCTTGGCCTCCCAAACTGCTGGGATTACAGGCATGAGGCACTGTGTTCCACCCATATTTCGATTTTTAAGGATACTAGCCAACTGCAGGGTTTGTGATAGAAGTTATCCCATTAGGCCATTTATATGCCCCATGCCAGAGGAGTCCCTGGTTTAGGGGCATTTTCATCACGGTTCTATTTTCTTTTTTTCTTTTCTTTTTTTTTTTTTAAATGGAGTCTCGCTCTGTCCCCCAGCTTGGAGTGCAATGGTGCCCTCTCAGTTCACTGCAACCTCCGCCTACAGGTTCAAGCGATTCTCCTGCCTCATCTTCCCGAGTAGTTGGGATTACAGGCGCCCATCACCATGCCCTGCTAATTTTTGTATTTTTAGTAGAGACGGGATTTCACCATGTTGGCCAGGCTGGTCTGGAACTCCTGACCTTAGGTGATCCGCCCGCATTGGCCTCCTAAAGTAATGGGATTACAGGCATGAGCCACTGCACCCGGCCATGGTTCTATTTTCAATCAGGAAACTAAAATTTGTATTTTTCCCAAATATTGACGGATTGTAAACTGGCACAACCACTTGCATTATCTAGTGAAGCTGAAAATATCCATTCCACGAACCTGAGCAATTTTACCCATCAGTATATATGAAGGAACTTTTTTTTAAACAAGGGTACTTAATACAAGAATGTTCACAGCAGCATTGTTAAGAGCCAAAAGCTGGAAGCAACCCAGATATCTATCAATAGTGGAATAGATAAATACCTTATGGTGTATTCATACAACAGAATACTACATAAAAAATGGAAATGAACAGCTGCACACAATGTGAACAAATTTCAGAAACATTATGCTAAGACAACATAATACAGCATGACTCCATTTATACAAAACTCATAAGGAAACAAATCTAAACTAGGTTAAGGGCTACGGAGATGGTAAATGTAAAAAGAAGAAGAATGTTATCACAGAATAACAGCTGTCTGTACGGCTTGAGAAGCTGTGATCAGGAAGGGACCCACGAAGGGTTCAGAGATACTGGCATCGTTTTATTTCTTGAAAAAGTAGTACTTTCGCCAGCATTTACTTTATAATTTGTCATTAAATTGTACAGAGATCGCCTAAATTTACATGGATGGATAAATATTTCACAAATTTTAAAACAAAGAAAAACATGGGCGGGCGCAGTGGCTCACGCCTGTAATCTCAGCACTTTGGGAGGCCAAGGTAGGCAGACCACGAGGTCAGGAGTTCAAGACCAGCCTGACCAACATAGTGAAACTCCGTCTCTACTACAAATACAAAAAATTAGCCAGACATCAGCCGGGCACAGTGGCTCACGCCTGTAATCCCAGCACTGTGGGAGGCCGAGGCGGGCGGATCACGAGGTCAGGAGATCAAGACCATGCTGGCTAACACGGTGAAACCCCGTCTCTACTAAAACTACAAAAAATTAGCCGGGCATGGTGGCAGGCACCTGCAGTCCCAGCTACTCGGGAGGCTGAGGCAGGAGAATGGCGTGAACCCAGAAGGTGGAGCTTGCAGTGAGCCGAGATCGTGCCACTGCACTCCAGCCTGGGCAGCAGAGCGAGACTACGTCTCAAAAAAAAAAAAAAAAAAAATTAGCCCAGCGTGGTGGCGGGCACCTGTAATTCCAGCTACTCCAGAGGCTGAGGCAGGAGAATTGCTTGAACCCGGAAGGTGGAGGTTGCAGTGAGCCGAAATCGTGCTACTGCACTCCAGCCTGGGCGACAAGAGTGAAACTCCATCTCAAAAAAAAAAAAAAAAGAGAAAAGAGAAAAAGAGAAAAATATTAGCCTTCTGACACAGCCACCATTTCTACCTACAGTTTTGCCCTGGCCTGAAGAGTGAGACCAAAGGAGCACTCCTTCCCTCTTTCAGCAAAGGAAGAAATTAATCTACCATTTCTTCATGCAGCCACATCAATTTAATAACAGAAATCACAATCTAATGTAATAACTAGGAAAAAATACAAAGGAAGCATTTAAGTGAAGTCTGAAGAGGACTTAAAACATCTGGAACAAAATGCAGTACAACAGAATAACAGAAAAGAACAGGTAATAGGCCAGGCGCGGTGGCTCACGCCTGTAATCCCAGCACTTTGGGAGGCCAAGGTGGGAGGATCCCGAGGTCAGGAGATTGAGACCATCCTGGCTAACAGAGTAAAACCCCGTTTCTACTAAAAAATACAAAAAATGAGACAGGCATGGTGGCGGGAGCCTGCAGTCCCAGCTACTCCGGAGGCTGAGGCAGGAGAATGGCGTGAACCCAGGAGGCAGAGGTTGCAGTGAGCCAAGATTGCACCACAGCACTCCAGCCCGGGCAACAGAGCGAGACTCCGTCTCAAAAAATAATAATAAAAATAAAAAGAAAAGAACAGGTATTCATGTAACACCTAATTCTAAGGCTAATTCAGAAATCAGAGACCCTTACAGATCAAGAGTGGCCATTTAAAAAGCAGACAAGAAAGAAATATGGCACATGAAGTATAAACCACAACTAATTAAACTAAAAGAAAGCATATCCAAAAAAAAAAGCATATCCAAAGTAAGGAAAGACATCCCTGATTCTGAAGCTGCCTTAAAGAAAGGCAGCCACATCCAGAGCCCCTGACTTTGGTTACTTTCCTAGAGCAATTCAAATTTACAAGAAAATTAAACCACTATTTGATCTTTAGTTTGAAATGGCAACATAAGCTGGAGAGAGGATGTGGAACTGCAGAGGTTCTCGAAGAGTTATAGGAAAAATTCATCAGAGAGGACCCGAAGGAAGACATCTAATAAGTAAATCTTAGTTGACAAACTTGGAGAAAAAGTATTTATAAACACCAATTTAAAAGGAAGATCTCAAGCTTAATAGTTAAAAATAAAGATAACCCAGAACAAGCAAGCCTAAAAAATTAATCAAAATTTGGTCGGGCGCGGTGGCTCACGCCTGTAATCCCAGCACTTTGGGAGGCCGAGGGCGGGTGGATCACGAGGTCAGGAGTTCGAGACCAGTCTGATCAACATGGTGAAACCCCGTCTATACTACAAATACAAAAAATTAGCCAGGTGTGGTGCTGCATGCCTGTAATCCCAGTTACTTGGGAAACTGAGGCAGGAGAATCGCTTCAACCAGGGAGGCGGAGGTTGCAGTGAGCCGAGATCACACCCCTGCACTCCAGCCTGGGTGACAGAGTGAGACTCCGTCTCAAAAAAAAAAAAAAAGTCAAAATTTTAAGTGTATCCTAGAAAAACTTTACAGCTTTTCTTTGAACCATTTAGGTCCGTTTAAAAGCTGAGCCTGCAAACGCTTAAATCTGCGGGTTCCACTGACTTATATCCTAAGAGGAGAAAACTGAGCAAGTAGCGAACTGTGGCTGAATTCAAAGATGCCGTTCTCCCACATCTTCATTTTACAGCACCTAATAGTTTCTGGAAGACAGCACCCAGAATTGACAGGATTTGTAATGCTTCAGTATTACCAGAAAAAAAACTGTGCACAGATACTTCCAGGATATGAACAATTTTAACTCACCAGTCACCATGTTGCATGTATTTCTGCTGCTTGTCCTGAGTTCTTAAGACTTCTAATATTCTGAAGAAGATAGAACAAAAAAGTTCCTTCCATCCTCAGCCTCTTTTTATTAATAATTTTAACTTTGTTCTTAAAAACAATACAGTACATTAGAAAGAACTACCCCACCATTATCAAATTTGATGGCTAATTTTACTTCCTCTTAGCTTCCTATTCCTTAAGCTTAATTGAGCAAGACTGTAAATCAAACTAGCAGATGTTTTGTATTAGAAAAAAGAGGTGCCTATTTCTCTAGAACAAACCTAGAACTTCCTTGACACCAAAACACAGCGGCAGGGTCAAAAAAAGAGCTGAAAAGGACTGAAATCCTACACCAAAAGTGACTTTTACAGTGATACACTATCAGATTTTAGTAATTTCTGCTGGGATTTCTGCAATTTCAAAAAAGGTAAAGCACTGATTCTCAGGTTGTTCCATTTTGTTTAAGGCCAACTTTTTGGCTGAGGCAAAGGTGGGCCTTTAATATAATAAAGTAAGCCCCTCCCACTTACGCAAAAGAAAAGCTGCGTTTAAGGATTTAAACTGGCATTTTAGAGCTCGGAGTTCACATGGGCCACATAAGCGAATTCCCTTCCGGAGCGCACAGAGGTGACGTGTATGAATTACGCTTATGGACGTATTAGTTTCTAATGAAAGATAAGCAGGTACCACTCAAGGGCCTTCTAATATTAACCTTCCCTGCCCGGCAGAAAGCCCAGTACAAGGTGAGGAAATCCGAAGGGGCTCACTGCCCTCTCAAACCAAGAGGGCTTGGTTTCCGAAGCAGAGAAACACCCTACCCAAGCACCCGCACCGTACTTGGGCCTCAAGTAACGGCATTCTTCGAGGAGAACGGGCAATCTCGCCCCCCTCACAGAGGAGCGGAACCGCAAGCCAGACAGCAAAGCTGGTTGGTTTCTCTCCAGGCCGAGGCCACGGATGCCCGGGAACGTCACCAGACCAGAAAGGACCCAATCCTCAACCTTCCCAGCGCAACGAGCCGCGGCCGGCCCTCTGCTCAGCAGAAGCCTCCTGCGCGCTCTCGAGGCAGCACCGCCACCCGATATCAGAGCGCGCGCCCCAAAACTGGGGGTCGTCACGGGCGCGCGCTCCAGAAAGCCGCGGTTGCCCACGGGCCACAGCTCCTAGAGCAGAGATATCCGGGCCGGGAACGCGCACGTCGGCGGCCACGCGCACCGAGAGCCGCACAGCGCGCGCGCGTAAAAACAGGCTCAGCCGCGCGCCCGCACCGGCGCGCCATCTCGCGCCGCGCCCACCCAAATCCCCGGGCCACCCCTCCCCCATCCACAGGGCGGGGTGCGCTAGCCCAGGAACGTTTTCGGCTCCGGAGCCGCCCCGAACTCTCCAGGGCCCAGCGGTAGTGGCCCGCCCGCCCCCGCCCGCCGTTGTGTGGGGTGGGCCCCCCGTCTCAGGCCTACAGCTTCGCCGCATCCCCACCCGCACTGGAGCCCTCACCCGGCGACGTCACTGCCGCCGCCGCCGCCGCCTCCGCTGCACCCGCCGGCCCCGCCGCACCGCCAGGGACCCTGGTTCTGCCGTCGTCGCTCCAAGACCGACAGGGTTTTCTCCTCACAGCTCCCTGGGCGCCATCTTACATTCAACCCTCACAGCCAATAGGAGCCGATTGCTCCTCTCGCGATAATCGGGGCGTCGGATCCCGCGAGATCTGGGACTGCCTACCGGCCAAAATTAAAGTGAACGCTTCAGCAGGGGAAGGTGGCCGCGCTTCTGGCCGCTAGAGCGGATAGTGGATCCTAGGGTATGGAGCGGCTCGCTCCGCCCATGGACGCCTCTCCATGTGGGGCGGAGCTAGGGCCGTGGCTTGGCCTAGTAGTGGAGTCTCGGAAGGCTAGGGCTCCAAGCTAGCTCTTTGGACCCACCTTCCGTCGCCCGCCAGAGCCTCCTTTGGTCGAGCACGCCCACGCGGGGCGGGGCCTGGCCAGGCTCGGCCTCTCGCTTAAGGTGGACCCCACAAACTTCTGTCCTGGGCCTGGCGTCCCCAGCCGTGCCCTGCCTGGGAAGCCTCTAGGTTGCTCACCTCCTGGAGGAGTCAGCATCTGGTACTCCCGCTGTCTGCTGCCATCTGAGTTCAGCCTTCCGCAGTTGGGTCCACCTTAAAGCGGGCCCCCGGGTAGCCTAGTGTTTGTATACAGGGAAAATGTGGAAGGCGTTAAAGCTGCAGGCACACTCGGGCCTCAGCAGCAGCCTACACTGCCCCCAGAGGGCTTCCAGCCTGCTGTAGACTCTTTTTGCCTCGGAGCTTTTGCCCTTGTTCCTCTTATCCTGGCAAACTCCCCGTAGTCTTTCGTGATTCCCTTCAGAAGTCACTTCGTTAGAGTAATGTTTTCTGAGGCCCAGGCTGGGTCAGGAACCTCTTCCAGTCTTGCACAGGCCCCAGGGAGACCGCTCCCATACAGTGCTTGGTCACCCATTTCCCCTCCCGTGAACTTGGAAGGCCACCACAGCACGTATGCCCCATCTCACTTTGCCTGGCACGTAGTAGGCACTCAAAAATTATATGCCGAATGGGCCGGGCACGGTGGCTGAAGTCTGTAATCCCAACACTTTGGGAGACCGAGGCGGGTGAATCACCTGAGGTCAGGAGTTTGAGACCAGCCTGGCCAACATGGTGAACCCCGTCTCTACTAAAAATACAAAATTAGCCGAGTGTGGTGGTGCATGCCTGTGATCCCAGCTACTTAAGAGGCTGAGGCAGGAAAACTGCTTGAACCTGGGAGGCAGAGGTTGCAGTGAGCTGAGATCACACCATTGCACTGCAGCTTGGGGGACAAGAGTGAGACTCCGTCTCAAAAATAAAAAAGAATTATAGGCTGATTGGGCGCAGTGGCTCACGCCTGCAATCCCAGCACTTTGGGAGGCCGAGGCGGGCAGATCACCTGGGGTCAGGAGTTCCAGACCAGTCTGGCCAATTTGGCAAAACCCCGTCTCTACTGAAATTACAAAAATTATTCAGGAGTGGTGGCGCCCGCCTGTAATCCCAGCTACTTGGGAGGCTGAGGCACGAGAATCGCTTGAACCCGGGAGGCAGAGGTTGCAGTGAGCCAAGATTGAGCCACTGCACTCCAGCCTGGGCTAGAGTGGAACTCCGTATCAAAAAAAAAAAAAAAAAATTATATGCTGAATGATCAGACTGGGAGCTAGGCCTCTCCACACCAGCAGAAACAAACCTTTTAGATCCCTCTGGCACAGGGGTCCTAACCATGGACAAACACCCCAGGGCCCTCCATTCTCTCAGACCAGGTGCGGAGGGTATGAATCCTACCCAGGCCCCTGCCTTTAAGCACCAAAAAGTGCACCGGTGCTTTCAAAGCTGTCAGTACCACTCTGTTCTGGGAAAGTCCATTCTCACAGACAAAATGTGCAAAAGGCACATCTCCATCCCCCAATCATACCACCACCACCAGCATGTCTTCAGGGCCTTCAGATGCTAGAAGTGCAGAGATAACACACAGACTCTAGGAGAATTTAGCTGTTCTTTATTGACATGGAATTTGGGGTGGCGAGGGTAGCCACACCCTCCAGGAGGATGAGGTAGGTTCAGTGCTTCCAGCTCACACCTTTCCTGGGTCTTCCTTCAGTGTGACAGTTCGGTTAAAGACAAGCTGGAGGGCAGAGGGAAAAGGATGACCACCAACCCAGAACAAGGCCAGGGAGGCCTGGGCAGGTTTCACCACAGACACCTCCCCCTAACATCCTTCTTAAGCCAAAGAAGCCGAGGGACTAAGGGTCAGGAGGCCCGGGTCCTCAATAACTTTGTGACTTTGGGTAAGGGACTGAATGGGGCTCTAGGCTATAGTATTATATGGACCATAACAACCACCGTGGGGGTCCAGGGTATAGTTTTATATGGATTATAACAACCACCATGTTTGCCCCCTACTTTAAGGAGTAAGAAAGACAGGGTGGGCTGGTGCAGTGGCTCACGCCTGTAATCTCAGCACTTTGGGAGGCTGAGACAGGCAGATAATCTGAGGTCAGGAGTTCAAGACCAGCCTGGCCAACATGGCAAAACCCCGTCTCTACTAAAAATACAAAAATTAGGCCAGGCGCAGTGGCTCACGCCTGTAATCCCAGCACTCTGGGAGGCCGAGGCAGGCGGATCATGAGATCAGGAGATCGAGACCATCCTGGCTAACACGGTGAAACCCCGTCTCTACTAAAAAATAGAAAAAATTAGCTGGGAGTGGTGGCGGGCGCCTGTAGTCCCAGCTATTTGGGAGGCTGAGGCGGGAGAATGGCGTGAACCCGGGAGGCAGAGCTTGCAGTGAGCCGAGATTGTGCCACTGCACTCCAGCCTGGGCGACATGTGAGACTCCGTCTCAAAAAAAAAAAAAAAAAAAAAAAAAAAAAAAAAAAAATTTGCCGGGCGTGGTAGCATGTGCCTGTAATCCCAGCTACTTGGAAGGCTGAGGCAGGAGAATGGCTTGAGCCTGGGAGGCGGAGGTTGCAGTGGGCCGAGATCGTGCCACTGTACTCCAGCCTGGGCAACAGGGCGAGATACTGTTTCAAAAAAAGAAAAAAAAAAAAAAAAGGATGGCAGGGTGGCTGGGCACAGTGGCTCATGCCTATAATCCCAGCACTCTAGGAGGCTGAGACAGGAGGACTGCTTGAAGCCAGTAATTCAAGACCAACCTGGGCAACATAGTGAGAACTTGCCTCTACAAAAAGTTTTAAAATTAGCCAGGCATGGTAGTGTGCACATGTAGTCTCAGCTAAGGCAGGAGAATAGCTTGAGCCCAGTAGTTTGAGGCCACAGTGAGCTATGATTGCACCACTTCACACCACCCTGGGCAAGAGTAAGACCCCGTCTCTAAAATAAATAAAAAGAAAGGTTATTAGCTGCCTTAACGAAAGATATTAAAAATAATATCTTTCGGGTGTTTCACCATGTTGGCCAGGGTGGTCTCGAACTCCTGACCTCTGGTGGTAAGCCCTGACCTCTGGTGATCAGCCTGCCTTGGCCTCCCAAAGTGCTGGGATTACAAGTGTGAGCCACCATGCCCTGCCTCAAAAAATAATAATTAAAAAAAAAAAAGAGGTCGGGTGCAGTGGCTCATGACTGTGATCCCAGCACTTTGGGAGGCCGAGGCGGGCAGATCATGAAGTCAGGAATTCGAGACCATCCTGGCCAACATGGTGAAACCCCATCTCTACTAAAAATACAAAAAATTAGCCGGGTGTGGTGGCAGGCGCCTGTAATCCCAGCTACTCGGGAGGCTGAGGCAGGAGAATCACTTGAACCTGGGAGGCAGAGGTTGCAGTGAGCCGAGATGGTGCCATTGCACTCCAGCCCCGGGCGACAGTGCAAGACTGTCTCAAAAAAAAAGGCAGCCTTCATACAAAATTTTGTGCCTGGAGTTATCCTCAGTGCCAGTTTCCTCACTAGTAGAATATGAATACCAACTCCCTCAGGTGGTGAGGATTAACTAAGGGAATGTATGCAGAGCACTTGGCACAATGAACGGCAGCCACTGTCACTGCTGCAGATGAGGGCAGGTGAGTAAAGTCAAGCACCTTTCCCTGATGGCTGTCTGGATCCACGGAGAAATATCCAAGACGCTCAAACTGGAACTTGTCGAAGGGTTTTGCCAGGGCCACAGAGCAGTCCACTAATGCTGCATCCACCACGTGTAGTGATGCCTGCAGGCAGGGAACTCAGGCAACCATCCAACCAGGGAGGCCTACCTCCCTCACCCCAAACCTCATGAACCTACCAGGTTCAGGTCACTTAAAAATCCACCAGGCACCTCAGTAGGATCTTCAGGGTTCTTGTGCTGGAATCTGCAGCCAAAGTGAAGGTCATACCCCCAGCTGGGCAGCCATAGCAGGCAATGTGCATCTTGTACCTGCCCCCACCCCAGCTCTGTTCACTCACAGTCGCTCATAGAGGCGAACCTCACACATCAAAGGCTGTGACACCCAGTGAATAAAGGCCTTTGGCTTCTCTCCAGCATCTGCCCGTCTGCAGGTCACCTCCAGACTCTCTACACAACCACTGGGGCCCTGGAAGTGGGGGGAGGGGAGCAGCAATTAGACCCGGGAACCACAACCAGGACTGCAGGCTATACTCACATCTTGGCCCCAGCAGGCACTGCAGTAGGAAGGCTGCAGCTGGCTCTCACCTTGACAACATGCTGCAGCTCAATGACGTAGCCTGTATGCCTCAGGCCCACAGGCTGGCCCCAAGCCAGGCGCTTAAATCCTGGCTCTGGCTCCTAGAGATAGGAAGTGGGGTAGACACATGAGGCTGCAAGGGTCAAACAAGTGGGGAAGCTTCCCTACCCCCGTGTCTGGCAAAGATTGGTTCATCTGAAGCAGGAAGTAGATGGACTGACAGAGATGAGGAGATGAAAGGTTCCCAGTACCAGACTCAGCAGCAAACGGGACCCTCCACCCCCACAATTTACCTCCTTGAAGTCAGTCCTCTCAATGAAGACAATGGGTGCAAAGGGAACCTGATGGAAGCCTTTGGTCTCATCAGCTGGGAAGTTGGGCACCTGGATGTCCAAGGACTATAGCAGGAGACAGGAGACAGGTATGAGTCATACTCAGCATTAGGACCCCCATGCCCAGAGCCAAGTGTACCCCCAGCTACACACACACATGTGACACACATGTTGAGGCAGGCCCACCTTGGCAGCAGGAAAGTTGGTGATGATGACCCGTAGTGACTCCAGCACAGCCATGGCTCGTGGGGCTGTGTCATTCAGCACATCACGCACACAGGCTTCTAGAAGATGTGGCTCCATTGTGGTTTGTGCCACAGTCACTCCCACCTGGCAGGAAAGTTCAGCATCAGTCACAGCTACAATCACAAACTGCCACACTCAACCCCCAATGTATCTACCCAACCTGCTGGGCTATACCCGGGCACAGAAGTTGTTGATGGCCTCAGGTGGGAAGCCCCGCCGTCGCAGGGCCGTGAGTGTAAAGAGCCGTGGGTCATCCCAGTCCCTGTGGATAAGAAGGTGGTGAGAAGGCCTTTGGGAGCATATGCCATTAACCTTTCATAAGCCAAACAGCCGCACCTACCGCACAGCACCAGTTGCTACAAGCTGGAGGATCTTCCTCTTAGAGACAACAGCATAGTGCAGGTTGAGGCGGCCATACTCCCACTGCACAGGGCAATAGACGTCCAGTGCATTGCAAAGCCAGAAGTAGGAAGAGCGTCTGGGGTGGGAGAGTAGGGTTAGCACTGGCCAGCTCTGGAACCAGGCAGAGACCACAGGAAGGGCTGCTGGAATTCCACTGGCCCTACCACCCCATGGACCCAGCTCCCTCACCGGGCCTGGAATTCCTTGGTGCAGAGTGAGTGAGTGATGTGCTCGATGGAGTCACAGAGGCAGTGTGTGTAGTCGTAGGTGGGATAGATGCACCTGTGGGGCATAGGCAGTGGGCCCTACCATCCAGCCCTACTCTGCCCTACCCCATGGCCCATCGCCCTGCTCGGCAGCCCCACCACCCCACCCCATTCTACACCCACCATTTGTCCCCTGTGCGGTGGTGTGGTGTATACTTGACTCGATAGGCTACAGGGTCCATCTTGCCATCCTCCATCACCAGCTTCATCCGTAGTGTGGCCTCGCCCTCTGAAAACTTGCCCTTGCGCATTGCCTGAGGGGAACAAGGACTCAGGCTGTCTCTAAGCACAGGAGCATCTCATTCTCAGCACCTTGGCCCACCCAAACCCAGATGCTCCTCTAGGACCCCACCTCAAAGAGCAGCAGTGACTCCTCCATGGGACGGTCTCTCCAGGGTGAAGGCAGAGTATTATGGCCTTTGAGCTCCTCTCCTCGCTGGTGGCACACATAAGCCAGACCCCTGTGGGGAAGCGGTGTGAGTGCCCAGCATGGCTGTGACCTAGTCAGTCTGCCTGGCTCTACGTCATGGCCCTGGCCTTACCTGCGGATGAGCTCCACAGCCCACGCATATAGCTGGTCAAAATAGTCAGACGCATATGTGACTTTGTAAGGTGTGTAGCCTGGGGCAAAATGAAACAAAGTATGAGCAGCCAGCCACAAACACCCAGTGGGCAGGCCATGGCCCAAGGAGAGGCCCACTAACCACCAGCCCTTCTAGGCTTTGCCTAGTCCATACCTAGCCAGGCTACCATGTCACAGATGGCCGTGAAGAACTTTGCTTCCTCCTTCTCAGGGTTGGTGTCATCAAAACGCAGAAAACAGATGCCATTGTTGGCCTAGGAAAGTTGCACCATCTGTGAACTCCCACATCATCCATCAGCCCCACAATCCTGTTTATCAAACTAGGATATTCACAGAGCACTCTCATGTCAGAATTTTCTTTTTTTTTGAGATGGAGTCTTGATTATCTTGCACCATCTTGGCTCACTGCAGCCTCCACCTCCTGGGTTTCTCCTGCCTCAGCTTCCCAGTAGCTGAAACTACAAGCGTGTGCCACCATGGCCAGCTAAC